>NC_000004.12:98315320-98618350 GCF_000001405.40 Homo sapiens
ATAGTAGCGACTCAGTAAAAATACACTTTCCTTGGATGATCTCATCCACTCCATGTCTTTGACTACCAAATATGCTCTAACAACTTGGAAACAATTACAGTGCTGTGTGTGAGTATTGAAGTAGGGGTAAGTTTGATAAGCAGAACCAAGGAATGCTGAATTTTGAAAACAAAATGTATTTTAACCAGCTAAAATGTGGGGGCCTGAGGATTATGGGAAGAACATCCTAAGCAAAGGGAGAGTATATACAAAGTCATAGTGGTGAGTAAAGAATCTAGTCCATTAAGAAACTGAAAAGCTTGGTATGGCTAGCAAAAAGGGTACATGCAAGGAAGGGTCAAGAGGTGAAAAGTGGAAAGGGCATAAGGGATCATATTATCAAAGGACTTTTATATCATGCTAAACATGATTTTTACTTGAAAAGCAAGTAAAAATCAGATTGGTGTTTTAAAAAGATCAGTGTGGAGACAGTGTGAAAGGAAAAAAATGTTGGCACACCTAATTACCAAGAAAGGTGGTGTGTTGACAGTGCTGGAGAATATGGCATATAGAGAGAGTAATAAATGTTTACATTATAGGAATATGGCATACATAGGGAATAATAAATCTTTAGAGTTCCAGGGCCTAGGAAATGTGAAAGGGAAATGACTAAGGGTGAAAGGATAACTGAACAATGTTGAAGGGTCCAGTTAAGATTATAAATTATGAATTTGTAGTGATACCAGGTAACATACTTAATAACATAATTTACTGTTTTAAAATCAGGGAACAGGCAAAGTATATGGCTAGATTCATCCAGTGCTAGGATTTAATAGCAAGGTGAGATAAATAGATAGGGTTTAGGGTACTGCAGTAATACTAGAGTTGTTGAAATCATTGGTCTTTTTTTCTTCCAGTGTAGGTAAGCATGACATGAATTATGGAAAGAGGGCTGATAGGGAAAGAAGGAGGAGTTGAAAGAATAGAGTTTTCAATGAGGTTTAAAAAATGTTTAATAAGTATAAAAGACATGGTAGAAGAGAAGACTGATCAGAAAGTGATTTCCAAATATAAGCTTTCAATCATAGGGTAGTTCTACCTATGATGATAGGCCTTGGGTGTCATATTGTGGTGGATTGTTAAAGAGCAGTGGAAATTATTAAAGTCAGGGAGTGTGAGGCCAAGTTATTAACCACTGTATGTAGATTCAGAGTTGTTCAGGATGATGGCAGGAGTTGAAGGGGAGAGGCAAACTGGGAGTAAGCTCCAGTGTACTGGAGGGTTGTTGTGGTACTAATGATGAGAATGGGGGAAATACAATGTTACCAGATGGCAGAGGCTGAAAAGAGAGAAGCTGTTTTTGAATGAAGGCAGAAGACAAAATGTCTCAGATATTTTTGAGCTAAGAAAATACAACTTTAGCTCCAAGCCTGGGTCTTGGGGTAGAAAATGAAGAAAAGAGAGTTGAGAAGTTCTGCATGAGAGTACTTCAAGGGAAGTCTCCTGAGAATAATCTAGCTAAAAGTGAAAGATAGGAGCTAGAGTTTTGTGAGTGTCTGAATTTAAGAGATTCAAAGGGTACGGTAAAAAGTGTTCAAAACTAGGTCTGAGGGGGAAATTCCAGTGTAAGGATGCCGCTATGGGATGGGAAAGTCTTTAATTGGCTGTCGTGCAGTTAATCTTTTCCCAGTTGCTTTGCTCTGTCCATATGGTTTGGGAGATTGTGATCCATTTTGTCATTATAATCTTTTCTTTTCCTCTCTGCTTGAGAGGGTGAATTCTGGTTTGACTAATATTATTTCCCTCTTTGTTCCCCTGAATTAGGTACTGTTAAGGGGCCTCCATCACACTTTTTTACCCTTATCATTTAAATAAGGCCAGCTTGTGATACCATGCATTCCCTCTTATCTTAGAACATCTTGCCTTGGCCTTTCCCCATGCCAGATTGTAGGATTTTTATAATTTCAGCATTTGTCGTAGGTATTAGGGAGATCTAAGCAATTACTCTAGTGCCATGATATTTAGTAAATCCAGAATCAATCTGAAAACCTTTCCGCACTCATGTTAGGCTGCTATGTATTACTGTATCCCCACAGTCTACAAAGAACATTATATGTTT
The DNA here is from genome assembly GCF_000001405.40 of Homo sapiens. Taxonomy (NCBI): domain Eukaryota; kingdom Metazoa; phylum Chordata; class Mammalia; order Primates; family Hominidae; genus Homo; species Homo sapiens. The sequence goes on from NC_000004.12 coordinate 98,317,419, forward strand.
TTAGAACACAAACATCTCCAAATTCGGGGCTAAGGTCATATTGCCAGTCTGGCTTCTACTGTCATGGGGTAATCACATGTTAAGGTGATAGGGTTGGAGGAGGAGGAAGTATGGGAATGTAGTGAAGCACGAGAACTAAATGCAGTTTTTGAAGACGAGACTGAACTGATAGATAATTGTGAAATATTGCATGTGGGAAGAGTTTTTGACATCTGAAAGATTCTGCAAGCCACACTAAGTGTCTTTATTCCCTAAGCTATCATGGAACCTTAAGTGGCCACAGGAGTCGTGCCTTAGTGTGGGGTATGGAGAGGGAGATAGTTTTTTGGTGAGCATCCTAGTGGTGTTAACAGACGCGATGCTCTATGCTGTTACCTCAGCCCTGATATTTGACTATATATATATATATTTTTTTTTCTTTTCTTCTCTTTTTTTTTTTTTGAGACAGAATCTTGCTCTGTCGCCCAGGCCGGAGTGCAGTGGTGTGATCTTGGCTTACTGCAACCCTCTGCCTCCTGGGTTCAACTGATTCTCGTGCCTCAGCTTCCTCAGTAGCTGGAATTACAAGTGCACACCACCACGCCCGGCTAATTTTTGTATTTTTAGTAGAGACGGGGTTTCACCATGTTGGTCAGGCTGATCTTGAACTCCTGATCTCAAGTGATTTGCCCGCCTTGGCCTCCTAAAGTGTTGGGATTACAGGCGTGAGCCACCGCGTCCAGTGATATCTGACTATATTCTTGAACACTGAATCTAGCCACTCTGGATAAATATCTTGCTTAGTCTAGCTTAGTCTCTTAATACCTTTCATTTTAACATGGGACCTACAAAAGGATAGAGTACAGAGATCCTCAGGGGATGCGTTCCTAGACCCACAGTAGATGCCTGAAACTGTGGGTGGTTCTGAACCCTCTGTATACAATGTTTTTTCCGGTACATACATACTTGTGATAAAGTTTAATTATTAAATTAGGCACAGTTAAAAGAGTAACAACAATAACTAATGATAAAATATTATTAGAACAATATACTGTAATAAAAGTTACGTGAATGTGTACTCGCTCTCCTCCCCATCTCAAAATACTTTATTGTACTGTACTTAACCTTCTTGTGATGTGAGATGATAAAATACCTTCTTGATGAGATGAAGTGAGATGAATAATGTAGGCATTGTGAGGTAGCAGTAGGCTGCTATTGACCTTCTGGGGATATGTCAGGACAAAGATCATTTGCTTCAGGTGATCTGAGACTGTTGAGCCATGATGATGTTGATGGTTGGAGTTCAGGAGCAGATAATGTTGATGTCTGTGTCAACAACTAATGGGCAGGTAGCATATACAGCGTGGATAAAGGACAAAGGGATGAGTCACATTCTGAATCAGATGGAAGTGTGAGATTTCATTATGCAACTCAGAACGGCATGCAATTTAAAACTTACAAATTGTTTATTTCCAGAACTTTCCATTTAATATTCTCAGACCACAGTTGACTGTGAAAATTTCCAAAACCGTGGAAATGAAATTATGGAAAGTAAAACTGCTGATAAGGGGCAACTGCTGTAGTTCTCTGGGGGGGGAAATGAGGTTCTGGAACCATGGCTGATCATCATGAAGGTTAGACTGATAGAAACCTAGAATGGATTAGGTGCCTCTGTACATTAAGTATGTTGTGGAATTTTTGTCAAAATATTAAAACTGCTTCTATACATATCTGTCTCCTTTACTAAACTATAAACTCTTTCAGAGCAGAGTCTGTGTCTTGTTAGCCATTTGCTTAGCATGTTCTAGGCACTTACCTAAGTATTTAATGATGAGTCATTGCATGAATCTAGTAACTTTCTTTTGAGTGGCTAACCTCTCAAAATTAATAGTGTAACTTAAATGTATGTGTAATGGTGATAATATCGTACTCCCTTATTAGCATATATTTCTTTGAAAAAGCAAGGAATTTTCTCAAGATATATGGTATAGGTTTCCTCATACTTTTTATGATGTAATATGTATTGGTTTACTGATATTTTTTCAGTCTCATGTGTATTTTAAGAGCCATTATAGTTGACTGTTGGAAAATTGGGTTTTGTGGCTGGGCATGGTGGCTCACACCTGTAATCCCAGCACTTTGGGAGGCCGGGGTGAGCAGATCACTTGAGGTCAGGAGTTCAAGACCAGACTGGCCAACGTGGTGAAACCCTGTCTCTACTAAAAGTACAAAAATCAGCCCAACATGGTGGTGCACACCTATAATCCCAGCTACTCGGGAGGTTGAGGCACAGGAATCGCTTGAACTCGGTAGGCGAAGGTTTCAGTGAGCCAAAATCATGCCACTGCCCTCCAGCCTGGGCAACAGAGTGAGAATGTCTCAAAAAAAAAAAAAAAAAAAAAGAGAGAAATTGGCGTTTGAACTACACAGGTCCTCTTATAAGCAGATTCTTTTCAATAAAAGTTACACCAAGTGTGCCTGCCTCTCCTTCCGTCTTCTCCACCTCTTCCATCCCTGCTACCTCTGAGGCGGCAAGACCAAACCCTCCTCTTCATCTTCCTCCACAGCCTACTCAGTGCAAAGACCGTGAGGATGAAGACTTTTATGATGATCCACTTCCACTTAATGAATAGTAAAATATTTTGTCTTCTGTATGATTTTCTTAATAACATTTGTTTTTCTGTAGCTTACTTTACTGCAAGAATATAGTATGTAATACATATAACATACTGAATATGTGTTAATTGTTATGGGTAAGGCTTCTGGTCAGCAATAGGCTATTAGTTAAGTTTTGGGGGAGTCAAAAGATATTTGCGGGTTTTCGACTTACTTTATTTATTCTTTTATCAGCAATAATTAAATCCAACACATATACTTACTCATTTTTATTGGTTGATTTGGTGGCCTAAAGTATGTTTCTCTTTTTAGATTAGTGTTGATAGGTTTTGTGTTTTTTGTAGCCAGAGTATCTGGAGAAGAGCTGTTTGAAAATGTCCCCGTTACGTGATTCTCTTTTCAGAATGATTCAGTGTAGGGGGGAGGAGCCAAGATGGCCGAATAGGAACAGCTCCGGTCTACAGCTCCCAGCGTGAGCAACGCAGAAGACGGGTGATTTCTGCATTTCCATCTGAGCTTTGAAGAGAGCAGTGGTTCTCCCAGCACGCAGCTGGAGATCTGAGAACGGGCAGACTGCCTCCTCAAGTGGGTCCCTGACCCCTGACCCCCGAGCAGCCTAACTGGGAGGCACCCCCCAGCAGGGGCACACTGACACCTCACACGGCAGGGTATTCCAACAGACCTGCAGCTGAGGGACCTGTCTGTTAGAAGGAAAACTAACAAACAGAAAGGACATCCACACCAAAAACCCATCTGTACATCACCATCATCAAAGACCAAAAGTAGATAAAACCACAAAGATGGGGAAAAAACAGAACAGAAAAACTGGAAACTCTAAAACGCAGAGCGCCTCTCCTCCTCCAAAGGAACGCAGTTCCTCACCAGCAACGGAACAAAGCTGGATGGAGAATGATTTTGACGAGCTGAGAGAAGAAGGCTTCAGACGATCAAATTACTCTGAGCTACGGGAGGACATTCAAACCAAAGGCAAAGAAGTTGAAAACTTTGAAAAAAATTTAGAAGAATATATAACTAGAATAACCAATACAGAGAAGTGCTTAAAGGAGCTGATGGAGCTGAAAACCAAGGCTCGAGAACTACGTGAAGAATGCAGAAGCCTCAGGAGCCGATGCGATCAACTGGAAGAAAGGATATCAGCAATGGAAGATGAAATGAATGAAATGAAGCGAGAAGGGAAGTTTAGAGAAAAAAGAATAAAAAGAAATGAGCAAAGCCTCCAAGAAATATGGGACTATGTGAAAAGACCAAATCTACGTCTGATTGGTGTACCTGAAAGTGAGGCGGAGAATGGAACCAAGTTGGAAAACACTCTGCAGGATATTATCCAGGAGAACTTCCCCAATCTAGCAAGGCAGGCCAACGTTCAGATTCAGGAAATACAGAGAACGCCACAAAGATACTCCTCGAGAAGAGCAACTCCAAGACACATAATTGTCAGATTCACCAAAGTTGAAATGAAGGAAAAAATGTTAAGGGCAGCCAGAGAGAAAGGTCGGGTTACCCTCAAAGGGAAGCCCATCAGACTAACAGCGGATCTCTCGGCAGAAACCCTACAAGCCAGAAGAGTGGGGGCCAATATTCAACATTCTTAAAGAAAAGAATTTTCAACCCAGAATTTCATATCCAGCCAAACTAAGCTTCATAAGTGAAGGAGAAATAAAATACTTTACAGACAAGCAAATGCTGAGAGATTTTGTCACCACCAGGCCTGCCCTAAAAGAGCTCCTGAAGGAAGCGCTAAACATGGAAAGGAACAACCGGTACCACCCGCTGCAAAATCATGCCAAAATGTAAAGACCATCGAGACTAGGAAGAAACTGCATCAACTAACGAGCAAAATCACCAGCTAACATCATAATGACAGGATCAAATTCACACATAACAATATTAACTTTAAATGTAAATGGACTAAATTCTCCAATTAAAAGACACAGACTGGCAAGTTGGATAAAGAGTCAAGACCCATCAGTGTGCTGTATTCAGGAAACCCATCTCACGTGCAGAGACACACATAGGCTCAAAATAAAAGGATGGAGGAAGATCTACCAAGCAAATGGAAAACAAAAAAAGGCAGGGATTGCAATCCTAGTCTCTGATAAAACAGACTTTAAACCAACAAAGATCAAAAGAGACAAAGAAGGCCATTACATAATGGTAAAGGGATCAATTCAACAAGAGGAGCTAACTATCCTAAATATATATGCACCCAATACAGGAGCACCCAGATTCATAAAGCAAGTCCTGAGTGACCTACAAAGAGACTTAGACTCCCACACATTAATAATGGGAGACTTTAACACCCCACTGTCAACATTAGACAGATCACCGAGACAGAAAGTCAACAAGGATACCCAGGAATTGAACTCAGCTCTGCACCAAGCAGACCTAATAGACATCTACAGAACTCTCCACCCCAAATCAGCAGAATATACATTTTTTTCAGCACCACACCACACCTATTCCAAAATTGACCACATAGTTGGAAGTAAAGCTCTCCTCAGCAAATGTAAAAGAACAGAAATTATAACAAACTATCTCTCAGACCACAGTGCAATCAAACTAGAACTCAGGATTAAGAATCTCACTCAAAGCCGCTCAACTACATGGAAACTGAACAACCTGCTCCTGAATGACTACTGGGTACATAACGAAATGAAGGCAGAAATAAAGATGTTCTTTGAAACCAACGAGAACAAAGACACAACATACCAGAATCTCTGGGACGCATTCAAAGCAGTGTGTAGAGGGAAATTTATAGCACTAAATGCCCACAAGAGAAAGGAGGAAAGATCCAAAATTGACACCCTAACATCACAATTAAAAGAACTAGAAAAGCAAGAGCAAACACATTCAAAAGCTAGCAGAAGGCAAGAAATAACTAAAATCAGAGCAGAACTGAAGTGAAATAGAGACACAAAAAACCCTTCAAAAAGTCAATGAATCCAGGAGCTGGTTTTTTGAAAGGATCAACAAAATTGATAGACCGCTAGCAAGACTAATAAGGAAAAAAAGAGAGAAGAATCAAGTAGACACAATAAAAAATGATAAAGGGGATATCACCACCGATCCCACAGAAATACAAACTACCATCAGAGAATACTACAAACACCTCTATGCAAATAAACTAGAAAATCTAGAAGAAATGGATACATTCCTTGACACATACACTCTCCCAAGACTAAACCAGGAAGAAGTTGAATCTCTGAATAGACCAATAACAGGAGCTGAAATTGTGGCAATAATCAATAGTTTACCAACCAAAAAGAGTCCAGGACCAGATGGATTCGCAGCCGAATTCTACCAGAGGTACAAGGAGGAACTGGTACCATTCCTTCTGAAACTATTCCAATCAATAGAAAAAGAGGGAATCCTCCCTAACTCATTTTATGAGGCCAGCATCATTCTGATACCAAAGCCGGGCAGAGACACAACCAAAAAAGAGAATTTTAGACCAATATCCTTGATGAACATTGATGCAAAAATCCTCAATAAAATACTGGCAAACCGAATCCAGTAGCACATCAAAAAGCTTATCCACCATGATCAAGTGGGCTTCATCCCTGGGATGCAAGGCTGGTTCAATATACGCAAATCAATAAATGTAATCCAGCATATAAACAGAGCCAAAGACAAAAACCACATGATTATCTCAATAGATGCAGAAAAAGCCTTTGACAAAATTCAACAACCCTTCATGCTAAAAACTCTCAATAAATTAGGTATTGATGGGAGGTATTTTAAAATAATAAGAGCTATCTATGACAAACCCACAGCCAATATCATACTGAATGGGCAAAAACTGGAAGCATTCCCTTTGAAAACTGGCACAAGACAGGGATGCCCTCTCTCACCACTCCTATTCAACATAGTGTTGGAAGTTCTGGCCAGGGCAATCAGGCAGGAGAAGGAAATAAAGGGTATTCAATTAGGAAAAGAGGAAGTCAAATTGTCCCTGTTTGCAGACGACATGATTGTTTATCTAGAAAACCCCATCGTCTCAGCCCAAAATCTCCTTAAGCTGATAAGCAACTTCAAAGTCTCAGGATACAAAATCAATGTACAAAAATCACAAGCATTCTTATACACCAACAACAGACAAACAGAGAGCCAAATCATGAGTGAACTCCCATTCACAATTGCTTCAAAGAGAATAAAATACCTAGGAATCCAACTTACAAGGGATGTGAAGGACCTCTTCAAGGAGAACTACAAACCACTGCTCAAGGAAATAAAAGAGGACACAAACAAATGGAAGAACATTCCATGCTCATGGGTAGGAAGAATCAATATCGTGAAAATGGCCGTACTACCCAAGGTAATTTACAGATTCAATGGCATCCCCATAAAGCTACCAATGACTTTCTTCACAGAATTGGAAAAAACTACTTTAAAGTTCATATGGAACCAAGAAAGAGCCCGCATCGCCAAGTCAATCCTAAGCCAAAAGAACAAAGCTGGAGACATCACACTACCTGACTTCAAACTATACTACAAGGCTACAGTAACCAAAACAGCATGGTACTGGTACCAAAACAGAGATATAGATCAATGGAACAGAACAGAGCCCTCAGAAATAACGCCGCATACCTACAACTATCTGATCTTTGACAAACCTGAGAAAAACAAGCAATGGGGAAAGGATTCCCTATTTAATAAATGGTGCTGGGAAAACTGGCTAGCCATATGTAGAAAGCTGAAACTGGATCCCTTCCTTACACCTTATACAAAAATCAATTCAAGATGGATTAAAGATTTAAACGTTAGACCTAAAACCATAAAAACCCTAGAAGAAAACCTAGGCATTACCATTCAGTACATAAGCGTGGGCAAGGACTTCATGTCCAAAACACCAAAAGCAATGGCAACAAAAGCCAAAATTGACAAATGGGATCTCATAAAACTAAAGAGCTTCTGCACAGCAAAAGAAACTACCATCAGAGTGAACAGGCAACCTACAAAATGGGAGAAAATTTTCGCAACCTACTCATCTGACAAAGGGCTAATATCCAGAATCTACAATGAACTCAAACAAATTTACAAGAAAAAGACAAACAACCCCATCAAAAAGTGGGCGAAGGACATGAACAGACACTTCTCAAAAGAAGACATTTATGCAGCCAAAAAACACATGAAAAAATGCTCACCATCACTGGCCATCAGAGAAATGCAAATCAAAACCACTATGAGATATCATCTCACACCAGTTAGAATGGCAATCATTAAAAAGTCAGGAAACAACAGGTGCTGGAGAGGATGTGGAGAAATAGGAACACTTTTACACTGTTGGTGGGACTGTAAACTAGGTCAACCATTGTGGAAGTCAGTGTGGCGATTCCTCAGGGATCTAGAACTAGAAATACCATTTGACCCAGCCATCCCATTACTGGGTATATACCCAAATGACTATAAATCATGCTGCTATAAAGACACATGCACATGTATGTTTATTGTGGCATTATTCACAATAGCAAAGACTTGGAACCAACCCAAATGTCCAACAGTGATAGACTGGATTAAGAAAATGTGGCACATATACACCATGGAATACTATGCAGCCATAAAAAATGATGAGTTCATGTCCTTTGTAGGGACATGGATGAAATTGGAAATCATCATTCTCAGTAAACTATCGCAAGAACAAAAAACCAAACACCGAATATTCTCACTCATAGGTGGGAATTGAACAATGAGATCACATGGACACAGGAAGGGGAATATCACACTCTGGGGACTGTGGTGGGGTGGGGGGAGGGGGGAGGGATAGCATTGGGCGATATACCTAATGCTAGATGACGAGTTAGTGGGTGCAGCGCACCAGCATGGCACATGTATACATATGTAACTAACGTGCACAATATGCACATGTACCCTAAAACTTAAAGTATTAAAAAAAAAAAGATTCAGTGTAGTTGTAGTGCTAGATATATTATATGGAATTATCAGCAGTTTACCAGTTGGTTCTTTATTAGTACTCCTGATGTCTTAAACAAAAATGAATAATTGTTTATCTTTTCTCAAAGTGTCTCATCTGTTCAGTAACAATCACAGTTTTCTCCGACAGTCTTGCATATTACTTTTTTTTAAAGTGCTTTGGTTTGATATTTCTTTCATTCATTTCTCAGAATAGAACTTAATTCTTCCCTCTTCCAAACATATGCTTTTTAAATATTGAATTTCCTCAAAATATTTCATAGTTAACGCAGCCAATATCTTAGCCATCTTCCCCAATAAATCAAAAACCTCTACCAAAAGTTACATAAAATTATTCATTGTCATTTCAGCATTAGGCCATCTTTTAACCTTTGGGTAATTAATATCAAATTTCTACTTGGTCAGCAATATCTCCCTTTTTTCTTCCCCATTCTCAACCCCTTTCTTGAACCTCATTCGATAACTGCTGAATTTCTTTTCTTTCTAGGATTATACTTGAAAGGAAATTGTGATTTATTCCCATTAAACTTTAAAAACATTTTGGCTTTATTTAAGCCAACATGATTCTATTTGGATTTGCTTTCTTTTTCACTACAGATCTTAATCACTTCTGTTTCTTTTATGCCCTGTGTTTCTACATTTATTTATTTTTTCTTTATTAATGCTTAAATTCTTTCCCTCCTCAGCTCCAGCACCCATTTCCCTTCCTTTTCTTGCTTCACAACCCTTCTCCTTTGGGGAAGTTATAAGATTAGAGTGAGATGACCCTCAGCTCCACTCACTAGGTTACAGGATTCATTATTAATCCTACAGATTAGTTTTAGTCATGTGAGCCATGGTGATTTTGGTCTCTTTTTCTTTTTTGGAAGGTAGGTGGAAGAAAAGACTTTTGTGTTGCTCTGAATTGTGTGGTGTGTGCCTGTAAGAGCTAGAATTAGTATAGTCGTTTTTCTACTCTGATACAAGCTAGTCTGATGACAGTGCCACACACAGACGAGGAGAAAGTTGAGGAGATCTCAGAGAAATGAAGCAGGAGCCTTGATTAACCTGTTTATGAAGCTCATTCTACTTCCAGACTTTACAATGATGTGATCTCTGAGCTGATAAATTCTTCTACTGGAGTACAGTACAGTAGTTTCTATTACTTCCAGTATATCCTAACTGATATATACAAATTGTAACATTTTTTTAAAAATCTAAAGTACAGTAAGCATATTGTTGGTCAGCCTAAATAACAGAGAGAGGCTCTCTTAACAGAAATGATATTTAGGAATAGGGCATTGCCATGGGAATACATGTGCCATGATAAACTATGCATGTTTCAGGGAAGTACAGGAAAACAAAGGTTTTTAATAGAAAAAAATGAGAAGGATTACATAATTGTTTTGAGATAATTATCCTTGGCTACAAGGATCACACTGGTCTGAGGTTGGACAGACAGTTGCTGGGCAGATGTCTTTCCAGAAGTATTTTTTGTGTAAGGTTGTGACAGCCTTTGTGTAAGGTTGTAGTTTTTGAAGAATGTTTTGTGATAGTTTTTGTCAGGCATTTATTCATGAGAACCCTATTTTCATAGCCTTTCCTGACTCTGTTTGTTAGGATTTTTTTGTTTTTGTTTTTAACACGAGTGACTCTTGATTTCAACAGCTTTAATTTTCTCCCTTTTGATCAAGATCTTTCTCTGAAGGCATTGATGATCAGTCTTCCTGTAATTAGGTTTTGATTGTCCCTTGGTGCTGGGATGGACTGGTTTGGTCCCACATTGGAGAGGGTGATTGGTGACCAGGAATCAGTGTTAAAATTTTTCTAGCCACATTTGAGCAACAAGGGAGATTGAAGGTGAGTGGTTCTTGGTCTAAGCCTATCTGGAGACCATCATTAAGTTTAATTTTCTCTGTTTTGTAGGTGCTTGCTGTCATCTCAAAGTGCTGAGCTAGTATTATTTTGTTAGGAGTTGTACTTCTGCAAAAATTTAACAAGTAACAGATACAAAGTTTAAGAAAGGAAAATACAAAGTAAAATTCATAATAATATGGCAATCCCAGTTTGCATAATGGTTTTGAGCCATGAAACCTAGCGTAAAGACAACTAATTAAATAATTCCAGTGGCCATAGAGAATTTGGTGAGACCTATTGTAACCATGTGGCCTGTTTTCTTATTTTATGTATATGGGGTCTCAACTTTCCCATAGGAATTTATCCAGTTACAGCATGTGGTATTAGCAATAGCACAGGCATTTTCTTATTTAACCAGTTGATACAAAAAGATCTCTTAGGTTTCATTCTTTCAAACTACCAGCAGAAGCCACTGATTGTTAAATTTCAGTTATGGCATTCTCCTATCAAGTGAAAAAAAGTAGCATTGAGGTGCGTAAGAGTCTTACTATTATATAAAAGTCTTGTTCCAACACCTTGGGAAAAACCGTCTACCATGTAAAAATGTCACCTCCTTGTCTTGGTTTGCAGTTTGAATGTCTCTAGTTAGGGCATCGGGTGGTTTGGTGAACTTTCCGTGTGATTCGTACATCAGGCCCAGGACTTGTTCCTTCAGATCCATCTAGTTTCAGTTTATAAAGCTTTAGGAAAATTTAGGATTCGTTCTAGTCTACAGGTAGATAAGAACTATTTTAAAACAATGCACAGAGCTACAATCTAATAAGGATGTGTTTTATAGTTTTTTTTAATAAACATAACTTTCTCTGTATAGTCATCGTGATTTATTTATTTAATTTTTTGAGACAGAGTCTCTCTCTGTTGCCCAGGCTGGAGTGCACTGGTGCGATCTGAGCTCACTGCAACCTCCACGTCCTGGGTTCAAGTGATTCTCCAAGTCATCCTGATTTTTATCAAAGATAATCAGAGTAAGACAAACTTGTTTGTAAAATAAGTTTTATCAATAATTGCCTGTAAGAAGTGATTTGATCACACGGTATTCCCAGATTTAAAAACTCTTAAGGCTGCAAAGCCAAACCAAGGCAGATTTTAGATTTTACCTACACTCTTAAGGTTCCTGAGCTTGTGGGAAGTGACACTTTTTACTCACTCACTGTGAGGCTGGGAACCCTTGAAACCAAGCATCGTATGCACATTCTCAAATATGATATTTCAGTCAAAGCCTTGGTAACACAACCAGTGTATTTTATTGTATCTTGATAGAAAAACAATAGATTTTTATTGAACCTTTCAGTTAACCATATTGCCATAAGAATACTCACAAATAATTTTTGAATTGGGGGGGCAGTCAAATAAGGAGAAAATGCAACTATTTCTACCTTTGTTCATAAAAGTATACTTTATTAAATTGCCTAAAGAGAAAGTTTCCTTAAATCTGGAAAACAGAACATTTAAGTAAATAACTAATAGTGTTTCATATAAAAGTCATGGAAACATTATCTTTATCATTTATTTAATCTCATCTGTTTTATTTTTGCTTCATCTTAACAGTCTTTTGAACCCATCAGTTTATTAGTGTTCTAGAAAAAAAAGATTTAGTCCATTAATCTTAAAGTTATTAGAAACCTGCATTTAAAAGGACCCATTAGGGCAAGGTGTGGTGGCTCATGCCTGTAATCCCAACACTTTGGGAGGCCAAGGCAGGCAGATCACGAGGTCAGAAGTTCGAGACCAGCCTGGCCAACATAGTGAAACCTCATCTCTACTAAAAATACAAAAAATTAGCTGGGCATGGTGGCAGACACCTGTAATCCCAGCTACTCGGGAGGCTGAGGCAGGAGAATCACTTGAACCCAGGAGGCAGAGGTTGCAGTGAGCCAAGATCATGCCATTGCATTCCAGCCCGGGTGACAGTGTGAGACTCCATCTCAAAAAAAAAAAAAAAAAAAAAAAGTGCCCATTAGGGCCTTTTCTGTTAATCTGATTGTAAATACTTGTTTTTTATTCCAGTATTTATTGTGCACAAGTGACCAGATACATATATATTTCCTTATATTCTCCTCTTTTTTTTAAATTTTTTTAGTATTTATTGATCATTCTTGGGTGTTTCTCGGAGAGGGGGATTTGGCAGGGTCATAGGACAATAGTGGAGAGAAGGTCAGCAGATAAACATGTGAACAAAGGTCTCTGGTTTTCCTAGGCAGCACATCCTGCACTGCCCTTAATCCATTTAACCCTGAGTTGACACAGCACATGTTTCAGAAAGCACAGGGTTGGGGATAAGGTTATAGATTAACAGCATCCCAAGGCAGAAGAATTTTTCTTAGTACAGAACAAAATGGAGTCTCCTATGTCTACTTCTTTCTACACAGACACAGTAACAATCTGATCTCTCTTTCTTTTCCCCACATTTCCCCCTTTTCTATTCGACAAAACCGGTATCGTCATCATGGCCCGTTCTCAATGAGCTGTTGGGTACACCTCCCAGACGGGGTGGCGGCCGGGCAGAGGGGCTCCTCACTTCTCACACGGGGCGGCCGGGCAGAGGCACTCCTCAGTTCCCAGATGGGGTCGCGGCCGGGCAGAGGCACTCCTCACTTCCCAGACGGGGTGGCGGCTGGGCAGAGGCGCTCCTCACCTCCCAGACGGGGTGGTGGCCGGGTAAAGGCGCTCCTCACCTCCCAGACGGGGCGGCCGGACAGAGGCGCTCCTCACATCCCAGACGGGGCGGCCGGGCAGAGGCGCTCCCCACATCCCAGACGATGGGCGGCCGGGCAGAGACGCTCCTCACTTCCTAGACGGGATGACGGCCGGGAAGAGGCGCTCCTCACTTCCCAGACTGGGTGGCTGGGCAGAGGGGCTCCTCACATCCCAGACGATGGGCGGCCAGGCAGAGACACTCCTCACTTCCTAGATGGGGTGGTGGCTGGGAAGAAGCGCTCCTCACTTCCCAGACTGGGTGGCCGGGCAGAGGGGCTCCTCACATCCCAGACGATGGGCGGCCAGGCAGAGATGCTCCTCACTTCCTAGATGGGCTGGCAGCTGGGCAGAGGCTGCAATCTCAGCACTTTGGGAAGCCAAGGCAGGCGGCTGGGAGGTGGAGGTTGTAGCGAGCCGAGATCACGCCACTGCACTCCAGCCTGGGCAACATTGAGCACTGAGTGAGCGAGACTCCGTCTGCAATCCCAGCACCTCGGGAGGCCAAGGCGGGCAGATACTCGAGGTCAGGAGCTGGAGACCAGCCCCGCCAACAGGGCAAAACCCCGTCTCCACCAAAAAATACAAAAACCAGTCAGGCGTGGCGGCATGTGCCTGCAATCCCAGGCACTCGGCAGGCTGAGGCAGGAGAATCAGGCAGGGAGGTTGCAGTGAGCCGAGATCACGGCAGTACAGTCCAGCCTCGGCAACAGAGGGAGACCATGGAAAGCGGGAGACGGAGACGAAGGAGAGGGGGAGACCGTGGAAAGCGGGAGACAGAGACCACGGAGAGGGAGAGGGAGAGAGAGAGGGAGAGGGAGAGAGAGAGGGAGAGGGAGAAGGTAAATACTTTTATAAAAATTCAAAACAGTAACTGTGGATGTCAGAGACTTAAGAGTGGCTATGGTTAAAAATCCAATGGAAGTTTATTATCAACAATTGACAAGAAAATTTAGTTATATTTGTGGCATATGACATATTATCTAGAATTCTGACTGATTACATTAGATTTCTGCATTTTATATAATTTTGGAACATTCATTATCTGTAACATACACATACATGTAACTGAAAGATCTAGTATCACCTACCATTTGACAATGTTTCTTATTCAATTTATCCAATAACCCTAATCACTTAATATCTCTACAAGATGAGAGATACATTCTTTGATGCTCTCTAGGAGCCCAGTGGGGAAATCCCAAAGTTAATTCTAGGTCAAAAAATCTTAATTTAGAATTTTGAGCTTGGGAAAGCCTGCCAAAGATGTCAAAAGGTTCAAAACACTTGAACAAAACAGTAGCACAGGTCACTGTGAAATCAGTCTTTTTTATTATTATTATTTATTTTAACCAGAGTAATAATCAAAAGACTTCAAAAGCAATACAGAAAGTTACATGGATTTTAAAAATCTTAACCCTTACAAAGCTCAGTTTCCCCAACCAATCAAAAATCTAATAAAGACCACATGAAGTTATCTTGATAAAATGCAAAGTCTTTGTTTCTTTGGCCAGTTACCAAAAAGGTAAAGAGAATTTTTCTGCAGTGTAATTGCTTCTTCTTATGGTAAACCCATTTAGATAGCCTGGAAGTTGAACCTGATGAAAAAGGTACTTCAGGTTAATCAGACAAAGGAGAAGTGTGTCTAAGGTTATGACTCTACACCTTATTATAGAGGAATGTAAACAATAAAATTAGTACCTTGAGCAGGGGAACACGTGGATCTTAGCAGCAGCCTGAGAAATTTCCTGGTTACATGGAATAATTGAGATACATCAGGACAAGACAAGAGTGCAGAATCAAGTTTTACTAGGAAACATTGCTTTTCTAGTCCTTCAAGACAGAACATTTCAGTTTCAGGTCACAAAAACAGAGTTAGAACTGGAGAAAAAAGGAACTGATGAAAAAGTTAAAAAGAGAGAGTCCCAGTTATTGTCCCAGCTAAACAAAAAGATGTATTTTTCAAGAGGAGAAAGGAGGAGAGCAGAAGGCAATGATGCATGACCTGCAAATCATGTGCAGTGAGACACAGCAGAATTTAAACTTCTGAGCTATGAATATGAGAAGCTTTAAGAGGAAAACTATACCTCAAGAAATGAAATTACCATTCTAAATGAAAAAGACAGCATTTCCAACTTGAAACTAGGGAAATTAGATGGAATCTGTTAGAAGATGGCTAAGAGATTTTAGAATTAAAAATCAAAATCTCAGTACTTCCAAGAAAACCTTGTTCTAACACAGGGGACCAAATTTTTAGTTTTGTATCAGTGTATTTTTAGTATCAAAGCTCAATCTTTAGAAAGACTTGTAAATAATTCCCTTCTAATTATAGCCAACTTGATCACACACAATTTCTTTCCTAAATTCATCTTTCTCAAACCTTTCGTGAGCTGCATAGACCTTTGACAACATGCTTAGACTTTTTGTTTTGTCCTATATGTCCTCTTTCTTAAATAACGCACCATCTTTAGGTTGAAAATTTACCACAAGATTCTTTCTCATACAAAATTATTCTCTTTTTCTTTTTAACCTTTCTTACCAAAAATACAATTTCATACCTGTAATTTTTTTAATATCTCTCTTTCCTACTTATTTTACTTATTGGTTCCTTTTCTTATTTCCTTCTTAAATCATATTTTGAAACAACCTTTAACCTCTGAATTAGACAAAATGATTATCTCAATAGCGAATACATTTTTATGCTTTCATCGAAAACACATTTTTGTGTACTTTGTTTACAAAATTATATATATTAGAATTTTAATTCTTAGTAACAATTTTTAGTGAAAACATAGGAAGCAAGAAATTTTGAACTGTTCATTGTATATCAGTACTTTTATAGATGAGAATCATTTTGTAATTTCAGAAAATGTTTCCCCATAATTTTTATGTTAAAAATAGACCCAAACATATTTAGGCTTTTTATAAAATTTAAGAAGCTAAGAGCAAACTTACAATTATGTTCAGCAATTTATGTTTTAATGTTTTTTAAGAATCTTAATTGGAAAGACCCAGACATTTAATGAATATCTATTACTTAATTTAACATAACAGTGGGAATTTAGATTGCCTGAAAAGTTCATGGGTAAACATTTATCCTGCCTACATTTACCTGGTTTATCTTTAACAATTATACCTAGATTACTTATGAAAGTTGAGATACTGGGTAAAACTAGTCATCATTTCAAGTTATTTTTCTTTTAACCATTTATATAGACTGAATATCAGGCATTCACCTAAGTAAGAAACTAAAATATATTGGTATTTTGCCAATAACTCAGAACACACAGCTGTTTTTATTAAACTAAACAGTGTTACATTAGTCTTACCAAAGAATTATACCAACAAAGATTATTCTGTTTTAGGTTGGGTTTATAGTGTTATGGCCTTAAAACATCTAGCAGAGACAAATATAATCCTGTCTGACCAGTAAACTTAGGCAAAAATGTATGCTGATAATTTTGAATACATTTTTATTAAGTTTTAAAACCAGCTTATTTATCAAAGTTTTTTTAAGTCACGTGAACTAAAAGACATTTGGCTTAATTACTATGTATTTCATGTAAGCGCTCATTTATTTAAGCCAATCTGAATAGAATTCCTTAAGGGATTTCTGGCCAAGTACATCAGATTTTACTATGTAGACATAACATACAACATAAAATATGTGCATGTGCATAAACACACCTAAGCATATATACATACACACAAAAATTTTGGGGTAAAACTGTTTCTATAGCAGTTTAAAAAAACAAAAAAAACCTCTTTTACCCTTCCCCCACCTTTGACTCAGTTTCACATGAGTTTAGGGTTAAATATTCAATGTTTACATTTTTAGCTAGGACTGGCTGAATTGTATGAGAAAAACAAAATTTCTAAGTGGCATTGAATTTTCGGTAACAAGTCTATCTTTTGTTTGCCAGTCTGATTTGCTTGACTAGTCAGCGTAGCAGGGAAATCGTTTAGTGTGTTTTTGGTTTTTTGTTTTTCACCCCCGCATGGCAGAAAAAGGAATTTTTATGCTAGACAGAGATACTTTATATTGTTTCTTTGAGCTCAAGACTTTCAAGTGTTTGATCTGAGATCCTAACTTTTGTGAGCACTATATAGTTCTTTTTCTTTTAGACTATGAATCCTTCAGTTAACTGTTTCTTTACCCTAAGCAATTGTTAGTCAGGCAAACCTAAATTTACATTTCCAAAAGATACTTAAGTCGTTAGTTGTCATCGAGCTGTTATACTTTGTAAAGCTATTAATTTGAAAGTCCTTTAATACTTTTTTTTTTTTAATCTTGGCTGGAATTCCATAAGCAGTGAGTTTTATATCAACACCAGTAGGAAAATCAGCAGAATCAAAGTAAGCAAAAAAAAAAAAAAAAAGAGATGGGGAAGGTAGAAGGCTTTACATGTCAGCTTAATATTTGCAGGTTTTTTGTTTTTTTAAAAAGAGAGTTTGAATAATGACTGTTTGAGCTCTGGATTTTCCTCGATATACTTGGTCCATCAGTTAAAAAATGAGAATAGGCCATAAGATGTAGCCTGCTGAAGTCCCCTAGAACCTGACATGCCTTAATGTTTGAGAATTCCATTCCTTTTCTTATTAATCTCTCAAAAGTACGGAAAATCCCATAAATTCTGTCAGGGTATGTCAGGACTGTTGTTTTAGGTGCTGGTGACTGTCCTACTGGCTTTTAATTAATCATTCTGTGTCCATCAGGCTACAAGGATCAATAATAAGAGTGAGGCCAGTCTCAGGTTGGTCATGCAGTTGCTGGGCAGATGTCCTCACTGAGGTTGTAAGTTTGTGATGGTCTTTGTGGTTTTTGCAGTCTTCTGTGATAGTTTTTGTTATCAGGGATTTATGCATGAGAACACTCTCTTCATGACCTTTTCTGGCTCTATTAGGGTTGTTTGTTTGTTTGTTTTTAAACACAGGTGACTCCATTTTGATTTGGACAACTTTCAAATTGTATAGAATGTGGAAAATATGAAAAAGTTTTTTTTTTATTTTACAAGTTTGAATTATTTCACATAAATGTAGCTTCTTTTTAAAAAAACTTATCTTTGAATGTTTATCATATTAAATATTCTTTTAAAATGATATTATTAATGACTATATAATGTTCTTTTAGAATGCTAGACCGTAGTGATAGTTGTCTTTTAAGATGATACTGTGAGCCACTTCACTCTTTCCTTTGGCCAAGATTAATGTTGATTTTAAGTGACTTCTTACCTTTTTTTTTTTTTTAACTTTTCTGTGTACCTTTCTGTTGTTTTATTTTCCTGGGAAAGTGGAGTAAATTTTATATCATACTTGTATAAAGTAGTATTTCCTTAAATAGATTCCTTGGATTACTCATTTTCTTAGATGCCCTATTAAGAAGTGACTTACTTGATAAACAGTGTATACTCCTATTGGCTCACAGTAAACATTAGCAAATTGACGACTTCAAAAAATCTTGCAGATGCTAAATCTCTTTATCTTTATTTACTTCATATTTTCCCCCAGGGTATCTGACAATAGAATGGAGATAGATCTTTTGCTGAAAATATTTTTTCACTATGTTTTATTGTGTCCTCATTCTCTTAGTCTGCAGTAAGAAATCTGTATTTCTTATAGGTAAATATTCATATCTTCAGTAATTCAACTTCTTGGTGAACAATCTAGTTATATACTCTGCTTATACCACAGTCATTAACACATTTCCTCATGGTGTTTACATTCTCAATAAATATATCTTATTTTTTAACCATGTAACTCTTAAATTTTTTAGCAACTGCTTTATGACCTACTTAGTGGTAATTTTAAAGAAAATAGTCAAACTAGCAGATCTCCCTGCTTATTCTAGTGATGATTTCCACACACATAACTTCTCCCACTCCCACATCCTACATTATCCCTGGAATTGAAATGAGTACAAGACTATCAAAATCATTTACTGTAATTTTATAAAATGAGTCTCACAACTTAGTTTTTTAGTGAGATCTGTTTCTGATGGTGAATCACGGTATAAATGGGTTTTTGTTCTGCTATCTTTCTTTTCATGACTTCATATATCCTTTTTTTAAACTCTTGCATTTCATGTTCCTTTTGTTTATTTAAGATCCTCAATCAGTTTTCTTCACTAGGGGAAGAAAGTGAAAGAATTCACTTTCTTGTCGTCAGTGAAAGAATTGCCATTTTTTTTTATTCCCATCCCTGCCACCTCCACTGCAAACACTTTCATTTTCTTTTAGAAACATTAATTTCTCATTTTTCTGGCCCTTACATTAAGCTACTTATATTCAGCATATTTCTCTTCTGTGTTTTCATTCTGGGTTTTTTTTGTTTTGTTTTGTTTTGTTTTTGTTTTTTCTTGAGGCAGAGTCTCGCTTTGTTGCCCAGGCTAGAGTGCAGTGGCATGATCTCAGCTCACTGCAAACTCTGCCTCCCAGGTTCAAGCGATTCTTATGCCTCAGCCTCCCGAGTAGCTGGGATTACAGGCATCCACCACCATGCCCAGCTAATTTTTGTATTTTTAGTAGAGATGAGGTTTCACCATGTTGGCCAGGCTTGCCTCCAACTCCTGGCCTCAACTGATCCGCCCACCTTGGCCTCCCAAAGTGCTGAGATTACAGGTGTGAGCCACTGCACCCGTCCTTCAGTCTGTTTCAGCCTGCTTCATTCTTTGTATATGCAGTTGCTTTTCTCTCATTTAATCACTGCCTCAGTTTAGCTATCCCAAAATACTATACATCTCTTTCTCACTCAGTTGTCTTACTTTAGTTCTTACTCTTGTAAAATGTGTTAAATAACAATATTTTTCACATAATGATTTGGCAAATCAGGTCAAAATATAGTCATCAACATATAACTTCTAAATGACAGTTGTAGTAGGAAGAGCTTTGGAGAAGAAATCACAAAAGCTGGTTTCTTATTCCTTTTCCAGTGTAATCTTATTATATGGCCTTATTTGTAATATGAAGAACATGACCTATCATCCCTATCTCAGATGACTTTTTAAATGAAGAGATTAATGTGTTTGAAAGAGCTTTGAAATTTTTACAAATGCTCTTAATAAAAAATTAAGACACAGTGTTTATGGAAGTCAGATAACATTAAAAAGATTGAATAGCTTTCAGTCAGGTACCTTTTAATGAGGACAGTGTGAGTCTAATGAGTAGGAATTAGCTAAAATGGTAGGGTGAGGGGGGTGGCATTTCAGAGAGGGAACATCATGTGCAGAAAGGAGTTATGAAATAAGATGATTAGTATGGATTACTATAAGTAATTTAGTATGGCTAGAGTGTAGGATGTCCATGGAGGAGTATCAAGAGATAGGATTAGGAAATATGGATGTGCTTGAATGTTTAATGAAAAGATGTGGAGGATTGCTTAAAAATTTAAAGGAATGACATAAACTTTGCATTTTCAGAAGTTTATTCTTATACTATTGTAGATGAAAGATGCGGACAGGGCAGGGGAGGCAAACCGGAGTTAGGGAGACTTGAGGAGGCTATTGCATTTAACAAGGGTCTGAACTGAGAACTTGAAGTAATATGAATGTAGAAAGGAAAAAGATAGATGCAAAAGACAATAGTGAAATGGAATCTATGGGACCTATGTTCTGATTAAATGTGGGGGTAGGAAGCTATTTACTAAAAGAGAAAATTTTATAATTATTCTAGGGCTTCTGGCTTAAATGGGTTTCCTACCATTCACTGAGTTAGAGACCAAAATGAATTTAAAGGAAAGAGGGTAAATTTGATTTTGATTTTGTTAAATTTGAGGTATTTAGCATATACCCAAGTGCAAATGCTTTGTTTTCTGTTGCATAAAAGGAGAGAGGATTGGGGACTTGTCTCTTTGGTAATTGAAGCCTTGGGTTTAGATCAGATCACCCAAAGCAGCATAGGGCTAAGTCTCTTTGTTACACCCTATTTTTAAAATCTACCCCTTGAGAAATATACAATTCCCCAGAAACCTTGATATCCATGGCCCCCCTTTGATTCATATTTGTGGTCCTTAATCCCAAGTCTGAGCCTTCAGTGAAAACCTGTCTTCTCACAATCTGCCGTAAGGATCCCTAGGCCACTATTTTACCACTTTTTTATTGTTCTCATAACTCTAAGTAAAACTTAAAATGTTTTTTATTACTCTAAAGCTATATTACCAATCTAATCCAAATACACTTTTAACCTAATAGAGTCTTAGTAATAGCAGTCATTATTTTTATTTTTTTAACTTGGAGTTTACTATAAATTGGTCAATTGCTTTTCATTAGTTTATCCTCATGAAACCTATATGATAATATAACATCATAAATTCAGTTTATTGTAGTAGCATACCTGGAAATTCCCTCTTGGTATTTAACTGTA
The DNA here is from genome assembly GCF_000001405.40 of Homo sapiens. Taxonomy (NCBI): domain Eukaryota; kingdom Metazoa; phylum Chordata; class Mammalia; order Primates; family Hominidae; genus Homo; species Homo sapiens. The sequence continues at coordinate 98,338,913 of NC_000004.12, forward strand.
AAGGCAATTATTTTAATATGTTTACTTGGCAGCTTTGTTTGGAACTTGAGCCTTTCTCAAGCTATAACCTTAAATTATGAGTTCCCTCCCATTCTCCTTACTCCCTCCTTTGTAATACTTTGTATTGACCTTGACGATTTGTGTGAGTTGTGCTTTAAACTCTGCTCATATGACATTATAGGCTGGCTTCTTGATTTACTCTTATTCCAAGTTTCTCTGGCCTGATTGCCCAATTTTCCTTTTCTTTCCTATATCTGGCAGTGTCATAACTAAGCTGCCTCCTTGCTACCAGGAGGTCAGGTGGAGTGAGGACATAGGGCTTCAGGGACAGAATGAGTGCTGGAAGAACTTCAGGGGCTATTGTGATGGATATGACTCCTGCCTCAGCTCACACAGATACTATTTTAAAGTAGCAATTGCCCGTCTTATATGGGTCCTCAAAATTCAAAAACTGCCAGTTGCCTATAATTTGTAGGCATTCTCAAACATTTTTGTCACTGCACCTAGATGTGAAGGAGGAGAAAGATGTTGAATTGATTCCTGCAAACATTAAAAAGGAGTGTAGTTAAAATGTCAATAGTAGTCTGGCTACAGATAGTGAAGAGTCTACCTTTTTTTTTTAAACAAGACTTCTGATCACAGTGCATCGTTTTTGATTTTTTTTTTTAACAAGTAGCCATTCATTTGGACATGGAATCATCAACCCCTGACTACTCCTTAGTGCCATTTTAAAATTGTTTCAAGGGTTTTCACAGATATCTGAGAACATCCTCAGTTCACAGGTCAATATACATTTTGAGATACAGTGTAATGCCAGTGCAAAAAGTATATATGAAATGAAGTTAAAACTTTGTAGTTTATACAAGCTGGAATAGCTATTATTAAAAAGTCAAAAAATAACAGGTGGTGGTGAGGTTGCAGAGAAAAGGGAATGCTTATACAATGCTGGTGGGAATGTAAATAGTTCAGCCATTGTGGAAATTAGCTTGGCCATTTTACAAAGAACTTAAAATAGAACTACCATTCTACCCAACAGTTGTATTATTGGGCATGTACCCAAAGGAATAGAAATCATTCTACAAGTTGGAATAGCTGTTATTAAAAAGTCAAAAAATAAAAGATGGTGGTGAGGTTGCAGAGAAAAGGGAATGCTTATACACTGCTGGTGGGAATGTAAATAGTTCAGCCATTGTGGAAATTAGCTTGGCCATTTTACAAAGAACTTAAAACAGAACTACCATTCTACCCAACAATTGTATTATTGGTCATGTACCCAAAGGAATAGAAATCATTCTACGATAAAGACACACACATCGCAGCACTATTCACAGTAACAAAGACATGGAATCAACTTAAGCCCATCGATGGTATACTGGATAAAGAAAATGTGGTATATATACACCATGGAATACTACATAGTCATAAAATGAGTGAGATTATGTCCTTTGCAGCAACATGGATGAAGCTGTAGGTCATTATCCTAAGCAAACTAACACAGAAACAAAAATCAAAGACCACACATTCTCACTTAAGTGGGAGCTGCCAGGCATGGTGGCTCACACCTGTAATCCCAGCACTTGGGGAAGCACTTAAGGTAGATCACTTGAGGCAGATCACTTGAGGCCAGTAGTTCAAGACCAGCCTGGCCAACATAGCAAAACCCCATCTCTACTAAAAAATACAAAAATTAGCTAGGCATTGGGGTGCACACCTGTAATCTCAGCTGCTTGGGAGGCTGAGGCATGAGAATCACTTGAACCCAAGAGGCAGAGTTTGCAGTGAGCTGAGATCACACCACTTCACTCCAGCCTAGTTGAAAGAGCAAGACTCCGTCTCAAAAAAGAAAAAATATATATTCACATATATGTATATATGTAAATATATATATAAAAAGTGGGAGCTAAACATTGAGTACATATGGATACAATGAAGGGAACAGCAGACACTGGGACCTACTTGAGGAGGGAGGGTGGGAGGAAGATGAGTATTGAAAAACTACCTATCGGGTACTATGCTTATTACCTAAGTGACTAAATAATCTTTACACCAAACCCCCATGACATGCAATTTACCTATATAAGAAACCTACCCATGTACCCTAAACCTAAAATAAAAGTTTAAAAAATAAAAAAATACACTTTGTAGTTATTTATTGGACAGTGGTGTTTGAGTGATAAAGTACAAATTTGTTCTTTACTTTTTTATGTCACAGAAAAATGGTAGTTCCCAGACGTTTACATTCTAAACCTATATAGAAATCTACATGCTAGCAGGTAAAAATAATTCCTGTTAGATTTTTCTAAATCGTAAATCAGATTTATGTGAAAAACCAGGTTATGTTTTTCCCTTTTATTTCTTTGACAATAGCAGTGAAAATACTATTTTCAAATTCTGGATTCCTGTTTAGTACAGCTATTCTCCCAGTTCACTGGATTTAATCTGTGGAAAGTGTCATTGGAGTGCAAGAGTTAGCATTGTTTTGTTTTGTTTTCCCCTTGCCCCTGACATTCCACTATGATATTAAGCCACTCTTTTAGTTACAGTTAAATGAGACATGCATGGGTGATTTGCAGTTAACTGCTCGCCTCCACACATAACAAATGCTTCGGCTTCATATCTAATCATGATTCATGCCTTATGCCAGACTCTTGCTGTCATCCCAGTACCAGCAGATGGTGGGGCTAGACCCCTGGGGCAGTATGACCCAGTGTTCTAAGGTTATATTTCTTCTGGTAGCAATGGTCAGAAAAGGAAAGATTTTAACATGGCAAATTAAGTTTAGTTCTTTATGGCTTTTTGCTTAAAAAAAAAAAAATCTTAGGTGTCACATTTTCACGTGGTTCCTTAAAAACTTACTTTTTAGTCCAGTAAAATAAACTGGAGTGTTATCATTCCTTAACTCCAAATCCTGGTAGTCAAGGGGTACAAGGAGCAGTGGTTTTTCACTTTCCTCAAACCCATGATTGGAAATACATTTTACATACAGTACATATATACTTACAGGCACATATGCATATGCATATACATAATTCAAACCAAAATTTCAATCATAATGTTTGACCTTACCATGTGCAATATTTTTCTCTTCTTTTTTGTTGTAGATGTTGTTAATTCTTTTATTTTAACCAGTTTCTAGTCTTCATTCCCCAAGTAGATTTTAGCGCTCATAATGGATTGGGACCCACAGTTTGAAAAACTGTATTAAACAATCAGCACTTATTATAAAGAAATATGTTACGTACTTTTTTGTGGACTTTCTCAAATTATAAAAAATGATTTTCCTCCTCTTTACTGATCACATCAGCTGCCATTTAGTTAACAAGAAATTTTTAGGGTTCTCTATTATTTGTATGTATATCCAAGAATCTAAAGGACATAGAGGAGCTACATATAGAAACAAATTTCAATTGAATGTTTTAATGAGCCTTATAACCTCTAGCTTTAAACACATGCCATTTCTCTTCATTGTTCACAAATAATAATTTTATTTCTTTGAGCTTTTCTTTATTTTTAACATATTTTAATAGGTCATTCTTTCAGTAACATACATGAAGTAGCTTGTTTTTATAGGCCCATTATTTGTATTTTAACAAGGAAAGGAAAGAAGTGGGGGCCTCTTGAATTTCTGTATCACCAAATAGAGTTCAGAATACTATGGGTTTTTGCAGTGTACTATTTCTCTTCTTCATTAATGGTGATGTGAATGAGTTGCATGAAAAACATAGGAGTCATAGGAACCATGTAATCCCTTGACTATCACTTTTCATTCCGTATAAAATGATAGGAGGTGAGTTTTTTGCCTAATTGCCATTTTTTAAAGTTGCTATGGCATTATAGGGAACCATAGAGTTTATATAAAGTGATAGCTCTTAGAATTCAGAAGAGATGTAGAAAAAAAGCATTTATATTCTGAATAGACAGGGTTAGAACTAACATTGAGAGTAAGTTTGGTATGCAAATGATATATTCAGAAAGAACTTCTTTATAGTCTGACTGTAAATAAACAAAATATTATATTATCAAGTGTTTTGTGCCGATTAAAACTCAAAATAAAAGCAGCTTGTGGAGCAGAAGGTAATTTTGTATAAAGACATATATTTGAATGTATACCGAAACTAATTTCTATTATGGGTGGGAAAAATTCTTGAAGAATTTATTGTAGATAATGGTTGTCAGTGTTAGCATTAAAGATTTTCACTGAAGCTCTTTGTATGTATCTCTTTTAGATACGGAAACAAGTGAAAAAATCCAAGCAAGTGGAATACTTCAGCTGTTTGCAAGTCTGTTGACTCCACAGTCTTCCTGCAAAGCCAAAGTAGCTAACATCATAGCAGAAGTAGCCAAAAATGGTGAGGTTTACCTCAAGAACTTTTCTGCTGGGAACGTCTTCAGTTTTACATCTTACTTGTCAGTATGCTTTATTAATTTATGTTTTAATTTTGTAGATTAGACATTTTTTATTTCTATTTATCTTTTGTTTGACTCTTCATGTAATTGTTTTAAATGGCTATAGTTACAGTCATTCATACCTGTCCCATCTGATAACCCATTCCTTCTCAGTAGAATTATGGGAAAGCTCTGCTGCCCTCAGCTATACCTGTGTTATTTATTACTTTGGGTATAAGATTCTTGAACTTGCCACTGAGTCATTCATCTTTATTGCCATAAGAGATAATATATTTTTAAATATTTATGTTTGTTTGTGTTATACCCACATAAACTCACTGTTCTTTTTTAGTTTGGCCTATTGTTCCGACATTGGCACTTCAACAGTATAGTTGGAATATACGTTCTATTTTCTACACTCACCATATATTTCTTAAGTTTCCATGTAAGAATACTCTGGAAAAACAATAATGACAACAAAGTTTAGATTGTGTACTATTTATACACTGAGAGATTCTTTGGATGAATTATATCATAGCATAAATATTTGCATGTGGTTTTAATTCAGTCCGTTTGAGAAAAACACTGAATTCCTAAAGCAATGTTTAAGCATATAAGAAGGCCGTACTATATATAATACCTTTAGTTTGCCTCAGTTTGTCAGTTTTACATTATTTTTTAGCCTTTTATTGTAGTATGTTTCATATATTATTCTTTAAAGTGAAGGAATTTGCGTAATCATCATGGCAGGTGGCTTTGTAAAGTACCAGTATATGTTGGTTTGGGCTGGTAAAACAATGTATTTTTAGATGTGTTGCCAAAAAGAAAATTGTTTGAAGCTGTGTCATTTGTGTAGAGGTTCTCAAAATGCATTTCAAGTTCCAGTTAGATTCTATATTGGTATATGATTTTTTGGTGGTTGTTAGAAAATTGGCCACTTATCACTCTTATATGTCACATCTAAGAAGCAGATCTAGTTTGAAAATGAATTCTTTCCAGACATTGCTTGTTAACCTGGACCAACCCCTATCTGAATTTTCTTAGATACCCAGCATCTTGGTTTTTAAGAACAAGTCTTTTATTTTTAACTTTGTTAGAGTCATAGTATAGATTTCCAGAAATCAAGGTAGAGACTCCACAATTTTTATCTTAAAATCTTTTTTCTTAAGCATTCTTATAGTATAAAATCTGAAATTTTGGATAACAGATTTTTGTGAAATGGATTGCCATTCCTATATTCTCTTACTTAATAATATTCCTCATAATGCTCTGTCACAATTTCATGACAACTCTGCTTTGAAGAGTTTCTTACAGTAATACTCTAGTAGATGACAGCTATGTTCGAAAGACATAATAGAATTTTTAATGTTTATACTTTTAATCAGAGGCTGATAAAGGGCATATCACTAACCTCCACTGGTTAAAATAAATAGGATACATTGGTATGGTGTTTATTACTCCATGACCACATTACTTTTTTAAGTGATTGGCTGAGAAAGTGGACCAGAGTCTTGTTGAGTGTTTTTGTTTGTTTGTTTGTTTTTGAGACAGGGTCTTACTGTGTCGCCCAGGCTGAAGTGTAGTGGCAGGATCACGGTTCACTGCAGCCTTGACCTCCCAGGGTCAAGCAATCCTCCTATCTCAGCCTCCTGAGTAGCTGGACCATAGGCATGTGCCACCATGCCTGGCTAATTTTTAAATTATTATTATTTTTTGTAAAGACAAGGTCTCCCTATGTTGCCCAGGCTTGTCTCGAACTCCTGGATTCAAGGGATCCTCCCGCCTTGGCCTCACAAAGGGCTGGGATTACAGGCATGAGCCACTGATTCTGGCCTTTGAGTGTTCTTTTCAAAAGAAATACGTAACTTCAGAAATGCAACCTGACACAACATAGTACACTGATTGGGCATATATTTCTTTTTAGAAATTGACGATGAAAAAGATTGTATGAACCAGAGAATATGAGGTTGGAAGTTAATTTGTTCATCTTTACTCTGCTGTGCACAGAGGAGAAATATTAGCATATACTTCTTCCATTCAAATAAACCCCAAATAGGTTTTTGTACGCACAAAAAGAATCTTTAAAAATTAACACACCTTTGTGCTGACATTCAAAATTTAGAGGATTTGTAAGAAGTTCCGTGGGCGAGTTTAATGTGGGAGGGTAGCTTTGACCATAAATTATAGTAAAAGATTTTTTAGACCTTTTAAATGTATTATTCCCTTATATAATAGACTTAAGACTGATATGAGGCAAAGGACAAATAAGATATGACATATCTGTGAATATTTCAGAATTGGGCTCTCAAAGTATTTAATAATAATAGTAATACTTCTTAATGCCAGCTATGATTTTGTGCTAACATAATTTAAGTGTTGTGTACATTATTTCAATCCCATATGAGATAGAGTTATTTTATACAGATAAGAAAACATAGAGGCTAAATATCTTACCTGTCATCACACTTAAGTGATGATAGTTGGATTTTATGCACTAGTTTGTTTCTCTCCTTTCATTTCTTTTCAGTAAATGAGAATTTATGATGGCAGTGGAATGTGTAGAGGTGGTCTGAGTACAGCGGTAGCAGCATGTAACCTGAAAGATTGGGCTGGTAACTGATGTGAAAATGTATAAAAACCAGCAAAAGTTGAACTGCTTTATGTCTGTTCCTCTAAAGTAGTTCCCTGCCTTTGACCTGTAGCAGCAACAGACTCACCCGGGAACTTGTTACATGCAAATTCTTGGATCCACTCACCCAGACTTACTGAATCAGGGACTCAAGAGTGGGCCCAACCATCTGTTTTAACAAGTCCTCTAGGTAATGCTGATGAGTATAAAGCTTGAGAACCACGTTTCAGTATAAAGCAGTACAGAATCAGTACTTTTGATTAACATTATGCTTTTTTTGTTCTTCTGTGTACTTTATCATATTGCAAAGTGTTTATCAAAACTTCCGCCTGAGTGCTCTTAACAACAAAAGAGTGAAAATGTACACCCAAGAGGACCTGGTGAGAGCATTAACCAGAAATACAGAAGTCTCCTGTTCTGTTTTATTTATTTTAATTTTGCCCTCTATTCCATAACAGGTACATGTAGTACATGTTTATTTTAGTATAAAATGCATGTGTGCCCTAGAAAAATCATTGAATAAAGTTGAGACTCCAGAAAAATGCACTATATTGTCAGGTAGCTTAAAGTATACCTCGAGACCTCAGTGTTGGAAGCTTAACCTCCGTCATTTTGTAAGAATGATTATTTATTTTTTTTTTTTTTGAGAGGGAGTCGCCCAGGCTGGAGTGCAATGGTGCGATCTCAGCTCACTGCAAGCTCCACCTCCCGGGTTCAAGCAATTCTCCTGCCTCAGCCCCCTGAGTAGGTGGAATTACAGGCACGTACCACCACACCCGGCTAATTTTTTGTATCTTTAGTAGAGACGGGGTTTCACCATGTTAGCCAGGCTGGTCTCGAACTCCTGACCTCGTGATCTGCCCACCTTGGTCTCCCAAAGTGCTGGGATTACAGGCGTGAGCCACTGCGCCCGGCCAGTACTTTCTTTAAAAACAAGGGCAGTACAAAGAGTGAGTGAAAAATATAAATGTCAGTTTGACAACCCACATATAAAAGTCACTCATTCTTTTATATTCATGCCTCATAGTTTTCCTTGTTTTTCAAAAGAAAAATATAAAAAGCTAAGAGTTAATACAGGGAAGTTATTAGAGAAAATTCAAACATGAATATGTTATGATTTAGTCTAATAAACACTGAGGTGGACTCTACTACTCAGTGTTTTTATTTGGCTTGAAAATTTTGGTTTAAAAGAGAGTTTTAATAAAATAGTTTCTTCAGGTAGGTAAAAGTGGAGAAAGTAGATGTTAGGTTTTTTAATATTTGAGGATATGTGAGGGGGATATAAATCTTGGTGTATATAAAAAGAAAATAATTTTCATCACAGCCTGTACTTTATGATGCTGCTGAAAGAATATGTAATTCAAGTAGGTTTGAGAAAGTAAAAGAAAGAAAGTAAAGCGTTAACACTCTAAATTTACAAAAGAATAAAAAATAATCGACAATTATTTAATGAATGTATTACTACAGTCAAAGGGAAAAACATTAGTCTTAGGTGGAAATCAACTTTTTATTTTTATTGATATTGAAATAGAGCAGTACCTATTCCTTAAACCTCTGTATTGAATTTCTACATTAACCTATACATGTTTTGCAAAGAAAAAAAAGTGAATTCTATGTTGTGTAGGCAAATACACATATACAGAAACACTTAATGGCTCCTGCTTTCTACAGCATAATGGCATCCACTAACGTTGATTTCTATTCACTGTCATTCTGCATGTATCTTGGTTTCAGCCTCTTTCCCTTGCAGTACTGCCCCTTTCCCCGAACCAAAATTTTCAGTTCTCCGAGTTCAAATTGCCTAGAGAGAGAATCTGATTTTTTGCCTGTTTCTTTTTAAGTTCATCGCCATTGTTCTTTTTAGGAAATCCTTCAAAGTAGACCATCTTTTAGGCTATTGAGTCAGAATCCAGCCAGCTGTGAAAGATAGCAGGTGTGAATGTAGAGGTATAGGTAGTAGGAACCCCTTTGAAGAAGGACGACTGTCAGCCATTCTGAAGCCTCTCCAACATAATATGTATAACATTTTAAACATATTCTTTTTTATTATTATTATTCTTTAAGTTCTAGGGTACATGTGCACAACGTGCAGGTTTGTTACATATGTACACATGTGCCATGTTGGTGTGCTGCACCCATTAACTCGTCATTTACATTAGGTATATCTCCTAATGCTATCCCTCCCCCGTACCCCCACCCCACAACAGGCCCCGGTGTGTGATGTTCCCCTTCCTATGTCCTAGTGTTCTCATTATTCAATTCCCACCTGTGAGTGAGAACATGTGGTGTTTGTTTTTTTGTCCCTGTGATAGTTTGCTGAGAATGATGGTTTCCACCTTCATCCATGTCCCTACAAAGGACATGAACTCATTCGTTTTTTATGGCTGCATAATATTCCATGGTGTATATGTGCCACATTTTCTTAATCCAGTCTATCATTGATGGGCATTTGGGTTGGTTCCAAGTTTTTGCTATTATGAATAGTGCCACAGTAAACATACGTGTGCATGTGTCTTTATAGCAGCATGATTTATAATCCTTTGGGTATATACCCAGTAATGGGATTGCTGGGTCAAATGGTATTTCTAGTTCTAGATCCTTGAGGAATCGCCACACTGTCTTCCACAATGGTTGAACCAGTTTACAGTCCCACCAACAGTGTAAAAGTGTTCCTATTTCTCCACAGCCAATCCAGCACCTGTTGTTTCCTGACTTTTTAATGATCACTGTTCTAACTGGTGTGAGATTGTATCTCATTGTGGTTTTGATTTGCATTTATCTGATGGCCAGTGATGATGAGCATTTTTTCATGTGTCTGTTGGCTGCATAAATGTTTTCTTTGGAGAAGTGTCTGTTCATATCCTTCGCTCAGTTTTTGATGGGGTTGTTTGTTTTTTTCTTGTAAATTTGTTTGAGTTCTTTGTGGATTCTGGATATTAGCCGTTTGTCAGATGAGTAGATTGCAGAAATTTTCTCCCATTCTGTACGTTGCCTGTTCACTCTGATGGTAGTTTCTTTTGCAATGCAGAAGCTCTTTAGTTTAATTAGATCCCATTTGTCAATTTTGGTTTTTGTTACCATTGCTTTTGGTGTTTTAGACATGAAGTCCTTGCCCATGCCTATGTCCTGAATGGTATTGCCTAGGTTTTCTTCTAGGGTTTTTATGGTTTTAGGTCTAACATTTAAGTCTTTAATCCATCTTGAATGAATTTTTGTATAAGGTGTAAGGAAGGGATCCAGTTTCAGCTTTCTACATATGGCTAACCAGTTTTCCCAGCACCATTTGTTAAATAGGGAATCCTTTCCTATTTCTTGTTTTTGTCAGGTTTGTCAAAGATCAGATGGTTGTAAATGTGTGGTATTATTTCTGAGGCCTCTGTTCTGTTCCATTGGTCTAGCTCTCTGTTTTGGTACCAGTACCATGCTGTTTTGGTTACTGTAGCCTTGTAGTATAGTTTGAAGTCAGGTAGTGTGATGCCTCCAGCTTTGTTCTTTTGGCTTAGGATTGACTTGGCAATGTGGGCTCTTTTTTGGTTCCATATGAACTTTAAGGTAGTTTTTTCCAATTCTGTGAAGGAAGTCATTGGTAGCTTGATGGGGATGGCATTGAATCTATAAATTACTTTGGGCAGTATGGCCATTTTCACGATACTGATTCGTCCTATCCACGAGCATAGAATGTTCTTCCATTTGTTTGTGTCCTCTTTTATTTCGTTGAGCAGTGGTTTGTAATTCTCCTTGAAGAGGTCATTCACATCCCTTGTAAGTTGGATTCCTAGGTATTTTATTCTCTTTGAAGCAATTGTGAATGGGAGTTCACTCATGATTTGGCTCTCTGTTTGTCTGTTATTGGTGTATAAGAATGCTTATGATTTTTGCACATTTTAAACAGATTCTTAAACATCCCTGTTTTTTTTTTTAATATATCTGCCTGAAGCATGATAACTTTATGTCTTTAAAATTAGCTAGCGAGGACTACCACTCTTTGTTTAAAAAAGTAAATTAGCTGAAAAGCAAATGAGTTTTAGAAGAAATTCTTTTTTACTTTATCCAGAGACTGACAGTGACTGAAAGCTGAGGAATATATTAGCTTTGTTTTATCTTTATATGTTTTTGAGTAAAAAATGGTTCCAAAGAGTTTTGATTCCACAATTTTTCTGTAATTATTTACCCTCTATTATTCCAAGAATACTTGAAGCTATTGATTGTAGAGTCCAAATTTTGAAAGATTGGTATCATATAGGCAAAACATAAAAGAAACACAGTAATTCTTCAATGTTGCCATTGCCTGAATAGCAATAACAAAACAAGCAAAATAATAAGATAAACAAGTTTTATTTATGAATGAGTACAAATCAGACCGTTCCTAAATTTCTTGTTTTAGTAGTCAATGAAATCATCTTACTGTTGGGAACCAGGCATAGTTCAGTGAAAAGGATAATGAACATCTGTGTTTAATATGAGTTAGTAGCATGTTAATTTAAGATTTGAAATCTAGTCCAGGCCTGGTGGTTCTCACCTATAATCCTAGCATTTTGGGAGGCCACAATGGGAGGATCACTTGAGCCTAGAAGTTCGACACCAGCCAGGGCAGCATAGTGAAACTCTGTCTATAAAAAAATAAAAAATTGGCCGGGCGTGGTGGCTCACGGCTGTAATCTCAGCACTTTGGGAGGCCAAGGCAGGTGGATCACGAGGTCAGGAGTTCAAGACCAGCGTGGCCAACATAGTGAATCCCCATCTCTACTAAAAATACAAAAATTAGCTGGCTGTGGTGGCACTTGCCTGTAGTCCCAGCTACTCGGGAGGCTGAGGCAGAAGAATCATTTGAACCCAGGGGGCAGAGGTTGCAGTGAGCCGAGACTGTGCCATTGCACTCCAGCCTGGGTGACAAAGCAAGGCTCCGTCTCAAAAATAAATACATAAATAAAATTATCTAGGCCTGGTGGTACACACCTGTAGCTCCAGCTATGCAGGAGGCTGAGGTCAGGGAGGATCCCTTAAGCTCAGGAGTTCGAGGCTACAGTGAGCCATTATCATGCCATTACATTCCAGTCTGGGTGATAGGGTGACACCTTGTCTCAAGAAGAAAAAGATTTGAAATCTATGAAGGGTCTAAAGTAACCATTAACTAAAGAGGTAGATAAGCAGATTGATGTGTCATCTCCTATAGATGGTCATTGAATTCATGAACATGTACAGCATAATTCATTTTCTTAACATGAGTAGTAGGATACTTAGTACTACTGAGTTTGATAACGTCAATGATAAGCTCAAAGGTTAGTTGTTGAGATAGGAAATAATCTGAGTCTTAGAAGTTTACATTACAGGGGATTTTTAGTGGTAGAGTAATAAGTAAGAAAGAGATGATAGGAATTAATTCATTTATTTCGGGACAGAGGAATACCTCTGTGATTTACAGCTATCTTAGGAGGAAAAGAAGTTGTCTCAGAGGTGACAGCTGACAGAATAACCTATATGGTATGCTCTAAGAATTTGAAAATGAAGGGAAAGAGAGGGAGGATTGCTCATGAGGGTACCTGTGGAACAAACCAAGGGGTAGACCATCTTGATAGAGTGAAAAGATAGTGATTTTTTTAGTAGGACAGGTTATAGATGGATAAATTAGTTCTTTGTTAACTAACTTTATTGACCAGAACATCCTTATGGTGAGTTGTGATGTCCAAAAAGGTAATTCAGTTATTGGTTATTGGAGAAATTTCATCAGTTACATACTTCCTTATGTTTTGTAGTGGTCCATCATGAGACACTGAAAAAAAAAAAAAGTTTATGTCCAATCATGACTGTGGTGGTATCATGGTGAGTTAATACATAAAGAATGGCATACCATAAAAATAAGGAAAAAATGGGTTTGAAATTTAAGAAATCTTAAGATTTGACTCTTTAGACCTGTAAATGTATGGGTATAGCAGCAGATATGAGTGAGCCATAAAATGGATTTTAATAAAGGACAGGAGTGAAGATAAGAAGAGGATGATTCCACCACATCTTACCAATCAAAAAGGACATATTATTTTTTAATGGTTCACTGAAACCTTTATACATATGTATATACTTATATTTATATATATATTTATATTTATAGGCTTTTTTAGAAAACAAAGTGAAAAATTAGGCAATATGATGGCTTAGTTTATAACTGTAGTACTTTAATTATCAGGCTTATAGAAATACATCGCCATTGTTTCCATCATCACACATATTGCTTCCAAAGCATATCGTTATTACGAGAAGATAGTGATAAATTAGTTGTGATGTAAGTTAATTAAAATCCCTTTGGTTTATGGTAGAGACTGTCAGCAAACAAAAATATGACCCCACTCAGTTTTGTGTATTTTATGAAGCTTTTAGTAGGGCTGTAACAGGGTACTTTTGTACAGAAATGTACTCTTCAAATATTCAGCCACCTTTTCAAGGTGGCTTTTAAATACCACATATTAAAAGTAGGTATTTATTTTATTAGGGGAGATGATTTATGTAAATTGTGAATCGTTAGATTTTTAATTAAACATGTCTCTTATTTTCAGAGTTTATGCGAATTCCATGTGTGGATGCTGGATTGATTTCACCACTGGTGCAGCTGCTAAATAGCAAAGACCAGGAAGTGCTGCTTCAAACGGGCAGGGCTCTAGGAAACATATGTTACGATAGCCGTAAGTGTTGACATCTCAATAATACACATACATTTTTAAGAATTATGATATTCAGACTAATCTGCTTTTGTGTTAGCAGTGACTTTTCTAGGCTAAAACACTAACATGGGCCGGCATGATTCAGCACTGCTTATTTAGCAGAATTTATGGAGATTCAGGTCGTTGTATTCTTATCAAAGAAATCATAGGAAATGAAATGTTTTCCTCTGTTATCACAAATGATATTTTCAGAGGAAATTAAGTCAGTTTCTAAGAAATTGGGGCTGTAAGTTTAGAAAAAATACATATGTGCATCTTCTCAATTAGGTTTCATTGAAATATTATCTCTGAATGGGAATGCTTATGGACACAGTTTTTTAAAGTTTCTGCGTCTGTCCAAATACATTTTTAATTATTTGCAGTTCGGTAAAACCAATCATAAAAACCATTCTCTTCTCAAAAGCTAGATTGGCCCATTACATTTGCATTGACTCCATTCCTGTTTGTCATTATATCATTGTCATCCTCACCACATTCTATAATATACTGTTCTACTAGGCAAAAAGAAAGCAAGAACTGGGGTATGGGTATATTGTAACAGCGTTAACAATTTCTACTTCCCCTTTCTACATATAAACAAAATACAGAAAAGAATTTTAAGTATATTTAGCTTAACTAGGCTTATTCTGATTTTCCTTAGAGTTTTATTTGCTGAGCCAAAACACGTATTTTATCATTCACCTGTAATGCCTCCTAGGAATTTAGTTTTATTTCTATAACTAGGATAACTTTTAGTGCTTATTTTCCCCATTGAGTGTTTAACTCGGATGAGTTATATTTTGTTATAACACAAAAGATATGGCCCTTTTATAATAGGCAGTCCTTCAAAAAGTGATTTATGCATATAAGCCAGAAAGAAAGGACATAAATATATTCATTTATGATAAAGAAGTAGGAAAAAAGATTGAAACTATAGTTATAACTCATATATAGCAGTAGTCGTAAAGCTAGCCTCATTTATTCTCCTTTTCTTACTTTTTCTGAAATAGGAGCTACAATAGCCATAAGTATTGAAATGTCAGTAATGAATCTGAGGACATAGATGTCTTAATATGAATTTTAACTTCAGTTTTCAGTCCCCAGTATAGCCTGTAAATCTGCTTATCTGCTCCTTCAATCCAGTTCTTTTTATCATAGGGTATTAGCTTTATTTACAAAATTCTGTTGCTTTATGTTTATAATTTTGTGTTTTCATATTTAGGATTTTTATTAAGCACCATAGTTTATAATATCAACTTTCAAGACTGAATCATTTATTATATATTTATATGATTAATTTTAGCAACATATATTAGACCTCAGCTGAGTAATAGTCAAAAGATTAGTGGCATGTACTTGGAGAGTACTGATTATTACTGTTTTTATTCTTACTTTTCTGTGTTTGTTACTGGAATTTAAGGGTACCAAAAGTATTCTTTTTTTTTTTTTTTTTTGAGACGGAGTCTCGCTCTGTCGCCCAGGCCGGACTGCGGACTGCAGTGGCGCAATCTCGGCTCACTGCAAGCTCCGCTTCCCGGGTTCACGCCATTCTCCTGCCTCAGCCTCCCGAGTAGCTGGGACTACAGGCGCCCGCCACCGCGCCCGGCTAATTTTTTGTATTTTTAGTAGAGACGGGGTTTCACCTTGTTAGCCAGGATGGTCTCGATCTCCTGACCTCATGATCCACCCGCCTCGGCCTCCCAAAGTGCTGGGATTACAGGCGTGAGCCACCGCGCCCAGCCCAAAAGTATTCTTTAAACCTTGTTCATTTTAGTTGTTCTTGAATTATACATTGTTTGAACATAGAGAATATTACCTGTTTTGAGAACTTTTGTCCTGGAGTTTTTCCTATTAATAAAATAGAAATACACACAGTGATATTTTGTCTCATATTGCCTTGGTTTTTATGGGCATAGAGTAATTTTATTTCCTGTGTATTCTAAAGAACCTTGAAGTTAGGGTAATAAATGTCTAGTTAACAAGATTATTCTTTTGATGAAACTGAAGTCCATTATTATAGTATTTATCATATCTATTTATCTTATGGGATATACAATATAAAGTTCTATGGATATCCTTTAAGTTATGAAGTTAATTTTTTTCATTTTATTATGAATATTTATAACCAACTTATCCTCATTTAGTTCAATGGAAGTCATAGCTAAATGATTAAGCATAGTAAATACAGCCCATATTTTTATACTTTTAAACTTTAGTTCAGGAAAATGAAGTTTGAAGTCTTAAAAGTGAATAAATGTAAGAAGTGATTCATTACTTAATATAAATCATGTGATGAAAATGTATTTATTGTGCCATGCTTTCATATGCATATAATTTCCATAGACTGCATGCTTTCTTACCCTTTTATTCAAAATTAAATTCTGTCAACTTCTTTGTGATTTTTCTAGAATGATTGCAGGACAATTACAGTGTTTATACTTGAATTACAAGAATAATATAAAAGCCTTGTAAATGTGATGTTGTGTGGTTGATTTGGGAATTTACTTGAAATGCATTTCTCATTTTATTTTCTGACAACTGGAAATTTTTCCTTTTTAAACAAGTTTTTAGTGGCTTCTATTTTAATTCATCAACCTTCTTCACTCTCGGGAATGTAATGCTTCATTTTTAAAAGGAGTATAGAAAACTACATGATAGCCTTGTGATCAATACAAAGAATCTTCTTCTTTCAAATAAAGTATGTTCTAAAGAGTTCATATATTTGTGTTTTATCTAACTTACCTATGGGGCTAATCAGTTGATTTCCATTTTATTAATGTACTCCAAATGAATAATTTTTTTAACATAGGTTTATTCAGGATGATAGTAGGCTTACAGTAGATAGTAAAGTTGATGTAAATAGAAAGTAGTATAAAGACTTCACTATTGGATCACTTCTCGGCCTGTTGGCTAAGATCAAGTGTAGAATTCACTATTGGAGATAAAAATTTGAGAAATTCATACATGTTCTATAGATTTTTACTTTGACACATGAAAAGTAAAGCATTTGCTAGCATATTTCAGTTAGCATAGTGTATTTGAAAGGAGGTGAGCTCCAACTGTAGAAAGAATTACCATAAAATCCGTGGAAATCTTTGGAGAAAAACTAGGTCAGATTTCAGTTTTACCAGCCTTGACAGTGCCCATTTTAGGAACTTTTCCTAATGGAAGAAAACGGCCTTATATAATCCTGACATGAGGTAACAGACTGGCATACCGCTAAATGGGACGGAGTAAAGCTTTGTTGCTGATGAACTTTTTGAATCCCAGTCTCCTTCTTGCATATAGAGATGAAAGAATCACTCACTGGCTGGGAACGTTTTTCATTTAAAATGCTTGGTCTCTTTTCTTCCAGAGAGCTGCAAGGCACTTCATTTATGTATTTCTCTTTCGAAGTATCCGAACAGACTTCTGATATAAGCAATATTTTAAAATGCTTCTGCCCTTTAACTTTGCCAAAATAACTCTTTTTATGAGAAATTTGACATCTTTCAGATCAGAGAAGAAAGGAAAGTTGTATTTCAATTTGGAAAGAAATAATCAAAATATGTGCGATTGATGGGATACACCAGGGAATGTGGTTTTAAAGCGCAGTAGTATTATATTTCAGAAATGCATGCCTTTGGCCTATTTACACTTCCTTTTCAAAGGTTTTATAAAAAAGAGGATTATGTTCTTATATAGCTGTCTTTGTGGCATTCCTCATTTTATTGATTTGTTTATATAACTGTACACATTTTAAATTGCTGATATACTTAAATGGCCTTATAGTTTTAAAAAGCTTTATGTTAAATTCCCATCCTGTATTTATAATTCCTGGGGATAAATTGGTGATTTGAGACTAGTGTTCTGTTTTGTGGATATTACTGCCTGAGGTCAGAAAATAATTGTTACTTGATCTACTGGTTAAAAGATATTAGTAGAGGCTAGAAGAAAATGATTACGTGAAATTAAATATTTGTGCCTTTTTATACACCGAGGAAGAATAATGTACAAATCAAATAAAAATGTTTTAAAATTAAACAAATATACCTCTTTATAGAAATAAAATGTATGCTTATTATATAACTGGTACTATTATTGGAAAGATATGTACACTTAAGCTTATATGATATGCTATCATACATAAGATAAAAAGTTGTATTCTTCCTTGCTGATGAGTAAATATTAAAATGAGGTAGTAATCAGTCTTGCCAAAGCCAGTGTTTATGAAGTGAAATATTGTTTATTCATTGACATCAAGTATAAATGGGAAGGATGCTGAAACATATGCATGTATCCGTTTGTATATTGGCGATTCTTGTGCTACACTATTTTAATATAAAGTCTTTATTTTTATGTAAAAATTCTTTATATAAAAATAGTGTAGAAGGAATTATAGTTCTTACTGCAAATACTGAAAAATAGTTACCAATAATTGTACAATATTTTATCATGTAAGTTGGTCAGAAAAGTATATATTAATATGATACAGACATACTTTGAAATTGCCAAAGTAATCAAAATATATTTGCAACAGTTATATTCAAAAGGGAACTATTTATATCCAGCATTTAAAATAAATGTTTATTTCAGTGATACCAATTAGGTTATTTGATGAGTTATATTAGGTATGTTATTAAAGTCTCATGCAAGTCTTTGTATTTACCCTATTTTCTGTGTTATTCAGTTTTAGAATAAAATAGAATTATCAGTCAGTAAGTAGCGTAAAAATAAGATTCTTCAGTTTTCATCAATCTGTTGTATTTTATGAGTTTATTATTAAAGTACATCATGTGTATAAGAATAAACAACAATATGTTACTGCTACTTTTAGAGATAGTAGTTATGACTATTATCACATGAAAGCATTCCACTATAAAGACATTCTAAATATAGATTGAAGTAGATGTTGTTTTGTAACACTATCATAAGCTCTAAACACAAGCATATGCCATTAAAGAGCTTTTTAAATGGTAGAGAAAATAAAATGAACAAAGGAACACAACCTGAGGACAATTACAGAGCACACACTAAATATGTTTTTTTATCAGAATGAAAATTAATAAGAATATTAACTGTAGCTGTTTTTTAAGAAATTAACCAAATAGTGCATTGCTTAGAAAAGAATTTGTTTACAAATTAATATAATTATAAATGTATAAAATTTTAATATAACCCCTAGAAAGTTGGTATTGCAAATGAATGTGATTTCCAGCTCCACCATTCACTAAGTTGTCATTTAATTTTTCTGATTTTAATTTCCTCCTTGGTAAAGTAAGCTTGTGTGGATTAAGTATGTTTATATAAAAAGTGTGTGTGACTCAGTGTAATACATACAATAACATACAAAAGGTATTTCCATAAAGATATAAAAGCCAGAAGCCATATAAAGAGAGGCAAAGATAAATCTGGTGGGAAGCAGGGATAATGTGCTTAACTGTGTATAAGCACTGATTTCACTTGAGCTTCTTGGCAGCCTATGTGAAAAAACAACTTGATATGCCTTGTAATTTTTATTTTATGATAAAAAGGAATATTTTAGTTCTTTAATCAAACAACTTTTGAGACAAAATAGTAGGAGGGACTTATCAGGATGTCATTAATTCCCTAGATGATTCTGTGCACATACCTAGTTACAATATGTAAGGATATTTACTGGCATTATAGTGTACCTAGTGACGGTTCTACAAAAGTTGCCCAGATGTTTTCCATGTGATTGTTTCTTGTACTAATCTTCAACAGAATCTGGGAAATAATACTGAGGACTTTACAGAAGGTAGTTTTATTTGGGTAGTATATCCCGAGTGTGTTGTTTTTTGGTGGTTAAACTTGCTTAAAGGATTCAGTTTAAAAATTTGAAAAAGTTTTGACTTGAATATATTTCCTAGTTTAGTTTAAAACCAGAATACAATTCTGGTTTCCATTCATTGTACTTTATCCTTTTCTCTGTGTTGTGTGATATATCCAAGTTCTATTTCTTGAGACCAAAAACCATGTTTATCTCTGATTTTTGAGCCCATTATCAGTTTGATGGAAACCTGACTAGCATGAAAGTGAGTATTTTAAAATACCACTTTAGTTGTGGTACACAAATCTGTACATATGTTAGAATTGCTTAGAACCATACATGCCCATACACATACACTAATGCATGTAAAAACTGATGAAATATGAATAAGGTCTGACATTGTACCAATGTCAGTGTCCTGGTTATGCTATTGTGTAGTAGAGTTATGCAATGTTACCATTGGAGGAGGCTGGATAAAGGGTACATGAGACCTTTCTGTGCTTTTTTTTTTTAAATAACTTCTTGTGAGCCTCTAATTACTTCTAAATAAAAAGTTTTAAAACCTCACCTATCCAGAAAGCATATATATTCTCTTCCCTATGGGAAATGACCTTGTTGTTTCAGCAGTACCTGAGGTGGGAGGTGGGGGCAGCAGGCATACACATAAAATTTTACAGCATAGCTCACAGCAGTAATTTTAATGAGTTTGTGCAATTAATGTGAAAGACAAAAATGCCTGTAATTTTTTCTCCCTCCAAATTGGACTTTTATGGAAAAAAATCAACAAAAACCTAACAGCCCTAAAATAAGATTTACGGAGTGGGAATTCGTATTTGTTGGGTTAGGACCTAGGGACAAAAGCAGAGTAAATTTCCTAGAAAGGGAATAACTGATAGGGAAATATTATAGACCAAAAAAAGTGAAATTATGAACTCAAGTAAACAGGTTGATATTAAAATGAGAAAGGACATTTCTGCCATAGAGAATAAAAGACAGAAGATAAATGAAAGTATAAAAAAACCTTTAAGTAGTAAAGAGGGCACTCAAAAGTGTATTTCTGGGTATAGTTCTGTCTTCCCAGTAAGGTAGATGTCAGGCTCATCTGTTAATAAAAGTCAACACCAAAATGATGGTAGGAAGTTTGTGGTTTTGGGGGAAAGTTCAAAATTGGGGCTGTAGGACATGTAAATCATGAAGATACGATTTTTTAAAATAGCCAAATAGTAATATAGGTATGCTATGGTAGAGATCTTGATTGTGCATCCATTAATGTATAGTGTGCTTAAAATGTCTATAGGCTAAGGAATTATTTTGACTTTGATATGTGGACAGGAAGGAGCCTCTGAAAGTAACTTGAAGAAATTGATATTTTCAGTTTTGTAGCATCATATAGTCTAATTGGAATGGACAGAGATGTGAGGCAGAGATATCAGGAAGCCATTACAGGAGGCCGGGTGTGGTGTGGTAAATAGTGACTGCGGCAGAGAGAACGAAATTATATTGTAAAGTGAGAGACAGTACTCAGATAGTTTATTATCAGTTTGGCTGGTTTTTGCGTAGCACTGCACCAGGTTTATTTAAGCAATGTAAAGTACTCTATCTCTTCAGATAGTTTACACTTTGAGAAACTATGATCTTTCCATTTTTGTACTTGGTATTAAATTTAAATCCCTCTTTTATTAAATGGTGTTTGGAAATCCAAGATTCTATAAAGTTTACCTTAAAATTGTAGGACAAAGAACACATATTACTGCTTTTTTCCCCATGCTTGATTACTTTCCAAATACTATGTTATAAAAAGCTAATGTCTTAGGGAAGACATGAAATAGTAATTTCGAGTAATTGTTCTTAATTTTATAGATACGAAAGTAGAGGCAACCTGTGAGAGAGTATTGCACGTGGCAAAAATATTAGATGATTTTTCTTGGGTTCAATAAGAAGTCATATATGGTTGCCTTCCCCCCCAACCCCACCCCCATTCTCTGAGTCAGAAGTCTGAATGGCTTTAGAACTTTCCTTTCCTCATTAAGAGGACTTAGGTAGGGTGGGAAAAGTCTAATTATAGAGGCCTACTTGGGGGTTTAAAAACATTTTTTGTCTAAATCTGTTTTTTCCCCTTACCTTTACCACTCTCATTTCACCTGTTAAAGTCAAAGTTTAGATATGTGAAACATAAGATTTCCAGTCTGCTTATTGAAACCCTGTCAACACATATTATCCTCTGCTCTTTTTAATAGGGTTTTGTTTACATTTTTAAAATTTTCTTATTTGTAACCAAGTTGAAGTACTGAGAACTTTCTCAACTTTTAATCAGCCTTTTCCTTGCTACAAGTAGGGTGCATTTTCCTTGGCGGTGAGGAAATATGAAAAATAAATGCTACGTAAAAGTGAATAATTCAGGGCCAGGCATAGTGGCTCACGCTTGTAATCCCATCATTTTGGGAGGGCGAGGCAGGTGGATCACTTGAGGTCAGGAGTTCAAGAGCAGTCTGGTCAACATGGTGAAACCCCATCTCTACTTTTTAAAAAGAAAACAAAACAAAACAAAACTAGCCAGGCATGGTGGCATATACCTGTAATTCCAGCTTTGGGAGGCTGGGGCATGAGAATTGCTTGAACCCAGGAGGCAGTGATTTAAGATCACAGCACTGTACTCCAGCCTAGGTGACGGAGTGAGACTCTGTCTCAAAAAAAAAAAAAAAAAGAGTGAATAATTTACATTTTTCCTGCTGAGTAAAATGTTTTTACCCGTTGAGAAACTATGCTGTCATCAGTTCAGATTAAATTCTAAATAACTATATATGCATTTGCTCTCACACACACACATATATATATACATATATATATAGTCTAGCATAATTTAAGTATGAAATAGTTTGGTACAAAAACACCTTTTATATTTAAAATATTTATAAAACGTTTTGATCTTGAACAATTGGAGTAATAAATTGGAACAATAAATTACATACATTATTATCTAAATGCTATGTAAAAGTAACTTTTATGGAAATAATTGAGTTAAATGACTTTATAATTTGTGTATAAAGATATTCAGTCTTTTGCTAATAAAATGATACAGAAATATAAAAATATAGGGAGTAAAGAAAGCTTTAGTAATTTCTTTAGGAAATGTATTGCCATTTATGGAGCCTTTATTAGATAAAGGGTTTTTGAAAAAGTAGAATTATTGAACAATTTTAACTAATGTGAGAAATCTGTTGGACAACAGAAATTAATACTAGTATCAGCAGGCACACCAAAAACTGTGTCCATCAAATGCTGGGCCATAACCTCATTTTATGCTGTGCCCTTGGTACTAGTGCTTTGGGAAATGAAAGATTTAATTCATTTACTTTTCCTGATCTGGCATTACAAGTGTAAATGTATATACACCTTGAAATTTTCCCACCTAAATGCAGATTTTTAAACCTGAATATAATGTCACAAAATTGCAAATTGCATGCTTCTCTTTTGATATGTGTGCACTTAACAGTCATGGTGGCTTTTTCTTCATGACTCATTTTTGTGATTTTACTTATGTAATATGTTATAGCTTTTGCTTTTATATCTAGTCTTTCAGGGATTTTGCCTGAATCTGGAAGGTGAATAAATTGCGTTTTGAGTTTTAGAAACGATATTCATGAGCTTTTTTATTTGAATGCTGAAAACATTCGATTATGTCTAAGGTACATAATAGAAATTCACTGTTGGCAAAATTATAGGGGGAAATGTAAGCATTAGAATTTAATTTTCTTTCCTAGTAGACTTCATAAATACATTTTAACTTTATCTTGAAAAACAATGTAGGGTCTGCATGTGGTGGCTCACAGCTGTGATCCTAACATTTTCAGAGGCTAAGGTGAGAGGATCACTTGAGCCCAGGAGTGCAAGATTAGCCTGGGCGTCATAGCAAGATCGCATCTCTACAAAAAATAAATTTAGCTGTGCATGATGGAGCACTTCTGTAGTCCTGCTACTCAGGAGGCTGAGGTAGGATGACACGAGCCTGGGAGTTCAAGGCTGCAGGGAGACATGATTGTGCTACCACACTCCAGCCTGGGTGACAGAGCAAGACCTTGTCTGAAAACAGACAACAACTAACACAATGTAGGTATGTCTATTACCATTTCCCTGCTCCAGGAAATTAAAATAGAACTTGGCAAAATTAAAAGCAGTATATTTAATAGGAATGGGAAAAAAAAAGCCTTCATAATCATGCAGATCAGAATGGCCAGTATTTCAGACTTAGAAAAATACGTTGCTGCTCATGATTTACATCCCTGACTTCTAATCTCTTTGAGTGTGAAAACTTCCTTTTTAACACCACAAATTATTGTTCTCTCCCTTTGAGGATATAGGTCACATATTTTTATAGTAATGATTGTACTTACAAAATGTATGTACTGAGAAGATATGAAATAATGAGTAAATGCCAGGAAATTCTCACTCTATGTCTTTGTATTCTTTGGTGTATACATACTACAATTAAATCCACACATATTGATTGAACCAACTATGTTTAGGGGACACTGCCTGTGATGGGGATTATAGGGGAAAGAATGAGCAAGAAGTCTCTATCCTTGTGAGGCTTTCACAGGAGGAGGTAGATAATAAACAAGTAAATACTACAGAAAAGATATTTATAGATTGTGATGACTGACATCAAGGGAATAAAGAAGGTGATGTATAATAATGGAGTGTATTTGAGGGTGAAGAAAGTTCTCTCTGTGGATGTTATTTAAGCTGAGGTCTGGAAAATGAGAATGAGCCAGCTAAGAGAAGAGGAAGAATATTCCTTATAGAAGTAGAGTAATTGAGCTAAGTGTGGTGGCTCACATCTGTAATCCCAGAATTTTGGGATGGCAAGGCTCAAGGGCTGCTTGAGGCCAGGAGTTTGAGACCAGCCTGGGCAACACAGCAAGACTCTGTCTCTACAAAATAAAAAATGAGCCATTATGGTGGCACGTGTCTGTAATCCCAGCTACTCTGGAGGCTGAGGTGGGAGGATCACTTGAGCCCAGGAGTTCTAGGCTGCAGTGAGCCATCACACCACAGCACTCCAGCCTAAATAACAGTGAGACCCTGTCTCAAAAAAAAAAAAAAAAAAAAAAAAAAAGTGTAGTAATTGTAAAGCCCTGAGAGGGCAAGGGATTTGGTAGAAATTCAGAAAGGAAACCAGGTTATGCAAGATACTGTGAACAGGGAGTATTGTGTGATAAAGTTCAAGAAACAAACAAAAGTGTTGATGATAGAAAGCCTCATGAATCATCTTGAAGTAGTGAGAAGTTGTTGAAGGCAAGAAGTGACATGATCTGATTTGGATTCTAAAAACATCACTCTTGGAGCTGCATGGAAAAGGAGTTGAGAAGCATGGAAATTAAGAGTTAAGAAGGGAAGCATTGAGACTAATTGAAAGACTTTTGTGATTGTCCAGTCACAACATAATGGTAACTTGGATTAAGTTATGGTAGTGTGGAAGGAGGAGGAACTTAGAAAGTATTTGGAGTGATGGATTGGATTGGGAAAGTGCGAAAGGGAGAAATCAAGAGTGATTTCTAGGACTTGAGTACCTGGACAGAAGATGGGGCAATTTGCCGATGTAGGAAAGAACAGAGGTTGTTTTTTGTTTCTGGGTTTTTCCGTCATTGCTGCTTGTTTTTATTTTGTTTTGCTGCAGGCATTATTAAGTCTGAGATTCTTCATAGAGACACAAGAAGAAATGGCACATAGGCGATTTCTATATCTTTATATTCTTTTACCTTTGGGGAATAAATATTCAAAAAGTTAAAATAATCTCCTGCATTTAGCAAAATGTTGTTAACTGTTTCTTAGATGGAATATGTAGATTCAGGGAACCAAGAGAAATTAGAAAGCTTAAGTGAATAAAACTACCTTGAAATCATAGTTTTTTACGTAGGAGGGAATTTAAAAGTCATCTCAGCCACCCCTGCCAAATTTTACAGATAAAAAAACTGAGACCTGAAAATTCAAGTGACTTATCAGAATCAACAGCTAAATTGGTGATAGTGTTGATCTGAAAACCAGATCTCAGGTTCATTGTTTCCGTAAATATATCTGAGGAAGTTATCACTGTCAAATACATAAATGCACTGTCATTAAATACATTTATGCTTCAGTGTGAATAATTCTGAGCACGCAGGTTTTGGAATATGTTTTAAGGATTTTACTAAAAGCTGTTCTTAAGCCAACATTTTGTTTAATTTGTTTAAAGAACACAAAAATAAAATTTACCTAATTGAAAGAACATAGAGTAGAACCAAGTGATGGAGGAAAAACTTTTTACATTTTTCCAAGTATAAAAGCTTTATTTAAAAAAAAAAAAGTATGATGTGAGGGCTGGGTGCAGTGGCTCACACCTGTAATCCCAGCATTTTGGGGAGGCTAAGGCTGGAGGATCACTGGAGTCCAGGAGTTCAAGACCCACCAGAGCAACATAGGGAGATCCCATCTCTACAAAAAAGTAAAAGAATTAGCCTGGCGTGGTGGCACACACCTGTAATCCCAGCTACTCCAGAGGCTGAGACTTGAGCCCAGAAAGTCAAGGCTGCAGTGAACTCTGATCAGGCCACTGCATTCCAGCCTGGGTGACAGAGCAAGAAGACCCTGTCTCAAAAAAAGAAAAAAAAAGTATGTATGTGAATAAACATTCTTTATTATATTTGATTTATTCTTGACATTTTCTCTGTAGAGAAGTGTGTGAAATACTGACTTCCCTTTTAAACTCATTGGGAATAAAGGATGTTCAGATTTGATTGGATTCTTAGTAATACCTAAGGAAACCCAATTAAAAATTTGAGAGTTTGACTCTTCCCAGTAAACCAGCTAGACAAATACAGGTATGTTCTTCAAGTTTGCAGACAAGTATCTATTGCTTTGTATTGTTTTCTTTACACACAAGGTGTATAAAGAAAAATTAAAATTGAGCCAGGCATCATGGCTCACACCTGTAATCCCAGCACTTTGGGAGGCTGAGGTGAGCAGATCCTTTGAGCTCAGGAGTTTGAAACCAGCCTGGGCAACATGGCGGAACCCCCTATCCCCTCTCTACAAAAAAGTGCAATAATTGGCCTGTTGTGGTGGCATGCACCTATAGACCCTGCTACTTGGGAGGCTGATGTGGGAGGATCGCTTGAGCCTGGGAGATCGAGGCTGCAGTGAGTGGAGATTGTGCCACTGCATTCCAGCCTGGGCAACAGAGCAAGACCCTGTCTCAAAAAAATAAAATAATACTGTCCTTCTAATTGTTCTGAATAAATTCACTTTTTCCTGCAATAATGATATAAGGAATTTATACACATCTAACTTTTTTTAAATGTTACTTTTTATCACTTTTGTTCGATTTTTACTGATTGTTAATATACCCTTTTAAATATCTCTATTGGCACAGCAAAGTAAGCTTTTCAGTTTAGTAGCTCTCTAACAAAATATTTTCTAATTCTGTGCTTTAAGTGAAATAAAACGGGGATGAAAGTGGCAAAACCATATTATCATGTCCATGAGCAGCCAAAAAGAAGTCTTTAGTGACCAGAGAAACCTTAACGTAAACAGTAAGAAGCAAGTAATAGGACAGAAACAAACAGATTCTTTACTCAGAATGTTTGTCATTTGAAGTAAATACAAGTGGTGGTTCTCTTTCTCTCACTCTCTTTTCAACATAATATGGGTGAGTTAATAAGTATTTAATATATATGTGATATGGTTTGGCTACATCCTCACCCAAATCTCATCTTGAATTCCCATGTATTGTGGGAGGGACCCAGTGGGAGGTAATTGAATCATGGGGGCAGGTCTTTCCCATGCTATTTTCGTGATAGTAAGTCTCATGAGATCTGATGGTTATTATAAGGGGGAGTTTTCGTGCACAAGCTCTCTTTGCCTGCTGCCATCCATTGAAGACATGACTTGCTTCTCCTTGCCTTTGAAGCCATGATTGTGAGGCTTTCCCAACCACGTGGAACTGTAAGTCCAATTACACCTCTTTCTTTTGTAAATTGCTCAGTCTTGGGTATGTCTTTATCAGCAGCATGAAAACAAACTAATACAGTAAATTGGTACCAGGAGTGGGGCACTGCTGAAAAGATACCCGAAAATGTGGAAGCGACTTTGGAACTGGGTAGTAGGAAGAGATTGGAGCAGTTTAGAGGGCTCAGAAGAAGACAGGAAAATGTAGGCAAGTTTAGACCCCTACAGGCTTGAATGGCTTTGCCCAAAATGCTGATAGTGATATGGACAATAAAGTGCAGGCTGAGGTGGTCTCAGATAGAAATGAAAAACTTGTTGGAAACTGGAGCAAAGGTGATTCTTGTTATGTTTTAGCAAAGAGACTGGCAGCATTTTGCCCCTGCCCTAGAGATTTGTGGAACTTTGGACTTGAGAGAGATGATTTAAGGTATCTGGCAGAAGAAATTTCTAAGCAGCAAAGCATTCAAGAGGTGACTTGGGTGCTGTTAAAAGCATTCAGTTTTAAAAGGAAAACAGAGCATAAAAGTTTGGAAATATGCAGCCTGACTATGTGACAGAAAAGAAAATTCTATTTTTCTGAGGAGAATTTCAAGCCATCTGCAGAAATCTGCGTAAGGAGGAACCGAATGTTAATCCCCAAGACAGTGGGGAAAACGTCTCCAGAGCATGTCAGAGGTCTTCACAGCAGCCCCTCCCATCACAGGCCTGGAGGCCTAGGAAGAAAAGATGGTTTTGTGGGCCGGGCCTAGGGCCTGCCTACTCTGTGCAGCCTAGGAACTTAGTACTCTGCCTTCCAGCCACTCCAGCTATGGTGAGCAGGGGCCAAGGTACAGCTCAGGCTGTGGCTTCAGAGGGTGGAAGCCCCAAGCCTTGGCAGCTTCTATGTGGTGTTGATCCTGCGAGTGCACAGAAGTCAAGAATTGAGTTTGGGAACCTCCACCTACATTGCAGGAAATGTATGGAAACACCTGGTTGGCCAGGCAGAAGTTTGCTTCAGGGGTGGGACCCTCATGGAGAACCTCTGCTAAGGCAGTGCAGAAGGGAAATGTGGGGTTGGACCCCCGCACAGAGTCCCTACTGGGGCATCACATAATGGAGCTGTGAGAAGAGGGCCACCATCCTCCAGACCCCAGGACGGTAGATCCATCAACAGCTTGCACCAGGCACCTGGAAAAGCTGCAGACACTCAACACCAGCCCATGAAAGTAACCAGGATGGGGGCTATACCCTGCAAACAAGAGGGCAGAGCTGCCCAAGACCATGGGAACCTACCTCTTGCATCAGCGTGACTTGGATGTGAGACATGGAGTCAAAAGAGATCATTTTGAAGCTTTAAGATTTGACTGCCCTGCTGGATTTCAGACTTGCATGCAGCCTGTAGCTCCTTTGTTTTGGCCAGTGCCTCCCATTTGGAATGGTTGTGTTTATCCAATGCCTATAGCCCCATTGTATCTAGGAAGTAACTAACTTGCTTTTGATTTTACAGGTTCATAGGCAGAAGGGATTTGCTTTGTCTCACATGAGACTTTGGACTGTGGACTTTTGAGTTAATGCTGAAATAAGAATTTGGGGGAATGTTGGGAAGGCATGATTGGTTTTGAAATGTGAGGACATGAGATTTGGGAGGGGCCGGGGGTGGAATGATATGATTTGGCTGTGTCCCCACCCAAATCTCATTTTTAATTCCCATGTATTGTGGGAGGGACCCAGTGGGAGATAATTGAATCATGGGGGCAGATCTTTCCTGTGCTGTTCTCATGATAGTAAGTCTCATGAGATCTGATAGTTACTGTAAGGGGGAGTTTTCCTGCACAAGCTCTGTTTGCCTGCTGCCATCCATGTAAGATGTGACTTGCTCCTCCTTGCCTTCTGCCATGATTGTGAGGCTTCCCCTGCCATGCGGAACTATAAGACCAATTAAACCTCTTCCTTTTGTAAATTGCCTAGTCTTGTGTATGTCTTTATCAGCAGCGTGAAAACAAACTAATACTGTATGTATTACCTCATCTTGGTTAACTGAGATCCATATTATGCACTGCTTTTTAATAAAAAGAGAAAGGAATGGAGATATGCCAGATTATTTGTTTTGAGTTGGTATATATTTCAGGAAGTCATAAATAAATGAGAATGATGAGCAGTTTTCTTAAAGGTGACTTTATGTTAAAATTGATTGACTAACAACCAAGCCTCCAGGTAAAATATTTAATTTTTTATGAGTGAGATCAATTGCATTATTTTTACATGAAGATCTATATTTAACAATCCTTATTTCCTTTAGCCTTGAACTTTTTTCATCATTTTATGATTTGTATGATTATGTTATTATTAAATTAATTAGAAAAGTTATACATTTAAAATTTGTTTCATAGAATAGGGCTTATTCTTTTCTGTAGCTCTGTTGATTTTGGAGAAGGAGAAGCCCTATATTTACCTATATAAATCAGCTAAAGTTCCACTTCAGTTTGATATGCATGTACTGAAGTCCTCTTATTCACTCAGGAATACATTCATTCTTTTAAGAATTTTTCATTTTTACAGTTTATTAGTCTGTTTCACATGCTAGTCAAGACATACCCAAGTCTGGGTAATTTATAAAGAAAAAGAAGTTTAATGGACTCACAGTTTCACATGACTGGGAAGGTCTCACAATCATGGTGAAAGGTGAAGGAGGAGTAAAGGCTTACATGGTGGCAGGCAAGAGAGCTTGTGCAGGGGAACTGCCCTTTATAAAACCATCTGATCTCATGAGACTCATTCACTGTCACAAGAACAGCATAGGAAAAACAATCCGCCATGATTCAGTTACCTCCAACTGAGTCCCTCCCATGACACGTGGGGATTGTGGGAGCTATAATTCAAGATGAGATTTGGGTGGGGACACAGCCAGACCATATCATACAGTATATGAAAACTTCTTAAATATAATGTTTCAGTGGCTCATCATTCTTTTAATGCTTAATAACCATATACTCACAAATACACACCTATGATATGATCTAGCTGTTTTATTCCTAGATACTTGCCCAAAGACTTATGCGTGAATGTTCAATGCAGCATTATTCACAGTAGCCTAAAACTAGAAACAACCCAATGTCAATCAGTATATTTGAGTGGATAAAAGATATAGCGGTATATCCAAACAATGGAATACTATTTAGCAATGAAAAAATACTTCTATACATGATGACATGGATGAATCTCAAAATCATTAGAGTGAAAATAGACACATAAAAGAATACTTACTGCATGAAGCCATTTCTATAAAATGCAAAGTAATCTATACTGACAGAAAACAGTGGTTACCTGGGACCAGAGGTGGAGGGAAAGATGGCTTACGAAAGGACTTGAGGATTCTTTTGGTTGTGATGAAAATGCTCAGTATGTTGATTGTGGTGATGGTTGCTAAGGTATGTAGAGCTGTCAGCACTCATCAGTTAAACACACTTTAAATCTGTGTAGTTTATTTTACCTACATTTTTCCTTAATAGAGCTAATAAGGAAGGGAATCCAATTAGAATCTAAACAAAAAGGTACACAATTTTTGTTTCTTTTTATATACATGTTAAATTGCAGTAAGGGCTTGAAAGACGTTCTGGAAAACATGGCTATGAATCTCTTTCTGACTCCTCCAGGTAAAAGTAATTTCCTTATTTGTGCTTCCAT
Organism: Homo sapiens; assembly: GCF_000001405.40. NCBI lineage: Eukaryota > Metazoa > Chordata > Mammalia > Primates > Hominidae > Homo > Homo sapiens. The sequence goes on from NC_000004.12 coordinate 98,370,036, forward strand.
TTTACTCTGAACACTTAATTTTGTTTGCTGCTTAAATTATATGTTTTCCCTCACACTTCCCTCTTTTTCCCCTCACCCAAGTAAAACTGTGAATTATCTGTCTTTGTATTCTCAGGACCTAGTTCAATGTATGAAACATAGTGAGCATTCAGAAAAGTGATAAAGGAGGGAGAGAATGCTAATTTAGTTGCAGATTTTGAGATATATTGATGAAACTGACTGTGTAATACATTTCATTAATCAGTATTTAAAATAAGGAAATTTTACTCCTATTAAGTAGGATTTAACTTAGGTTATAAGTGAACTAGAGAAAACATGTTAATGTTACCATGTAAATCTACCTATTGTGGATTCATTATTTATAGATATTAGGTGAATGTATTCATGTTTATTATGAACATTTTATTCCTTTTTATTCCTGTGCAGTTTTATATAAACCTCCTTTCTCCTTTTTTCTCCAGTCATTCCTCCAAAAGAGGTATATTCTCTTCTCTATGCTTCTGTAACACACCATAAAAAAATTGCATTAAAGCTTTTTTTTTTTTTTTAACAGAGTCTCGCTCTGTCACCCTGGCTGGAGTGCAGTGGCGCGATCTCTGCTCCCAGCTCATTGCAACTTCCACCTCCTGGGTTCAAGCGATTCTCCTGCCTCAGCCTCCCGAGTAGCTGGGACTACAGGCGCGTGCCAACACACCTGGCTAATTTTTGTATTTTTAGTAGAGATGGGGTTTTGCCATGTTGGCCAGGCTGGTCTCGAACTCCTGACCTCAGGTAATCCACCTGCCCCAGCCTCCCAAAGTGCTGGGATTACAGGTGTGAGCCATCGCGCCCAGCTGTATTGAGGCTTTTATTCTGTTTACTACTCTGTCTTCCTCATTGGAATAGAAACTCTTTGAAAGCAAAGTCTTGTGTTGCTGTTTGTGTCTACTGTACCTGACACAAAGCCTAAGTTAAAACTTAATAAGCATCTGTTCTGTGATTGTGAATGTGTGGATTTATCCCTAGTTTTATCAGTTTTTGTTTTATATATTCTGAAGCTCTGTTTGTAGGCATTTATACATCATTTAGGATTGTTATATCTTTTTTTTTTTTTTTTTGAGACGAAGTCTCTCTGTCACACAGGCTGGAGTGCAGGAGCAGGATCTCGGCTTACTGCAGGCTTCATCTCCCGGGTTCAAGTGATTCTCCTGCCTCAGCCTCCTGAGTAGCTAGGATTACAGGCGTGTACCACCATCCCCAGCTAATTTTTTTTTGTATTTTTAGTAGAGGCAGGATTTCACCTTGTCGGGCCAGGCTGGTCTTGAACTCCTGACTTCAAATGATCCACCTCAGCCTCCCCAAATCCTGGGATTCCAGGTGTAGGATTGTTGTATCTTCTTGTTGAATTAACCCTTTTGTTGTTATGTAATGTCCCCCTTTATCCCTGATAATACTGCTTATTTTTTATGTTTTATTTTTTTAGATGGAGTCTTGCTCTGTTGCCCAGGCTGGAGTGCAGTGGTGCGATCTTGGCTCACTGCAACCTCTACCTCCCAGGTTTAAGTGATTTTCATGCCTCAGCCTCCCGAGTAGCTGGGATTATAGACACACGCCACCATGCCTGGCTAGTTTTTGTATTTTTAGTAGAGATGAGATTTCACTGTGTTGGCCAGGCTGGTCTCAAACTCCCGCCTTGGCTTCCCAAAGTGCTGGGATTACAGGTACGAGCCTCCGCCCCTGGCCAATACCGCTTTTTCTGATGTCTACTATGTCTGACAATGTAGACACACCAGTTTTCCTTTGATCAGTGTTTGCATGGTATATCTTTTACCAACCTTTTAATATTATTTAATATTCTTAAAGTGGGTTAATTATAGACAGCATGGTTGGGTCTTGCTTTTTTACCCAATCTGACCATCTCTCCCTTTTAAGTGACATTTAGATTATATGTATTTAATATGATCTTTCTGTGGTTGGCTTCAAATCTACCATCTTCCTAGTTGTTTCTTTTTTTCTCCCACAAAGGCGGGTTTATTTCCGAACCTAGTTGTTTTCTGATTGTCTGAACTGTTCTTTGTTCCTCTTTCCCTCTTTGTCCGCCTTTTTTTGGATTCTTCACATTTAGCTCCATTACTGGCTTCTTGTGTTTTTTTATTGTTTGTTTTTGAGGTGGAGTCTTGCTCTGCCACCCAGGTTAGCGTGCTGTGGCGCGATCTCGGCTCACTGCAACCTCCGCCTCCTAGGTTCAAGCAATTCTTCTGCCTCAGCATCATGAATAGCTGGGACTATAGGTGCACGCCACCATGCCCAGCTAATTTTTGTATGTTTTTTAAATAGAGATGGGGTTTCACCATGTTGGCCAGGCTGACCTCGAACTCCTGACCTGAAGTGATCTGCCTGCCTTGGCCTGCCAAAGTGCTGAGATTACAGACATGAGCCCTCGTGCCCAGCCCATTACTGGCTTCTGATGCCACTTTGTAAGTTTTTAGTGGTTGCCCTGTGGCTTGCAATATTTATTCTTAGCTTATCACAGTTTATCTTCAAATATTATGTCACATTAATTTAATCAATCACCTTACTGTACAGTTCCACTTCCTCCCTTAAATCTTTTATGCTTCTGTTTTCTATTTCATTTTTACATATGTTAGAAATCCCAAATATATTGATGTTATTTTTACTTAAAAATTTGAGACACGGTCTTGCTGTGTTGCCCAGGCTGGTGTGTAGTAGTGCAATCATGGCTCACTGTAACCTTGAACTCCTAGGCTCAGGTGATTCTCTTACCGCAGCCTCCTGAGTAGCTAGGACTACAAGTGCATGCCACAATGCCTGGCTAATTTCTTTTTTTCCTTTTGAGTAGAGACAGGTTCTCACTGTGTTGCCCAGGCTGATCTCAACCTCCTGGCCACAAGAGACCTTCCTGCCTTGGCCTCCCAAAGTGCTGAGATTATAGGCGTGAGCCACTGTACCTGGCCTGTTTTTACTTTAGACAGTCAATTATCTTTTAAAAATAGGAGAAAAACTGTCTTAACATACTTTTATCATTTTCAGTGCACTACATTCTTTGGGTAGATCCAAATTTTTGTCTAGTATACCTCTAACTGAAAAACTTTTACTAACATTTTTTGCATAACAGGTTTATTGCAATGAATTATCTCTTTTATTTGCTTGAAACAATTTTACTTAACCTTACTTACTGGAAGATATTTTCACTGGGTGTAGAATTCTAGGTTGGACTTTAAAGATGTTACTTCATTGTCTTCTAGCTTGCATAGTTTTTGATGAGAAGTCTGCTTTATTTCTTATTTTTTCTGTTTTTTTCCCCCTTCCGGCTGCCTTTAAGAGATTCTCTCTCTTTCCCTCTCTCTCCCTCCCTCCCTCTCCCTCTCTCTCCCTCCCTCCCTCTTGTTTGTTTTTCAACAGCTTGGGTATGATAGGTCTAGGTATGTTTAATTGTTTTCCTTTGCTTGGGGTTCTCTAAGCTTTAATAGATTTGTAGCATGATGGCTTTCATTTTTGGAAAATTTTTCAGTCATTAACTCTTAAAATATTTTTCTACCCTGTTCTCTAGCACTTCATTCTCTGAGATTCCAGGTACAGTAGTGCCCCCTTATCCACAAGGGATACATTCTGAGACCCTCAGTGGACACTTGAAACCAAAGGTAGTACCAAACCTGTATATATCATGTCTTTTTAAATATATTTTCACACCTGTAATAAAGTTAAACCATGAATTAGGCATGGTAAGAGATTAATACAATAACTAATAGAACAGTTATAGCCATATGTCAGCATCACTGCTCTTACACTTTGAGGCCATTAAGTAAAATAAGCATTACTTGAACACAAGCACTGCGATACCGTGACAGCTGATCTGACAGTTACTTAAGTGACTAATGGGCAGGTAGTGTATCTAGCATGAATACACCGGGCAAAGAGGGAGTTCATGATTTGAATGGGATGGTGTAAAATTTTATGTTACTCAGAACAGCGTGCAATTTAAAACTTTATTTTTTTTATTTCTGGAATTTTTTTTATTATTTTCATGCTACCATTGACCATGGGTAACAAACTGCAGAAAGTAAAACCATGGATGAAGGGGGACTACTGACTACTGTACACTTAGGTTAGACCATTTGCTATTTTCTTTCCTTCAGCTCTTGGGTGCTCTGGGTTATCCCACTCCCACTTGTTTAGTTTGTTCATGTTTTAGTTTGTGTAATTTCTATTGATCTATGAGTTCGCTGAGTCTTTTCTTGGTTTGTTGAGTCTGCTATTCAGCCTGTTGAAATAATTCTTTGTGTTGCTCCTTTCTAGCATTTCCATTTAACTCTTTCTTACAGTCTCCATTTTCTCCAAAATTTCACATCTATTCATGGATATTATTCAGTTTTTCCACTAGATCCTGTAACGTAGTCATTATCGTTAAAGTCCCTGTATGATAGTTTTAACATCTGGATCACCTGTGAGTTTTGTTGGTTTCATCTTTTGACAGTGAGTAATTTTTTTCTTAAAATGCATCTCAACTTTTTATTGCAGCTGGATATTATTGTAGGAAAACAGATTAACAGTATTTAATCTCTGGAATTGAGCGCACTTCCTTTTAATTTAGGGTGTTCGCATAGGGTAGAGGTCAAGCCAGTCTAGTCAGGAGTCGAACTAGGTTCATGTTTTGTTGTTGCTCACCTTACTTGAGTGCAGTATGTTCTTCAAATTCCTTTAGTAGTCGGCCGTTCTTACTTTATGCTTAGAGTATGGGTGCTGGAGGACTTTCCTTAGTGTTCTTGCTTTGACTTCAGGCTTGGACCCGTTCCCGCACAGCTGTGGGCTTTTTCTGTGCTCTTGCTCCTCTCCCAGTGGTAAATTGTTGTTAACAAGGAACATTCCTATTACAGTTAGCCTGTAGAGCAAAATCCCATTTCTAAACAATACTCACACACACAAAAAAGAAACTTAAATATTTCACAGTGTTGTATTATATTCTATTATATGGAGTGGTGTGTTAGTTTCCTAGGGCTGCTGTAACAAAGTACCACAAACTAGTTGGCTTAAAATAAGAGAAGTTTATTGTTTCACAGTTCCAGAGATTTTTAAGTCTGAAATCAAGGTGCTCACCAGGGCATGCCTCTCTCTGAAACCTGTAGGGGAGGAGGACATTTTTGCCTCTTTGTAGCTTCTGGTGGTCCCAGGTGTTCTTTGGCTTATGGTAGCATAATTCTAATCCCTGCCTCTGTCTTCACATGGCATTCTCCTCTGTGCATCCCCCTCCTCTTATAAGGATACAAGTCATATTGGATTAAAAATCTGCCCTACTCCAGTAGGACCTCACCTTAACTAATTATATCTACAATGACCCTGTGTCCAAATAAGGTCACATTCTGAAGTGCTAGGGATTAGAACTTAAACATAGATTGAAGGAGGGCACACAATTTAACCCATGATAAGTAGAAATGACATTTATGTCTCAAAAACATTACTCATATCAGTAACATTATCTCCTATAGAAAAAGATACTAAACCACAGAATATTAAAAGCCAGGCTAAGAATACACTAACATATTAGAAAGATTTTTGATACTTGCTTCCTTTTCAATTCAGATAAATTTAAAGATGCAAGTGACAGTTTTTAAAAATCACATTTTAATATGAAATGTACAAAGTCCAACGTATGTGTGTGTGTCACTCTCACAATCATCCATCCTCAAGGTGAATAGTAATTTATCAATATCTGTCAAAAGGCCCCATTCATTAAAAAATTCTTGAGTACCTACTATATACTAGGCATTTGCCATACACAAGGAGGAAACGTAGTAAAATCCAAAGTTAGGATGCACTGTACGACATGCCACAATAGTTAGATTCAGTGGCTGTATTTTAGGTCTTTTCCTCACCCTTAGTGTATAACTTGTACCTGATAATAGTGTTTAACTTGATAACATTTTTTTTTTCTCATTTGTGAGACATGATAACCATGACACAAATTTTATTGCTGCTTGCTTTTGATTACAGAAGGGTAATGGAAGTGCAGTAACTCTTTAGATTTAAAGCCCTGCTCTTAGCTAATGTGAAGAATGATCATACTTGTGCTGGAAACTGCTTTGTGTGAAAGATCATCATTAAAGGATTTAATAGGACTTTAAAGAGTGGGCTGCACTTTTTCCAGTGGTTGGATGCTTCATAATTAAATGAGGAAAATTGAGATGTAAATTATATTTTTAGAAGTGACAGCTCAGGATGCTTCATAGGTTAGCTGTTACTTATGAGAAGAGTGAAAGATGAGCTTACACTTAGGGATACACAAGTTTAGGATAGGGAACCTTTTGAGAATTATTTTTAAGTGAACAATAATACTCATTATGATAATGTAACATGAAGGTATAGAGTTAACTATGGAAAACCAATTTATATGGACTTGTGCAATGATAGCTGTTGTATTTAAAATGATTTGTTTTCTAAATACTACTGGAAAAATAAGTCAGTTGTAAGATACTTCTAAAGATGACTTATGTCACTGGTTTTGCTAAAGGAACACATTATTATCATTTATTCCTTTGAATCCTTAAATTCTATTAAATATTTTTAAAAAAATGCTTTTACTGTGTTTCTCAGGCTGACTTGTCCAAAGAAAGAAAAAAGCTGTATAATCAATCATTCCTATAGTGGTGGTTAATATTTTTTGAACCCAGATCACTATTATTGTAATACATGCTTTGCTTTTCTTCTCATATTTGGTAATAATGTAATTTCTAGTATACAGATTGTGTTTATGCCTTGCAAACAATTCTCAATAACACATGAGCAAAAAGCTGTGTTATAGACAATTCAGAGGAGGGGGGTGGAAGGAGAGGAGGAGAAGAAAAGCACTGTGGCTCTGAAACACAAATAGGTAATTTGCTTTTAATTGTATTGTGTTTTTATTGCATCAAATTTGTTGAATAAGTTTGTATTTTAATTTATTGAATTATGGAATTTTTGAACATTTACTAGCTTAGTGTGGATAAGAAGCCAGCTTTCATTCACAGTTCATTGCAAATAGGTGCCACATAGTTTCTAAGCCCTAGTTTCCTAGTATATGAAATTCCTAATATATGAATACAAGGCTTAGTTTAGCTATTCTCTAAGATGTCTTCTTCTAAGTAAGTCCTAAGCATACATGATTTATATTTCAAAAGCCCAGTTTACTCAGGAATTAGAATCAAATACTATTCGAGCTTTGCAATTTAGGATGGGATGTACTATACCTTCATATTATTGAAGGTCTGAACATTTAGATTTGTAATCCTAATGTTCAGTTTTCTGAGACATCATCCACATAGAAATTGCCCAGTAATTTAGATAATTTACATCTATGTTATGGAAAACAAAAATTTGGAAATTAGATTTCTAAATGAGATTTGACCAATTGTTCTTGGCTGGTTCATCTAGCTAGTTACTCTGGCAGTATAAGAATTTTCTGTGATCTGATGAGCTGATTAGCATACAGTCCTGTTTTCCATCTTTATAACAATACAGTAAAACTAAGTGGATAAAACTGTTTTGTTTCATTTTAGTGTGGATTTCCTCAAAAATTTTCAAAATTATGAACATAGTATTTCTGAGGTCTTACTATATAATTGTGTGTGTGTGTGTGTGTGTGTATACCATAAGAAATTACATATTTTAAGTTGTATCATCTAATATGATTCAGCAACAGTAATAAAGATGTGACCTTAGTTTCAGTTCTTATATTTGGAAAATGAAAATCTTTCAAATTGTAACTAACTTCGTAGCTGTAATTCCTTTGTGAGTCATTTATTTTGCTGATCTTTGTGCTATATTTCTGTAGCTGAATAGTACAGTGTGGTAGCTACTAGCCAAATTTAGCTACTGAGCAATTTAAATGTGGCTAGTCTGAGTTGAGATGTAACTGTAAGGGTATAAAACACTTGGATTTTGAAGATATATTGTGAAGATGATAATACAAAATATTTTGTTAATTTATTGATTTGCATATCAGAGTGATATATATTGAATTGAATAAAATATTACTAAAATTAATTTTCACCTGTTTTTTAATGTGTCTATTAGTAAATTTAAATTACACATGTGGTTCACATTTATGGCTCACACATTTCTCTTGGACCTCTTCTAGAGGGTGGTTATATTTTATCTAAGGTGTCAGATTTAGAATGACACGTATTCTTCTTTTAATTTATTTTCATTCTTATGTTCAAAAGTTAGAAAGTAGTCTAAAGCTGTTTGTATGTTCTGACAGTTAAGTAACATCTGTTTTATGCAATGTAGATGGACACATAATGGAAGTTATGTTTGACCATCACTTGACCACTTTTTGTAATGTTGAATTATATTGGTGTGCCCTAGAAGAGAGGGAATAAGGAAAAAAGAAACAAATCAAGAATGAAAAAAGGGAACATGCTTCTGGACTATAGGAAATGCCATTAACAAAGACCATAGTACCAATATTCAGGAATTACCTATTATGATTTAGAGTTACACCATATGGTTTTCTTTAATAAGAGCTATTATCAAAGACATAATAACGTTCCCATATGGTTTTCTTCGATAATAGCTGATTTTGAAAACCAATGACAAAAAGTTATATTTAGTGATTTTTTCAACCTGAGGGACAAAAACTTATATCAATAGAATATCACTTAGTTTCTGTTTTTTTCTCTTACACAGCATTGTCATTTGTGAAAGAGGGAGTGAAAGTTTTCATATTGTAAACTTCTAGGACACAGGGAAGTTCTGTAAGCTCCTATATGATGCCAATGAGAATAATCTTGGTTTGCTTAAAAAGTGATTGTCTCTTTTCCCCATCCCACCCCCATTTCCATGTTTATTTCTTTTGTTTTTTTCTGAAAAGACATATTTAATGTCCTGCCTAGGTTTATTTTCTATTTATTCACAAAATAAAGAATAACACTGTTATGTTTTGTATTTGAAATTGTAAGGTACATTTCTTTTTTCTTTTATTTTTAATTTAACTCTTTGTTTTACAGATGAGGGCAGAAGTGCAGTTGACCAAGCAGGTGGTGCACAGATTGTAATTGACCATTTAAGGTCACTGTGCAGTATAACAGATCCCGCCAATGAGAAGCTCTTGACTGTCTTTTGTGGCATGCTGATGAACTATAGCAATGAGAATGGTAAACAAAACTGAAAACTTGCTTTATCTCTGGGGGAAAAATTAAAAATTATCTTTACTATAGTGCAAAACAAAAATATTTGAAAAATGATGAACAAAGAATTCGTAAGTGGCATATAAAATTAATAATTAGCCAACATTAAATTTCAATGTTTCAAAAATGTAAAATGGTTAATTTACTAAATGGGACTAATTTTTGAAGGGCTGCCAGTTTTGATCAGTATCAAAAACAAAAACTCCACAGCCCTATAGTATGATTTAAGCATTCTTACTGTGAACATTTTAAAAATAAACAATATTAAAATAGTTTTATCTTCGTTATATATATACCAGGAGTAGCTTTAAAATATGAACACTGTTTGCAGAAGTAAAATTATTTTATCTAGATGCTAGGTTTACTTCGAATAATTTTTTAAAACTCTAATAAAATCTGGCTTTAGAAACAAGTTCAGAGCAACTGTAGAGATCTCATTTTAGAAATTTAATTATTGTAAACAGCAGTTTCTTTTCTCTGTAAAACATTTTTAGACCCTAGAAACAAGTGATGTATCAATAATTTTCAGATAGCCTATATGGTTAATTAAATGCATATAAATCTGTGATATTAAGGCTTCACAATACGTTTGTGTCACAAAATATCCATTTGTTTCTTTATCATCTTATGTGAATCACTGTGTGGATCAGACATTCAAATTTTGGTATGTTCCTGGTATGTAACACAAATAAGGTCTTTCTGTGGTTTGTTTCATAATGGCATTTTAAGTTGTGATATTTTGGCAGAGACATTTTATTTGCATATTAGACATGCAGTATTATTCTTTACTTTCGTGTGTTGTAGAAACACGTGGCCCTTTTGGCATACTTTTTATTTTTTTTCACATTTTATAGTTGTGGGTCCAAAGAAATATTCTCAATAATTCAAAAAAAAAAAAAAAGATAAACCTTGGCAATAAATGGCTACTGATATTTGGCCCTTGTTGTTAGTGACAACAGTGAATGGTGGGGACTGTGGTAAGTTGAAGAGCCCTTGTCCTATTGAAAGGGGAAAACCACTACTCTTCTCTAGCCAGTTGTTTCTGTATGACGGTTTGGCCAAATACTGCCCAATCTTTATATTTTGGGGATGGGAGGTGGGGGAGAAAGCTGAAATGTCTAGTTTGTTATGTGACATCTGAGTTTTAAATGTTGGATTACATATTTTTAATACTATAGAAGCTAAACAGAAAGTATCTTCAGGCCTCATCCTGTCCAAGGGCTACCAGTTTTAAGCCTTTGAATTAAGATAATAGAGTTTTTATTGATCAAATGGCTTACATATTAAACTTGAGCTAATAATAAATGGTAGTCTTCATAGGATAAGTTACATCTGTTTTTCCTTCCTTCTGGTGGAATCAATTTTGAAGAACAAATGCCCTAAATATAAATATGAGAAACAGAAAGGACAGAGCCTGAGAAATCCACAAAATAAATACATATTTCCTAAATAATTGAAATTTAACCACAATACATAGGTGTCTGAATTGCATTAAGAAATCATTGGTCAGATTTTCATATTGTTTTCTTTGCTTTTAACTGCATTTGGGCTTGGACATTTGAGGAAGTAGGAAGAACACTAAATGGGAAAAAGTTTTAGAAATATAAATGAAAGAAATTTTAAGAAGTTATTCCAGTTTTGGAAGTAGTAGAATTAGTCTTGTTATGCATCTAACCTAGCTGTTAGTTCTTTGAGGAAGCTGTTAAAAAAAAATCTGTATAGAGGTATTAATATATCAGATGGCTGGTCTTCAAAAGCATCACTATTTCCAATCCAAAGCAGTGATTGAGTCCCATAATATTATAGGGTATCCCAGTGTGTAGAGAAGTGTTCTGAGAAAGAAGATTATAATTAACAGCATGTGGAGTGCACAGTCTAACTGTATAATATATATATTTTTTGAAGAGTAGGCTTTTTTCTAGAGCTCAGGCATTCCCAAGAAATAACTTAGAGACTTTAGAAAGCTATATTAACTTTTCTCTGAATATTATTAGACAAATGGTCTTTTTCTTCCTTTATTTCAAAAGCTGCAGTTTGCAGCTTTTAAAACTTATCGAATAAAAAAGACATAATCTTGAGTATTTTTAAGAAACAAATGCGAAACTTGTAACTATCATCATCTTTCCTCTACTTCCTTTTTACATTTTGTCTGTCACGAGTGTCTTAATTTGTGAAGTGATTCTTTTTCTTCTAATGTTCACTGAAATTATATCCTTTTATGTATGTTTGGCATAATTATTAAAGCGTCTTTATTGTTTTGTCCATTATTTGCTTTCTCTTTTCCTTAAAATTTATGTTTGAAGACTTAAATATTACATCATCTTTACTGACTCAGATTGTTTGGTATTGATCATGTGTACCTAGATAAGTCCCTGAAACAAAAAATAACAGCTTTTTGAAACTCAGGAGGCACTTTCTATTAGCACTAATAAGTGAAGTTTCTTTTTATATGTATTTACTATGTAGAACATCAGTATACAAGACTCTGCTAATTTATAAGTAAAATATTGAGTGACAAATAGCTTTTTCCTGCTGTAGTAGAAAAGTTAACTGCCTTGGACCCAATAACTTAAGCCGTATCTGTAGTTAGGAAGTTATTGTTCTTTAGCTGTATGTATAAAATGTTTAAAGTATGCTTATAAAAAAAAAGTACTGAGAGTGGTCACAAAAATCCACCAACATAGTTTCCCTGAAGAGAATATTTTCAAATTATTTATTAGTCTCAAAATTGAAACTTAGAATGTCTTGATTCAGAAGCTTCCTGTTCATACAGTAAAACTCAGAGCATATCCACTTTTTAAACCCATTAAATAAGGAATAAAACAAGTTTCCTAAACACATGCAAGTCATATATGTTATGAAAATATTCAGTAAAGTCATTTTTGTACCATTTGCTAAAGCTGTATATAATTCATAATTTATCAGTTTCAAAAGTTTTAAACTAGCTCAAGACTCTATACCTCTAAGCTATGAGCTGGATATATACTTTTGTTTCCCTATTGGTGAAGCAGTTAATACTCAGGTAAGTGTAGAATAATCTGAATAGCAAAAGTTATAATTGCTTAGCCAAAGAAGTTGTATCAATAATGCATAAATAAAATAATATTTAAATAACACAAAACTTTAGTAAAAATTGTTTTAAATTTATCCATTTTGGAAAAAATATACATGTTTTTCACATGGTGAAAAAGCACTCTTTGATTCTGTGGCTCATGAAAATAGCCTGAATATTTGACAATTATGGCTGTAGAAAAGCTTGTTGACACTTTGACATTCAGTTTGAGGGAATGTGTTGAACTTGCTATTTTTTTTTCTTCATTTTGTTACAACTTTAGTTATTCTATAATCCAAGGAACTCAAACCTTTAATTGTAGGTATTTTAATCTCATTAGTTTGTTATCTGTTTCCTAGCTTTGGTTACCCAATGCCAAAACATTGCAGTGATGACTGAAAATTTTGTTCAGTCATCCAGCTGTTTTCAAATATAACACTGTTTTAGCACATAGGAGTTTGGAAAATTTTCATTGATTGACTTTTTCTGGATACTTATTATCGTCTAAAATTTTCATTAGCAAATTCAATACTTGGAAGAGAAACATGTTATTGGAATGCATTTGCTTCATTAAATAAGTTAGAACCATTACAAACTCTTTCCCACTATGTTAGTTGATGTTCCTTATCTACGTATGATACATGGTGGCAGCAGTAAGGGGCATTGAAAACACACTGGTAGTAACAAGTACCAGATCTGTAATTAAAAATTTCCCATAGGTGATCCACAAGCGTGTTGAGTCTGCATTTGTACACTTGAATTAATTGCACGTTTGAATAGAAACAAACCAGTGATCTAAAGCAAAGCACTAAAGACCAGAACACCACCTTGTTGACAAATCTATTGGTAGTCACCATTGTTGTAAGTAGATGTAATTAATCAATAAATATCTCATGGAAGGTGTAATTGAGGGTTTAACTTTTTCTCCTAGTATTGTTGTGCTAGAGACACAAATAGAGGGAAAATTCTATTATAACTCTTAAAGAAAGTGGTAAATGATAAGCATTAAACACTAAAGTTACTATTTTACGTAAGCTATGCCATAAGAGAGAAAAGTAGAGGCAATTGAAAGATGCCATCAGGAAAGGAAAAAGTATCTTCTAAAATTATTAACATATGCAGTCTAGGCTTCTTCATCTGACCTATATTTTATATATACATGTATGATATGTGTATATATGATTTCTACAAATACAGCCGATTTTTCTAATATTTTAATTACTCCTCATTATTGAAAAACTAATTTCTCTTTTTTTGTAGTTCCTGAAATCTCTCTGAGATACCTACATGATAATTCTTATATTTATTTGTCGCATGGGCTGATGATAATTAAGCTATGGTTGAAGGGAGGCCATGTATGTAATTTAGGAAGTGTAACACCTGTGGCATATTATTGAAGCATGACAACTGAGTTTAAATATTAAGCTCATTGTTTAAATTCACTTGTTTAAAAAAGGCCTATACTACTTCTCCCCATATTAAAGATTATTTAATGTGTAATTAATCTTAGCTGCTACTTTCAGTCAATAGCAACAATTTCTTAGTTCATAATTAAAAACTAAAAAGCATGTTGGCCTGAGCTGCATGTTTATCCTTATGTTTCAGTATTACAATACTTTATTACGGGTGAAAAAGAGCATTTCCTAGATGTGTTAGATGTTTAGAAAAATGATTTGCTTCACATGAGTGAAGAACTATTTTTAAACTTTACTTACTGTGGTTACAAGCTAGTTAATAATTTATATATTTCCTAAATAGTAAATTATTTTTACCTTACTCTAAGGAAAAAGAACAAAACAATATGTAAAAGGTAAAATTGTATCTTTGCAATTTATTATCTTTTTTAAAGTTTTTCTTCTTTCTCAGAGATCCTTGTTCTGATACTGTCTTTTTTAATGAAACTAATTTTCCATCATACTACCTTACATGTATTTTATTTTTCCTCTATTTATGAAGACATGGGAGATGTACATTTAAGTTAACATCTTTTGAAGCCCAGTTTGTCACTTTTTACTCCAGTGAGTTAAATGAAGTGTGTTGAAGACTTATTGGGCAGCTGAAAAGTACTTAGGCTTTTTTATTCTTTCTTTATTATACTAACTGTTGTTCTTTATTTACTGTTGTTCTCTTTTTTAAAAATTCCTGAATTTTTGCTGTTTGTCCAACAGCTTTCTAGTCAGTTTGCTGAAAAAGGTTGCTTTCATAAAGTTCTACCACAAGTGTTATTTTAAACAAATTGTTTCACTAAAGAATAGAGCAGTTAGTTAGTCTGGTGCCTCTTGCTAATTCAACCTATTAAATTTGACCAATTAGACCAGGTTAGCTTTTAGTGATAATCTTCCTAGACTATTTCTATGATAATGCTGTTACTTAATGAACAGGCTGAGAGCTTGATTTTCAGTAGAGGTGTATCAGATACACATTTTGGTCTAATTCCACATGATCAAGTATTGGCATTTATATTCAGCTTTGGCCATTAGAGAATGAACTTCTGAATGTAAGAAGCTGAAATTTTATCTTAGAAAAATAAAATTATTATAGTCTTTTTGTCAGTAATTTTAGCAGTCTAATACTTAAAATTTGGCATTATATTATTACAGGAATAATACTTTCTCAGCATTGTTAGCTTCTAGATTGCTACTGCGATTATGATAATGCATTTAATATCATAATACCACATAGATGCCCACTTAGTTGAGGGCAGTGAAAGGGCAAAATATGTTTGGAGTTGCTCATTCTTTAGTATGGTTTTCTCATTTTTATTTGCTTTATGTCTGGATTGAAGATTAATCATAGCCGTTATCAAATATTATTTTCAAGATTTTTCTCATTGTGAAAATTTGAAGTGGAAAAATTGGTTTTCTGATTTTGATTTCATCCTTACAAGATGTATATCACCATTAATTATTGGTGCATTTTAATATAATAATATGCATTTACATTTCAACTGATAGAATTTCAACATATAAAGCATATAGGCAAATTTTCTCTTTACATGAAATGCTTACCTATATTTAAAAATAAATATTCAGATAGTAACAAGTCTGAAAGACCAGGTCTTTACTGTAAGTGTTCCTATACTAGTTGAAATATGATGATATGAGGCACATAATCATTGATCATGCACAAATTTTTAGGTTCCAGAAATGATGTTGAAGTAAGCATTGAGCTGTTTGGCCTTTCAAAAGCTGAGGCTAAAATCAGAGGTAAATAATAGGTTTTAGCCAGATATCTGTATTTGCGTGTCTAATTTAGGCCATTTACAAAGTCCATTCAGAGAGGCGCTGAACCCAGAAAAGCATCATGTGTAAATTAACTTTTATGAAGATTATTAATCCTGTTTTTTTAACTATAAGTAAAATCCAGTTAATACTGTACTGCCTATATTGTTTTATTTACTAAAAAATTTTTAAGTCCTACTTGAAAAACTAGAAAGTGAAATGCTTTTGAATATGCAGATGTATCTTGTTAACAGAATTTTTGCCTTGCAAATAACTTCTGTGCAATTTTAAACTGTAAAAACTAAATTACAATAATGCCCCATGGTAACTAGAAAAGTTTTTTTTAAGCTAATATATTCTTTTGTAAAAGAAGGGATTTCTATGTTTTTAAGCATATGTTTGTAAGATACACGTTGGAATATAAATTAATTTGGCATTAGCTTAACTTGCTGTACAAAAATTCAGGCTTAAATTTATACTTACTGTAGATGTGGTCTTTATCTCAGCAGTGCTGTATGAAAGCAGAGACTGAATTGGTTTCTCTTAATAAATGCTGCTTAAGCAACAGCTGGCAGTAGTCCTCTTTAAAAAAAAAAAAGACATTTAACTTAAAAGACCAGTTTTTTTCTGAGATGAAAGCGTAGAGTTTTCTTTAATCAGAATAAACATATCTATAGAATTTTTTTGTAGCAGTATTCATTGTAACAAAAGTTGATCTGTAACAAATAATTAACCTGTAGTAAATATGGGGAAAAATTATCTACTAGATTAAGGCATAATCACTCTAGTTGTCATTATATTGAGAACAGTAAATGAATAAGTTTCTTAAGAATAATAAAATATTTTTACTATCTGTTGATTTTTGCTTTGGCATTTTTTTGTTGTTGCTTCTGTTTTACATCAATCTCACACATATAATTTTGCCATTTATATTTAAAACTTTTACAAAAGGGAAATTTTGCCATGTAGAGACAATTTTTATTTTCAGAACCCAGAAAGAACCTTAGAATTATCTTTTCTAGTTTTTTATTTGTTAGCGACTAGGAAGAAATGTATAAATGTATTGTTTTAAACCTCCAATATTGTCAATATTAATGAATGTTGGCTTTTTTTTTTTTTGAAATTTCTATGTATCATTGAAATGTATAATGGGGCTTAAAGCGACAATCTGGGTGCAAAACACATGCATGTTTGATATAAAGAAGGCTTTAAAATAATTGAATTTTAAACACATGTAAGTAATCTAGTTTTTATATCCTCAACACTAGGCTTAGAATAAAGTTCTCCACTTTATAAACATTTGAGTATATAAAGTTTTTAACCACTAATCATCCTCTTGGTAGCCATATTTAAGTCAGTTTACTTTGCAGTGTTATAATAGAGCTAAAACTTGCTTGAACTTGAAGCTCTACTTCAGTTGTATCGTTTCTAATTTTTAATTTTCATATCCTTTTTTGGAAATACAGATATGTCATTAAATCAAAGGTAGTTTTCTTCAGTCTTTATTATGCCCAAATGATTTTTAGCCAATTTGTATTAGAACTTTTCATCAAGAGTTTTATTTGCTTCTTTCACTGTTTCAACTATGCTCAACTCATTTGACTGTAGATGGGATTTTTAATGCAAGCCTGTAAATGGCAATATCATATCATTATACTGTGAATAATATATCTACGTACTAATGTACAGACTGTATTTTGAATTGTGTCTTGTCTTGTTTTTACAAGTTCATTCTTAAGTTCTATTTACCAAAAAGCTTAATCTTATAACATTGTCTATAAGGCCTTAGGAATAAGGTAAACCTGTTATAATCTTCTTAACAAACTTATTTTTAGTAACTTCAGTTGAATCACTGGAATTCTCAGCATACTTTTCTGGACCTATAATCTAGTTATACCAATGTTTTAAACATTAAACTTAAAACTCAGGGGGGAAAAGGTTCCTCAACTTGAGATCTTCTCTCCAGATCTCCATTCTTTGGAGTTTCCATGAGTGTGACCTGAAGAACTTGGAACCATTGAAATTCAAATGTAGGTAGGTAAGTGTTCACACCAGCGCATGCGTTGATTGCCTTATATCTCTTTGTATATGCATCTGTATTGCACCCCCTCAGTGCCTTTCTTCCTCTTCCTCCCCATAGATCATGTAGGGCCTGTGTCATTTTGATATTATGTAATTTCGTAAATCTGTATTTGGTCAGTGTTTGTCTGTGATGTGTGTCAGGAGCAGTTAAAACAGAGTCTTCGGACATTTATGACATTGTGCTGTCTAAAGACTGTCTTTCACACATAAGTGTTTGCTATGTATGGGCCTGGGTTACATTTTTGTGAATTGCTGTGTTTGTTGAGCTCTGATAACATTCTCCTGGAGGTGCTGATATTCACTGAGGGAGGCAGAAGTAGTAGTCTTGCAGTTGCTTCACTTAATCTGCCTAATGTATCTAGAGAACAAGAACTATTTCTAGTTCTCAGAATTTCTTCCTGTTTGTCTTTCGCTTAAAAGTCATACTCCTGATAACATTCATGATACCATGGATGTCAGCTATTATCCTTTGAAAAACATTTGCAAGTTTTCTTTGGGCAATAAAAAAGATGATCAAATGAATCATTTGTTTATGTCAATAAGAATATCAACTTATCCTACACAAACAGGACCCCTACTTAATCTTTTCAAAAAACAGCACCGCCACCTACTGAATTGTAACATCTACATAGTAACTGAAATAGGTAGACTCAATCTGGAATGATCTCTTAGGCTTAAGTAGAGTTTCTTCTCAAATAAGCATGATGAGATGTTAGGAGCTTTATTAGTGTTATTTCTCTGAAAATATCAGAGTGCCAAAATCTAGGATTCCTACCAAGCTTTTATCTAATTTTTTTCCTGTTATCACTTCTGCTAAGCACATCATTGAACTTCAGAATATTTACCATGTTTCCCACTCACCTCCCAATCTCTTATAAAAATGAGATAGCCCTGGTGGGCGCTGTAGCTCACACCTGTAATCCCAGCACTTTGGGAGGCCGAGGCGGATGGATCGCCTGAGGTCAGGAGTTCGAGACCAACCTGTCCAACATGGTGAAACCCTGTCTCTACTAAAAATACAAAAATTAGCTAGGTGTGGTGGCAGGGGCCTATAATCCCAGCTACTCGGGAGGCTGAGGCAAGAGAAGTGCTTGACCCTGGGAGGCGGAGGTTGCAGTGAACTGAGATCACACCACCGCACTCCAGCCTGAGCAACAGAGTGAGACTTCGTCTCAAAAATTTTTTTTTTTAAAATTAGGTAGTCCTTTGACACTGGTTCTTAAATTTTGGTCTTATGATTTTAGATGTCTAAAAATTATAGAAGACCTAGAAGACTTTTTTTATGTATTTGGGTTATGTCTGTCAATATTTACTGAATTAGAAATTTAAATGAAGAAAATATTTAAAATTATTTAGTATTTCATTTTAAAATAAGAAACCTATTATATGTTAACAGAAATAACATTTTTATGAAAAATATTTTCCCAAAAAAATTGCTGCAAAGAATAGCAGTTTGTTTTACTATTTGTGATGGTGAAGAAAACAATGGCTACTAATACAATTTGGTGCCATTGCTGGTGTTCATGCTAAAATGCCAGCAGTTTTACCTACCATTGCTTTCGTACCATTGGTACAAATGTCAACACAGTGGCAAGAGCAAATAAAATCTTGGGATTTTTATGAAAATAGCTTTGACTTTGTGATCCTCTGAAAGGGTTCCAGGGACACTTTTTGAGAACCATATTCTAGGAGGCCTCTTTCTTTGTCCATGAAGTGGAAATTTATATCAACCTGTTTCTGTAAAAGTGTGTTTTTTTTTTCTCTCTCTCTCCTCCTCTGGACCTTCATTATACAAGTAGAATGGCAGGCCTGCCAGTCGGTGTGAACAAATTTTAGAATTATTTGAGTATGATTATTGTTTTAGTTAGCATCATAGAAGTAGATAGATATAAAAGAGAGCACCCAGTTGGTCCACAGTGAGTTCATCCAACTGGATGGCTATATATTTTTCTCTTTTGTGTGGTATGTGTGTTGTATGTGAGTATATAATGAATTTGGCTCCTGGGTAGTTAGACACATTTTCACGAAGCAACATGATTTTCATGAATTATGGCAATACCTACAATGTGCCATTTGGCTATGCTAACTTTTTCTCCCAATCTGCCATAATTTCAAATATTACTGCTTCAATTTGTATGCCAAAGATTGTATTAAGCGCTATAACATTTCTTTACTTTTCACCCCTCTTTTACCTGGAACCAAAATTTGTAACATTGTAAAAGCAGTCCAGAAAAGTGATAGATATGCCAAGTTAGCAGAACATGAAGAGCATTATCTTCTAAGTGGTATTCTTCTGTTATCTTCTCCATAAAATGTGTTATTCCTCTGATGTCCCTGGACTGTTGGATTTTTCATAGTTTGTACCAACAGAACTGAGGGGGTGTGTGATGCTTACATATATGCAGACATATAGTGGAGTTTGACTCACATTCAATGCATGCGCTAGTGCTCACGCTTACATACCTGAAATTTAATGATTCATCAGCTCTGCAGTATTTGACAAAGTAGTGAAAATGAATACATATATAAATAAAAATACTGCTAAAGAACAAGGATCTTCAGAGGTGACCCTCTAGTAAAGAGCCCTATCTACTGGTAAGTAACCTAAATAATTTCTAACTTGGAAAGCTCCTTGGTGCATGATTATTACAAATACTATAACCATAATGCAACTATTCTGCCAATATAATATAGATATAACACTATTGTGTAAGTATTTTACCTTTAAGTGTTGTGAATTATTGCTAAATTTCATATTCAGAAAAAAATTTAACATCAAAAGTATAAATACAGATTACTTAGTTGAGTATATTTTAATTCTTATCTCCTTTTAGATTTCATAACTTCATTACAAAATTTGAAATTGTTTTATTAGAGTATTTGAACTCTAAACATAAACTTCCATTTTTCCATGTTTATTTTTTATTCTTATTTTGGTAATAGGCCCCTTTCTATTATAGATGGGCTCCCACAACCAAACCAGATAATTATCTGTAATTAGCCAGTCATCAGTTTTCAGGGACACTAAGCCTCTGTTGACTATCTCCTCATACTTCACTCTAAAAGCAGGAAGAATTAACAACAAAGACCACCAGGCAATAATGAACTGGCATGTGAGATAGCTCAACTCTGTATGTTCTTTTCTGAAAATCACCCACCTGCTTCCTTATCTATAGATTAAGAACTATAAAGAGTAATAAAAAAAATTAGCAGGCCAACCCTGCCAAGGGATTGGAACTATGAGGAACGTGTTTTTGTAAGAAAGTTTTGTCTTTAGATTGCAAAGAGAAATAAAAGAATTTGGGGAAAATTATTAGCTTGAAAATGGCATATCATTTTAAAGAGAAAAAAATTTGTTTAGTCTTTAGATTGCAAAGAGAAATAACTTAAAAGAATTTGGGGAAAATTATTAGCTTGAAAATGGCATATCATTTTAATGAGAAAAAAATTTTTGAAGAGCATTTCTGTATCATTGGATGAACCAGTTATGGACAGTTATAGTGTTTTGCATAAACATATGATTTTTTGTATGTCTTTCTTAGCTTATTCTAAGAGGCAGTACTTTTGGTGTTCATTTTTGGTTCATTTATCTTCAACTTTGCTACAGGTATTCTATTATTATTGTCCATGAAGAACCCTTGTGGAAATCCAAGGCATGTTTAGTACTTCAAAATCAATTAGTTTCTTAGAAAATGAAGGCAAGCAATGATGACAAGGCCATGTTAACCTCATTCTCTTCACCTCTCTAAGCCAGACTTTCCTCTCTCTTACTGAGATGATCTGTCACTATAATTAAATAAAACTTTAAAAAGAAAAATATTTTAGGTAACTTTTTTTTCTGGTACATCTCTTCCTAGCAGTCATCAAGAACACTCTGGTTGCAAATATTCAGAACCAATCATTTTTGTGTATTTATTAAATATTTTTAATTTTGTATTATGAAAAGTGTTTTTAAAGGATTCTAAGATTTTTTTCTTTCTTGGTCTTCATTAAACTTGCTACTTTTCTCATGCTTTTCATATTCTGTGATTTCCTGTAATGCAAATGTTACTCTAAATTTTTCACTCAAAAACTAATGGTAATGTTTGTTTATACTTATTAAAAGCCTGCTTTTTAATGGTATAAGACCCCATTTAGAAAACTAATGATTTGATATAGTCTTCAAACTATTTTTATTTCTAAATGCCTTTTGGTTATTCAAAGGATTCAAAACTAAACTCTTCTGAACTAATGTTTAAAATGTTCAACACAATCATATGAATGGACTTCATTTTCTATTACTGTAATTTAAATAACTTTGAGTTTCCAATAGGGAAAATAAGAGGTGTTTTCTTCTTATAATGTTCATTTGACATGTCAACACTTTCTTTTCTGTTGTTGTTTTTTTTTTGTTTTTACAGATTCGCTTCAAGCTCAGCTTATCAATATGGGTGTTATTCCTACCTTAGTGAAATTACTGGGCATCCACTGCCAAAATGCAGCTCTTACAGAAATGTGTCTTGTTGCATTTGGTAATTTAGCAGAACTTGGTAAGTCTTAGTCATGAACCACAAATGTAATTAACTTATTAATGTGCTTACAATAAATTTTTCTGTAGATATTAAGAAGCTAGAAATCCATTTAGATTGTATTAGTTTATTTTTTGAAGCATTTGAGATATTTCCATCAATATTTTAAAAAGTAAATCCAATTAGATCTTATGATTGCATTGTTTATGAGAGCGTTTTATTTCCCTAATAATTAATTTTACATATTAATGTTTAAAGCTCACATTGTACATTATGTAACAGAGTTGAATATTTACACTTGTCTCCACTTGACTTTAATCTTTTTACATGAGGGATGGCAATTGTATGTCCACGGGTAAAAATAAGATTGAAATGTATTGCATAGTGGCTTGTGCCTGTGGTTCCAGCACTTCGGAAGGCCGAGGTGGGTGGATTGCTTGAGCTCAGGAATTCGAGACCAGTCTGGGCCCATCTTTACAAAAAATACAAAAATTAGCTGGGTGTGGTGGCTAGTGCCAGTAGTCCTAGCTACTCAGGAGACCGAGGCAGGAGGATCACTTGAGCCCAGGAGGCAGAGGTTGCAGTGATCCGACATCATGCCACTGCACTCCAGCCTGGGTGGCAGAGCCAGACCCTGTCTCAAGAAAAAAAAAGAAATTTATTACATTTCATATAAATTGCATTTTTCTCAGGTAAAGAGGAATCTAACGTTAGACTAAGGTTCTTCATCCTCTTTTCATGAAATCTCAAAACATGGCAGAGGACTTTTTTCTATGAATATATGTGTTATAGTATTAGAAAACAAAATCTGTGGAATCCTTGAAATTCAGAAGGCAAACAAAACCAGACCAATGCTGGAAACACATCCTAGTCATAACACAGAGGAGGATGATGGCCTCAGCACCTCCACCTCTTCATTTTTCTCTTTGTTATGGATTACCCTTTCTTCTTCCCCACGCCCCCACCTTCTTGTCTTCCTTCACAACCCACAATCATGTTAATAATAAATTATTATGGGCATAGTGAAATGAAATGGTGTTTTGTCATAGCTAAATACCGTAGTTACAACAAACAAATATATCAATTCTGTTACGTACCACATTCTATAAATAAAAGCATGAAGTCACTAGTCTTGGTTTTTCTAACTGAAAGCTCATCTTGATTTTAACATTTTACTTTTATTTTGTCTTCCAAGCAAAGGGAATAGAAATTATTAAAGTTATTTTTAGTAAAAGTCATTCTTACTCAATGGGTCATATCCCAGTATTTGTGAATGTTTCTCATCTTCTCTCTTCATCTGCTTTTTCTTTTTTATACTAGCCTAATTAACACATTTTTTCTGTCATTCATTCAAGTGAGACCAAGAATAAAAGTACATTCATTTAGTATTTGACAAAGTTATTCTTTTCCGTGATTAAAATGGAATGTAGGAGTTTGTGTTCAGTATGGTTGGCAGAAATAAAACAGAAATTGTGTTATAATCCGATACTGAAAGTGTAACAGAAACATGATTGGTTCAAATCTTTCTTCACTTGCCTTCAGTTTTATGAAAATCAAAGAGTGCAGGTACTTTGCTGTTACATTTTAATGTGAGCAGTTTCTAGAACAGCACTGTCCAATACAGTAGCTACCAGCCATGTGGCTTAATGGGCATTGAAATATGAAGTCTCAATTGAGATGTGTTCAGTATAAAATACACAATCGATTTCAAACACTATATATGAAAAATATAAAATCTCATCAATATTTCATATGTTGATTGCATGTTGACATGATAATTTGAATATATTGGGTGAAATAAAATATTAAAATGTTTACTTTTTAACTTTTTTAGCACATCTTACTAGAAAATCTAAAATTATATATATGGTTCCATTTTTGCTCTCATTATATTTCTGTTGGACAGTGGTGCTCTAGAAAATGAAGTGCAACAGAATCATCCTTCACTCTGTTAAGGCCCTCCCTTTTGAAGTTTTAGGAGAGTACATAGAAGAAAGCAAAGATTAATGAAATTTATCTCATCTAACTTTAAGGAAAAGTCAGTACAAAGTAAGGAAATTACAATAATCCTTGGATAGGCTGTGCTGAATAAGAACTTATATAATTGTAGTTGTTTGCTGAGGAGTATTTCATCCCTTTATGGTTTTGTGTCTAAATCTTGTAAATGCTTCAACATTAGGAACTGTGCAGAACTCCTGCTTGACCTCATGAGAGGAGAGTTGTTTGTTACCCCAAGAAATAGTCATCATCCACTTCTCAAATGAGAGTCAAGGAAAAGTATTAGTCATTATTACCGCCTCTTATGAAAAGAGCATAACAAGAACTGTGGTAATGGAAGAGGGTGGGCTTTGAGTTTAGTCACAGGAGTTACAGGAGTCTTTTTTTTTAAACTTTAAGAAACTTATTCCATGTAGTATGTCCATATAAGGAGTCTTATGTTTTACAGTAAAAGAAGATCCTGGATCTGTATCAAACCTTACTCACCTTTACAGCACCCGTATGAAGTAAACTGGGCCTAATCCTTACAGTTAACCCAACCCTGTGATTTATTTAGTAATACTAATTTAGGATCATACATACAGTCAAGAGCTTCTGTGAGAGGAAAATTCATTTATCTAAGTTACGAACACATGAATATTGAAGTATTTTAGAGTTCTAAGACAAATAACTTACATATTTGAACCCAAATACTTCAATATGTAAATATTGGTATAACTCTTGCTGTGTGTTTAAGACATTATAATAATATAAATATATTAACATTTCTCCAAAAGTGCCTTGCATAAACCCAGATTCCAAATTGTTCACGTTAGGGCAATAGTTTTCAAACTTTTTGACTATGGCCCATAATAAGAAATACATGTTCTTATCACCACTTATTGTATTACACACCTGAAACTAAACAATACTTATTATCCTTAACATATTCAGTGTACTCTGATCCTAAACTGATCACATGACTTAGTGGATCTCTGGCTTTTGAAAAATACAGCATTATAGGATTTCTATTATTCATAAATCATTTGGAAGGCAGTCTTTTGTATTAGAGAAAAATAATTCTTGATGTACATTCTTTTTAAAAGAGAACTTGAATTCTGACACAAAGCATCTTTAAGTGATAGTTCAAATAGTTTAATTTCTGATTTTAGTATCTATAGTTATTTTTACTATATATATAATAGGCATAGCTTGTCTCACAAGTTTAATTAAAACATTTGGTTTATTCAACTTTTAAAAGTCATTAGGCAATTAAAAATTTTAATGGATATGTCAGAAATTCTCAGTGATTATGTTTGCTTTGCTGAGTATAAAAGAAGTTTTTCTTACATAATAAATATATACTTGCTAACTGATGTTTTAAAGTTTCCATAATGTATACCATGCCAGCCTGTGCTTTCTCACTAAGCAGTGTTTTTACTGAGCCCTGTGAACTCCAGAGATACCTGCAAAAGTATTGTTGGAAGAGTCAAAGGCAGGGAATGGTTTAATATTTAATCCAGTCATTTTCTCATTTGGGAAAAAAGTGAAAGGTTTTTCAAAAGCTAAAACCCCAGAAATAAGCAGAAGTATTTGCCCTATAGCTCTGTCGGTCAGCTCTGTTAACCAACCCTTTTTAAACATAGATACTCTTTAGGATAGCCAAAGTTATCAACCATCCACCTCTTATACTTTCCATTCTGTGCGTCTTTTGAGTATCTCAATGGATAGTGCTTGCCACATATTATTAAATGAATAATAATATGAATGACCCAATCAATACTGTAATATCAATGACATTTGGGAAATGGGAGTGTATGAATCCATTTGCACTACCATAAAGGAATGCCCAAGACTGGGTAATTTATAAAGAAAAGAGGTTTAATTGGCTCATGGTTCTGCAGGGTGTACAGGAAGTGTGGTGCCTGCATCTGCTTCTGGTGAGGGACTCAGGAAGCTTACAATCATGGCAGAAGGTGAAGAGGGAGCAGGCGTGTCACATGGTGAGACAGGGAGCGAGAGAGAGAGACAAAGGGGAAGTCACAGACTCTTAACCAGATCTCATATGAACTAACTCACTTATCACCAAGGGGATGGTACTAACCATTCATGAGGGACCTGCCCCCATTATCTAATTACCTCCTGCCTGGCCTCACCTCCAATATTGGAAATTACGTTTCAACATGAGATTTGGAAGGGACAAACAGCCAAACCACATCAGGGAGTTTTCATTGGACAAATAAGGAAAAATAATATGAGGACAAAAGCAGAGCACAGTATACTGAGGGAGCCCTGGCCTGGTAGGAGAGAAAAGAGGTAAGTAAAGAGTTGCAAAGACAACCTTGTCTACCTTGCTGATTTCTCTGGTATACAGGGAAAATAAGCCATTGAAAACAGTTTGATACAAGTTGCTGTGCTAAGATAGCAGATTTGTTTGAGAGGCTGCGTAGACCACCTCTATTCAGCCTAGTCTCCCCCAGTCTATGTTAAAAGATAAATATGCAGCTAATTTAGTTCAGCCCAGGTTCATACTATAATTTCAGTGGTTACTGCCCTACCCCATTTGGAGGAAGAAAGGATAAGAGAAAAATATGTGTATCTAAGACTTCTCGAGTTTATATAATGAGTCAGTTATGCCCATGTAATAGCTAGGTTGTATACATCAACACGGGAGTGGAACATGTATGCACCAGAATAATGTTTCTCCTTTCAGAGTGAGCTTTCTTGCCTGTTAACAAGTAATGTATTTTTATTGATTCGTGTAAATATCAAGTGTTTAAAATTCATGTCACATACTTCTGAATATGACATATTACTAAATGCTACAGTTACTTTTTGTCAAAATGTTTTTAATAAAAGTGTTAAATAACAAATTTGTGTATTTTTGCTGACTAGTGATGAGATGTAATAGCTTAAAGATGAAATGGAAATAATTTAACAAGTGCAATCTATTTCAGAATTGGGACAGAAAGGAAAATACAGCTCTGCTTTATTAAGTTTCATAAATTTTACAGGATTAAAGATGTTTTCATTTTTTCCCAATAATGAAAAAAAGATTGTTTTCCTCCTGATTGTTATTTATGCACAATAATATTAAAGAGAAATTGGCCTTTAACCCAACACTCTTTAATATAACCATGGAATTTTTTTTTGTTCCCTTCGAGTCCCAATGAATGTGTTTACATAATTTTTCATACTTAAAATCATAGCATGAATATGGTTTTAAAGTATGCATTCTTATTTAACATGGAATAAACAGAATGAGACTTTGCCTCTTTTAAAATTTTAGTTGGAAACTAACTAAAACCCTTCAGTAAAGAGATTTCTTCTTAAAGGCTTAAGACCTCAAGGATTGGGAGCCCAAGGCAGGAAGATTGATTGCA
Organism: Homo sapiens; assembly: GCF_000001405.40. Taxonomy (NCBI): domain Eukaryota; kingdom Metazoa; phylum Chordata; class Mammalia; order Primates; family Hominidae; genus Homo; species Homo sapiens. Next base: position 98,397,420 of record NC_000004.12, read on the forward strand.
GCAGGAATTTCAAGACCAGCCTGCGTAACATAGTGAGACCTCCCCCCGACCCACTCTCTAAAAACAAAAAGCAAACAAATAAGAACAACCTCAAGGGAAGGGAATAAAAAAGAAAAGCAGGAGAGAGGATTGTACGAGAATATTTTGGGACCTGGGAAGAAAGGCAATAACTTACATAGCAAACCTTTGACATCTGAATCCTGGATAAGAAACCAAGAACTAACCAGTTTGCATTTCACAGTCTTCAAAAGGCTTGGGATTTGATGGCATCAAGATTTCTAGACCCTCTTTCCCCTTTCACACCTTGTGATGACTACCCCTTGCCTATCCAAGGAGAATGCTATGCTTCTTGTCAGGATGGACGAAAAAGAGGGTTTCTTGATGGAGGATATGACACTAAATTGAAGTAAAAGGTACCACAGTACCAATCCATAAACAGATTAAGTGAAATCTGAATGCCGAGAACCACAGTTTTATTGCCCCATTTGTCTCCCAGAACGTAGACTTAAAGTTATTTATATTGAGGGTTCTCTACAAAAGGCCAGCAGATGACCCTATAGGGAATCTTGCAGTCAACAAGACTACTCGTACTCATAGCTCCTAATCAGTTTATTATTATTATTATTTTTAGTTCCTAACTTCATCAATGGCAGACAGCTCAAGAGGTGAGGGCAATCTCTAACATGGAAGATAAATAGAGAAAAGCAACAGTACACTTTTCTTAAGGAGAACAGAAAAGAGCTTGAGCATTAAGAATAATTGCTAAGATGAAAGACAAAAATTGGAGAAATAGTTGTACGAGTAAAGGAAAAAAAAAAGGAGATAGAAAATAAAAGAGAAAATATAAGAAGATCAGACCAAGAGTATTAGAAAAGTTAACAGAGAGGAGGAAATTGCCAAATAAGTATCACAGAACTGAAATACAAAATTTCCTACATTGCAAATATCTGTCAAATAAATGTCCTAAGGAATGAAAATACACCCAGACCATAGCGCATCAATGTGAAATTTTACAATGCTGAGGACAAAGAACATCTTACAAGCTTCTAGAGAGGATGGGGGAAGTAAAGTTGAATACAAAAGATCATGAGTCCGTGGACATATGTCTCAAAACAACATTGGCAGCCAGAAGAAAATGCAATGTTGCCTTCAAAATTTTTAGGGAAGCCAGATCAATTAGGCAAGGAAGAAATAAAGGGTGTCAAAGTTGGAAAGGAAAAAGTCAAATTGTGCCTGCAAACATGATCTTATATCAAGAAAAACCTACAGACTCCACCAAAAACCTCTTAGAACCAAAAAATGAATTCAGTAATGTTGCAGGATACAAAATCAACATGCAAAAATCAGTAGCATTTCTACACACTAACAGTAAACTAGCTGAAAAGGAGATCAAGAAGGCAATCCTATTTACAATAGCTATAAAACATATAGGAATAAACTTAACCAAGGAGGTGAAAGACCTACAAGGAAAACTACAAAACACTGATGAGGGAAACTGAAGAGAATACCAGCAACTAGAAGGACATCCCATGCTTATGGATTGGAAGAGTTAATATTGTTAAAACGGTCATACTATTCAAAGCAATCTGCAGATTCAATGCAATCCCTGTCAAAATACCAATGACTTTTTTTTTGTGGAGATAGAAAAAAGTAGCTTAAAGTTTTCATGGAACCACATGTAAAACCCAAACTATAAAACTAGTAGGCAAAAACAAAAGAGAAATGCTTCAGGACATTGGTCTAAGAAATGTTTATGTATAAGACGTCAGAACACAGGCAACGAAAGCAAAAATAAATAGGATCATATCAAATGAAAAAGCTTTTGCAAAGCACAGAAAACAACAGAGTGAAAAGAGAGGCTACAGAATGGGAGAAAATATTTGCAAATTATTCATCCAACTGGGGATTTATTCCAGAATATCCAAGGAACTCAAACATCTCAACAGCAGGGTCTCACTCTGTCACACAGGCTAGAGTGCAGTGGCCACCTTAGCCTCCCAAGTAGCTGGGACTACAGGCGTGCACCATCATGCCCCATTTGTTTTTGTATTTTTTGTAGAGACAGGGTTTTACCATGCTTCCCAGGCTGGTCTTGAACTCCTGGGCTCAAGCAGTCCACCTGCCTTAGCTTCCCAAAATGCTGGGACTATAGGCGTGAACCACTGTGTCTGCCCCAGTCCCATTTTTAAAATGGGCAAATTATCTAAACAGATACATCTCAAAAGAAGATACAAAAATGGCTAACCAATGTATGATAAAATGTTCAGTATCACTAATCTTCAGGGAAATGCAAATCGAAACCACAATGACATATTATCTCACCCCAGTTAGGATGGCTATTATTAAAAAGACAAAAGTTAACAAATCCTGGTGAGGATGTGGAGAAAAAAGAACTCACACTGGGAGTGTCAACTAGCACAGCCACTAGGGAGGTTCCTCAAAAACCATAAATAGGCCAGATGTGGTGGCTCACACCTGTAATCCCAACACTTTGGGAGGCTGAAGCAGGAGGATCACTTGATGCCAGGAGTTTGAGACCAGCCTGGGTGACATAGGGAAACCATCTCTGCAAAAAATTTAAAAATTAGCCTGGCATGGTGGCACAGGTGTATAGTCCCAGCTACCTGGGAAGCTGGGGTGGGAGGATCGCTTCAGCACAGGATGTTGAGTCAGGTTGCAGTGAGCCATGATCACACCACTGCACTCCAGCTTGGGTGACAGAGCAAGACTCCATCTCAGTTTAAAAAAAAACACAAATAGAACTACTGTATGAGCCAGCTGTCTCCTTACTGGGTATTTATCAAAAGGAAAGGAAGTCAGTATTGAAGAAACATTACACACCCATGTTTACTGCAGCACTGTTCACAATAGATATGGGATCAACCTAGATGCCTAAATACATGAAGAGGTAAAATGTGATGTATATGTATATACACACACACACACAATGGAATACTATTCAGCCACCGAAAAGAATGAAATCCTGTTTTCTTGCAACAACATGGATGGAACTGGAAGACATTATGTTAAGTGAAATAAACCAGGAATAGAAAGTTAAACACTGTATGTTCTCACACATGTGGAAGCTTAAAGTTGATTTTATAGAAGTAAAAAAAAAAAAAAAAAAACGGATACTAGAGGTTGGGAAAGGTAGCAGGAAGAGGGATAATAGGGAAAGATTAGATACAGAAGATACAAAATTACAGCTAGATAGGAGGAGTAAGCTTTAGTGTTCTGTACCATTGTAGGATAACTATCGTTGACAATAATTATTACATAGTTTCAGATAGCTAGGGGGAGGATATTGAATGTTTCCAACACAAAGTACTTGAGATGATGAATAAGCTAATTACCCTGATCTGCTTACTATTCATTATATGTAACACCACAGTGTACCCCATATACAATTATTATTTGTCAAATAATTACACTTTTTTATTTTTTGAGGGAAAATGACTTCCAACATAGAATCCTATACTCTGTCATACTATCAGTTAAGTGTGAGATTATAATAAGGATATTGTCACACATGAACATCTCAGAAAATTTCTTAAATACTTTATCTCTGGAAGCCACTGGAAGTTGGGTTCCACCAAAACAAGGGATTTAAATGAAGAAAAACTACATAGGAGCTGAAAACGAAATCCAACAAGAATCCCAAGTATTACAGTGATGTTATCGTCCCATGTGGCATGCTTTCAAGAAGCAACCAATCCAGGTTGGGTTAGGTCAAAAAACTGGTGGGATGGTGCTTAGGAGAGTTCTTACAGGAAATGAAATTGATTAATATCTAAAGTGAATGCATTAAGATTAGAAAACTGCTGGAGTGTTTGGAGTTGCATTAATAACAAGCACATAGCTAAGCAAATGAGGAAAACATTATTCCAGGAAAAATGAATTAGTGTATTACTGAAACACAACTAGTGATATAAACAAAATTACATATAATTAGAAAGATGATGGAGAGTATGGTGAACACAGGAAAGAAAGAAAACTAGTGTTTCATCTTTCATAGTAGAAATTTGATCAGAAATGCCAAATAAACTAGCAGTACAAATATGTAGTTTAGATAATACGTAAGTAAACAGTATGAATTAGCTAAAAGAGCTTCATGTATTTGTGAGGAAGAAGAAATGGAGGAGAGGAAACTGGAGTCTGCTGATAATATTAGGCTAACTCTTTAAATTCATAGAGTTGTAATAAAAATAAAACCTTAGTAAATGAGGCTTCTTGCCAAAGGCCTGTTGAGGATCCATGGCACTTAATTGATAGATATAATGTCCAAATTATACTTCATGCTGTCTTTTCACTCTGTTCACCTGCAGGTTAAGTACAGATTTTGTTCTATAATTCCTATATTAATAATGGTGCATAATTTCCTTATACTGGCAAACAGAGCCTGAGTTACATAGCAACAGTGATTTGGTTTCCTTTTATTAAGTGTTTGGAGGAAAAGAATGTGGATTGGAAGGAATAGAGTACCAATACTATTATTTTAAAGAAGAGTAAGAACATGTAACTAGATGAATGATGATGTCTATATACTTTACCTATGATTTTATGTTTTTGAAATCCATCTCACTTGGACAATTCTCTGAAGCAGAGGGATAACCAACAAAGTTCCAGGGATAAATCATCTCTACTTACTTTTTATTTATTTTTTTTCTTTTTGGGACAGAGTCTCACTGTGTCACCCAGACTGGAGTGCAGTGGCATGATCTCTGCTCACTGCACCTCTGCCTCTCAGGTTTAAGTGATTGTTGTGCCTCAGCCTCCTGAGTAGCTGGGACTATAGGTGTATGCCATCACGCCCAGCTAATTTTTGTATTTTTAGTAGAGACAGAGTTTTGCCATGTTGGCCAGGCTGGTCTCAAACTCCTGGGCTCAAGGGATCTGCCCACCCCAGACTCCGGAAGTGTTGGGATTGCAGGGATGAGCCACCATGCCCGGCCTCATCTCTAAATGAAACCTCCTTTTTGGGTGGAGTGTGCTGACATTTGCTGAATGTGGTCTCTGAGGGTTTCAGTATCTTATTGGAAAAGACACCCTACCCTTACTTTTTTTCCCCCTTGGCATGTGAAGTAAGAGCTAAAGCCGTAGTTTTTTGTGACATTAAAGAATCATACTTAAAGTCTTGGAGTGGATTTTTGTCATTTTGGAATAGATCCGTTGACAATGTGCACCAAAGCAGTGTAATAAAATGTTGATCAAAACTGTATTTAACCATATTAATGTGTGTCTCTCCTGTTAAATTTGCAAATTTCTTACTTGATAGTAACACAAGAGATTTACCAGAGACTAGCGAGCAGAATGTAACCCTGATAATTCATTTACATGTTCATTTACTCATAAATAACTTCATTTTGGACACCTGCTTTATACCAGGGACTATTCTGTGCACTATGTTTCTGGTGGTTGAAGCAGTATGTACTGCCCCTGCCCTCAAGGAGCTTATAGTTTAGTGTGTAAGATGGACATTTATTTTAAAATAGTTTGCAAATAAACTAACATATAATTACAAGTTATTATAATTGCTAGTATGAGAAAGTAATAGAGTAAGGTAAGGGATTAATTTAAATTAGAAGCATCAACTCTAGGTGGGAAAGAGCATTTTCAGACAATCAGTATTTTCAAAATGTCTACCTCCTACATACACATTATACAGTAGCTTTCTCACGACACTGCTGGAGGATGCTGCCATCAAAACAAAACAAATGAAAGAGAAAAGGCATAGATAACAGGGTATCTAGTACAGGAAGGAGAGATAATGATAAAGATAACCCAGGAGGCCAGCTGTGCTACCAGAGAGACCAGTATATATTAGATTAGGTCAGAATTCACTGAAAGAAACTTGTAGAAAAATTAATAGGATACTTAATGCAACCAAAGACATTGAGAGGAGAATTGGAGAGAAATGGAATGGATTTGGGTTGGATTTTGGAGGTAGATTGACAGACCTTGGTGATTTATTAGATGTGGAAGTTGAGTGATAATAAATGAGCAGTGACTCCTAGATTTCTGCCTGTGCAGATAGACAGAGTGTTCATATACTGAGTTGAGGAACCCTGGAGGAGGAAGATTTCACAGTATGTCAAAAGCCCCTTTTTGGTATTGAGTTTAGAATGCTAGAGAGATACTCAAGTAGAGGTGTCAAATGGGCAGTTAAATAGCCTGATGTCCAGAAGAGGGTTATGAATATTTATGTTGTATAAATATCAACACAGAGATGCTGTTTGGTGCTATGGAAGAGCATTGGATAGCCTCAGGTGAGAATAAGGACTGAGAAGGTAAAGCAAAGGATGAATCCTAAGGAACTAGAATTTATACAGGTCTTGTGGAAAAGGAGGAACAATTATAGGAGATTGCTAAGTGTAGAGGCAGGTAGGCCAAAACTAGTAGATTTAGTAATGCATGTGAGTTGAGAGAGTAGAGGCAGTGTATGTAAGCAATGTTATCAGAAACTTATTTGTAAAAGCAAAAATGAGCTTGAATGGTAGTTGATAGAGGTGGACTAGGGGGAGGATGTTTGTTTTTAATATTGTTTTATGTGAGAAATACCAAAGTATATATAAATGCTGATCAATGGTGAGGCTCTAGGAGAGGTTGGAGATGCTGAGAGGCAGGAATGAATGAAACCCCAATTACTCATGCAGAATTAGTCTTCAATAGTAGATATGTCAGGACCAGTGTAGAAAACATTCCACTTTAATGATACTAAAGATAAGTCACCTTTAATTCATCCATATAAAATATGTTATGAGAAATTTTTCTTTGACTAAAATCCTTAAAACTATGAATTTATGACTTAGTAATTTTGTTGTTGCTGTGGTTACTAGAGAACCTTTTTTTATAGCTCAAATATAATTGGGTCAGAACATTTTCTCTAAAGCCTTAGATATTTTTCCTTTTCAGGGACATTAAAAATGGATTTGATTGTTCCCATATTTGAAGAGTATTTGTATTTATCAGTAATGGTACAAAATAACTAAGTATTGAAAGTATTAGAAAACAGTTTCTGGACTTTATTTGGTTTAAGTTTTTCTTTTTTATTTTACAGAGTCAAGTAAAGAACAGTTTGCCAGTACAAACATTGCTGAAGAGCTAGTAAAACTCTTCAAGAAACAAATAGAACATGATAAGAGAGAAATGATTTTTGAAGTTCTTGCTCCATTGGCAGAAAATGGTGAGAAACTTAAATGCACCTTTGGATTTTTGATCATGTATGCTTTAAACTTTTTTCCTAATATTATTTAATTGCCAGCCATTTGACTCAAAACCATTCTTTATTAGTGATATGTTTTATTTTGCATATCTCTAACTTTAGCTATGTTATCTACTCCATAGCTATATCTACATTGGCCAAAGCAACTTTCCAGGTTCCTTTGATTTTAAAATCTTAGAAAAGATACTTCTGTAGCTAACACATTCTTGTGCCATTCTGGAAAAGGCAGCTGAGAGGCTGAGCTCTACTTCTACACACTTGTAAGGCAAAGGGGATAAAAGTTGGAGTCTCAGGCCTGCCAACAGTGAAGATACTGGTTAATCACTCCCTTCTTTGGGCAGAAAAATCTTAAGAGATGCATCGTAGAAATAAGAATGAATCAGAAGAAACAAACTATTCCATATTAGTAATTTTTCAAATATAATGTCTAACACGTACTCAAAGAGGATCAGATATTAATACATAAGACAAAACACACTGTAAGCAAGAGTAGGCAGCAAATCTTCAGATACTGGAATTATTAGACACTGATTCAAAACAGGTGTGCTTATTGTGTTCAAAGAGGTAAAAGCTAGCTTAAATAATTTAGAAGGAAACTAAAAACTATTTTTAAAAAGTGGCATAGCAGATTTAAGAATGAAATAAATGGAAATTTCTGAATTGAAAAATACAACCAAAATTAAGAATTCAGTGGGTGGTTTAATAGCAGATTTAATAGATACTGTTGAATTAAAGAACCAGTGAACTGGAAAACGGGTTGGAAAGAAATCCAATATGAACTAAAAGGAAAGAAGAACACATTTACATAAAAGAGAATAAGAGGTCAGAGGAAAAAATGAGACATTCTCATATGCATTTTTTGGAGTCCCAAAAGGAGAGTAGAGAAGGTGGGGAGGGGAGTGTGCAGAGGCAATATTTGAAGAAATTTTGGCAGAGAATTTATCAGAAATTATGAAAAATGCAAAGATCCAAGAAGCCCTTTGAACCCAAAATATGATAAACAAAAATCCACATCTAGATGCCTCATACTGAAAATGTAGAAAACCAATGACCAAAATTATTATCTTCAAAGTAACAACAGTTTGGCTGACAGCTACCTTCTCAACAGCAACAATGAAAGCCAGATGTTATAAATGTGGTTTGTCAGAAGGAAAATGATATAGATGCAGGGGAGAATAAAGACCAAAAAAAACGGTAGATATATAGGTAAATCTTATAAACATTGAATATATCAAAAAAATAACTTATTGTGAAGTTTACAATGTACATTTATGTGATTTAAAATATACCACAAACTGAGCTTATAAATAAGAAGAAAGGTAAAAGGAGTTAGAGTCCTAAGACACTTGTGTTATCTGGAAGACTCTGGTTATTTAGTCACTTTTAACTTTTAAGGTGACTACTAAAGTAATTTTTTAAAATGATATATAGCTGCAGAACAAATGGAAGCGACTTATGGAAAGGTTTTTTAATACCCTAGTAATGCAAAACAAGAAAAAAGAGGAAAGAAAAAGGAACACGAATCATAGAGGACAAATGAAGCATAAAAATACAGTTTTAAGACACAGTATTTCAGTAATTACGTTAAATGTGGCCTAAATGCTCTAATTAAAAGACCATTTGTCACTTGTGTTTTAAAATAAATAACTATACTACTTAAGCAATACTTATTAAATATGAGATTTAAAAGATTGAGAATAATAGGGTAGAAAAAATATACCAGTGAAACCTAAGGAAGGCTGGGGTAGTTATATTAATATCAAGTAAAATAGATTTTAAGATGAAAAGACTTGCTAGAGATAAAGAGGGTGACTTTAGTAATAAAAGGTCCAATTTACCTAGAAAAAAAATAACCGTTATACATTATCCCAAAACATACGGAGCAAAAACATTCAGAACTATGAAGAGAAACAGACAAATCCACAAATATTGTGAGAAATTTTAATACCTCTTTCAATAATTTATAGAATAAGATAGAAGAATAAGGTTATAGAAAATTTGAAAATGATTAAGACAATTGATTTAATGGACCTATTTTAGAACACTTCAACTACAGAGCTCTTTCAAGTACATATGAAACATTTAAGAACATGTATACTTGTCATGAAAGAAAGAAATTTCAAAAGATTGCTATCATACAAAGTATTTCTTTGACCTAAGTGAGTTGTCTAGTAACCAATTATAAAAAGAAAACCAGGAAATCGCTGTATGTTTACATGGTAAGAAATATACTTCCAGTACCTCAGAGGTCAAAAAAGAATTGTAATGGAAATTAGAAATTTTTCTAGTAGTGAAAATGAAAATGCTATATCTCAGATCTTACGTGTTACAAGTAAAGACCTATTCAGAGGGAAATTTTTTGCTCTAAATGCTTATATTAGAAAAGGAAAAGAACTAAAATCAATGAGCCCAGTATTCATCTCAGGAATTTAGGGGAAAGAAAATATAAACCCAAAAAACCACAAGGTAATTTTTCAACCCTCACCTTCCAATTTGTGTGAATATGCTCATAGTAGTCTCTGATAATCTTTTGTATTTCTGTGGTAGCAGCTATAATGTCACCTTTATTGTTTCTGATTGTACTTATTTGAATCTTCTCTCTTTTTTTTTGTTAATCTAGCTAGTGGTCTATTAATTTTGTTAATCTGCACTTGTACTCCCTAAATCTACAAAAAAAAATTTTTTAAGTAGTTAACTGGAATAAAATACAACAATGTTAACAAAATCCAAGAGTAATATATATTCTTTTAAAAAGCAGAAGAAAAGATAGGGTATCAACCTAAGTGTCCATCAGTGGATGAGTGGATAAAGAAAATGGGGTGTGTATACACACACACACACACACACACAACATGGAATACTACTCAGCTATAAAAAAGAATGAAATAATGTCTTTTGCAGCAACTTAAATGGAACTAGAGGGCATTAATTCTAAGTGAAGTAACCAAATGCCACCTATTCTCACAAGTGGCAGCTACGCTATGTGTACACAAAGGCATAGAGAGTGGATAGAATGGACTTTGGAGACAGAGGGAGGTAGTGAGATGAGGGGGTGAGGGGTAAAAAACTACTTATTAGGTACAGTGTACACTATTCAGATGACAGATGACCTAAAATCCTAGACTTTGCCACTATACAATTCATCCATGTAACCAAAAACCACTTGTACCACTAAAGCTATTGAAATTTTAAAAAAAATAATAATAAGCAGAAGGAAGGAAATGTAAAGAGCTGAAATAAAATGGAAAACATACAGTGCAACACAAACATATAATTACTACAGTTGAGTCTGAAAAGACAGTGGAATTGGTAAACCCGTAGTGAGATTAATGATGAAAAGAGAGAGAAAGCATAATTAACCAAAATTAAGAATGCAAGAGGAGGAGACCTTACCGCAGGTCTTACAGCTATTAAGAGGATATTATGAACAATTTGATGCCCATATATTTTATATATATATATATTTTTTTTTTTCCCTCCCCCGCAAGATGGAGTCTCACTCTGTCACCCAGGCTGGAGTGCAGTGGCACCATCTCGGCTCACTGCAGCCTCCACCTGGGATGCAGCCTCCATCTCCGAGGTTCAAGCAATTCTCCTGCCTCGGCTTCTCAAGTAGGTGGGATTACAGGCGCCTCCTACCACGCCTGGCTAATTTTTTTATTTTTATTTTTAGTAGACACGGGGTTTCACCATGTTGCCCAGGCTGATCTCAAACTCCTGACCTCAGGTGATCCACCTGCCTTGGCCTCCCAAAATACTGGGATTACAGGCATGAGCCACCGTGCCTGGCCTGATGCCAATATATTTTAAAGTATGACTGATACAAGAATAGAAAAGCTGAGTAATCTTACCTTAAGAATTCTTCCAGAGAATAGGAAAAGGAAATATACTTACCAATTTATTTTAATGAGGCTAATGAAACCTTTATACCAAATCCCAACAAAGACAATACATGAATGAAAATTAAAGGCTAGTCTCACCATGAACATAGATCCAAAATTCCTCCTAAAATTTTAGCAAATTTACTCTAGTAATATATTAAAAAAATTAATCACACCAAATTGCATTTATTCTGAAAGTGTAACACAATTTAATATTTGAAATGCAACTAGTATAATTCATCACCTTAAAATATTTAAGGGGAGAAACCATGATCTTCTCAGATTTTAAAAAAAGCTTTTCATAAAATTAAGTGTTCATTCATTATTTTTAAAAACTTAGGAAAACAGGACTAGGAAGGTCTTCAATCTGAAAAAGATATCTATGAGAAGGCTGAAGAAAACATCACAATCAATGGTGAAATAAAAAAGCATTTGCTTTGAGATTGGGACAAGAAGGATCATCCCCGCTTCCATTTAACATTGTATTGTAAGAAGTATCCAGTGCATTAAAGAGAATAAAAGAAAAAAAATTAAGATAAAGCAATAAAACTCTCATTCATTTATGATGTGATTATGCATATTTAATTCAAAAGAATCTATAGATCAGTTTTATAGATCTTTTTTTAAATCAGAATTTTGTTAGGTTACTGCCAAAAAACAAACAAGAATTTCTATATACCAAAAAAGAAAAAACAGAAAATAAAATGTGAAAAATACGTTGGATAGCCCTTTTAGCTGGAACTGCCACCTTCCAGTAATTTAACAAAATAATGAACACAAAGGGAAAGAGAAGCATCTGATATGTATTCTGTAGGCCTTTTAGAAAATACGGAGTTGTTCCTTTAGCCACATACATTCAAATCTACAGGAAAGGTGATATTGTAGACATCAGAGGAATGCATCCTGTTCAAAAAGGGAATGCCCCACAAATTTTACCATGGAAAACCAAGAGTCTATGGTGTTACCCGGCATGGTACTAGTGTTGTTGTAAACAAACAAGGGCAAGATTGTTGCCAAAATAATTAATGTGTATAATGAGCATATTAAGCACTCAAGAGCCAAGATACCTCCCCGAAACACATGAAGGAAAGATAGGAAAAGAAAAAGAAGGGAGCCAAAGAGAAATGTACCTGAGTTCAACTGAAGCAACAGTCTGTTCCACCTAGAGAAGCGCACTTTGTGAGAACAAACGGAAGGGGCCTGAGCTGCTGGAACCTCTTCCCTATGAATTCATGGCATAATAGGTGTTTTCAAGATAAAAGGCTTCTAGACTATTAAAAAGTATATAAAAAATTAATTCCAGATAGATTGACCTAAATGTGAAAGTTAAAACTTCAGAGGGTTTATCTTAAAATGTAAGCTAGGAGAATATCATCATGGCCTTGAAATACTTTTCTTAGATCACAAAAAGCTCTAATCATAAAGGAAAAAATTGAGACATTGGTTACTTTAAAAGTAAAACTTCTGGCTAGCCTGGTGGCTCATGACTGCAATCCTAATGGCTTTGGGAGGGCAAGACGAGGATCACTTGAGACCAGGAGTTCGAGACCAGCCTGAGCAACATAGTGAGGCCTCATCTCTACCAAAAACAAATAAATAAAAGTTAAAACTCTTTTTTTAAAGACACCGTTAAGAGTGAAAAGCAAGACTGGATGAGAGAATATAATTATAACATATAACTGACAGAGGGCTTGTGTATACAGTGTATAAAAACTCTTAAAAATCATTAAGAAAAATGTGAAAAACATTTTAATAAGCACTTGACAAAAGATTTATATTAAGTCCAACAGACTTAATATAGATATGAAAATGTTCACTCTTAGGTAACACAAAATAAAACCACAATAAAATACCACTATACACCCACTGGAAAGTCTCATAAACCAACTGTTGATGAGGGTGTGGAACAGTGGGAGTGTAAATTGGTACAATTGGGAAGTAGTATCTATTGAAGTTGAAGCAATAGATCCAACAATTCTGCTCTTAGAAATATACCCAGAAGCTTGTGCACATGTATACCAGGAACTGTTACAGGAATGTTCAAAGCAGCATTATTTATAATGAAAAATTGGAAACAACCAAAATCCATTAACAGTAGAATGAATAAATCATAGGATATTAATATAATGGAAAAATATAGAGTTATGAAAAGGAATGAAGACAGCTGTAACCATTACTGTGGATGAATCTCATAATGTTGAAAGGAAAAAGCCAACACTGAAAAATACATATTGTATGATTCAATTTATATAAAGTTAAAAACAAAAAGTAAAACTAAACTGTAGTTTTTAGGAATGATTATTTACTTGGTAAAATGATGAAAGTATAGAAGTGATTACCATAATAACCAGGATGATTTGAGACAAATGAAGGAAGGGGTTTGTTATCAGAAACAGAAATGCAGAGATAGGCTTCCTGAGTTGTTGGCAATGAATTTCTTGATCTAGGTGATAGATACATGGTTATTTGCTTTCTAATAATATATTAAACTTAACTTGGATATTTTATGCACTTCTCTGCATTTGTGGTTTTCTTTCACTCTTTAAAAAAAGTTTTAAAATACCTATATATGATGCATACATGATACATACAAGTGTACATTCATACATATGTGTGTAAACAGTGGTGATAAAGATACTTGTCCTTGGACAGAATGGTTTTGGTAAATGTGCTGGGCTGTCTGCTTTGGCAGAATGTCTTGCTAATCCTAATTAAGGTAGTTTAAGCCTCCTATATATTTGTTTTCAGGTATTTGATTTCAGTCAAATTGTGAGAAGAGATTATCTGTAAACTTTAACATTGAGACATTTAGGCTGGGAGTGATGGCTTACGCCTGTAATTCCAGCACTTTCAGAGGCCAAGGCAGAAGGATTGCTTGAGCCAGGAGTTCAAGACCAACCTGGGCAACACAGCAAGACCCTGTCTCAAAAAAAAAAATTAATTAAAATTTTAAAACTACAATATTGACACATTTAAAATTTCTTAAATGTCTTAGGTCCTATTTCTTAGGGAGAAATTTGTTTTTTATCTCATTGGTGTTTTGGCAAAGTAAAAATTTTACTGTGACCTTCAGTCAATTTTAGGCCATAAAATAACCTATAACTTTCCTTGCAGTATTTCAAAATAACAATGTGTTGATATTTATTACTGTTTTCCCCTCTGCCTTCACATCTGTTTTATAATTGCACAATGGATAGGATGATACCATTGAAGGCTTGTTTTTGGACTAATTCTTTGCATGTATCATCCTTCATTTTCCCAGTACACGAAGGAGAGTGATTTCAGCATTAGAAGTTGGGATTTGTATAGTTCAAGGATTTTAGTATTTTTAAGGCTTTTTCATCATAGTTTTTAATTCTAGTCACCACACATCTCTAGCCCTAGCATTCTGTAACCAAGGAAACGCCCTACTTTTAGCATGGCACAGTACAAGTGTACCTTTTAAAGAAATATTCCAGGTTGAATACTCTGTGTATTCTGAGATAATATTCAAAAGAAGATCAGTGATCCTAGTGATTCAAAAAAGCCAAATTTTAACACATTAAAATTGCCTGAAAGTCTTAAGTATTTATTTTTAAAAGTCTTTATTTTTCCTAAATGATAAGCTGAAGCTGCCATTGCCATATATGGATGCATATACAGCTTAGGGAAACCAATGACTAAAATAAAATCCAACTGAAAAAATAAAGTTTAAATTTAAAAATTTCTGGCCAGGTACAGTGGCTCATGCCTGTAATCCTAGCACTTTGGGAGGCCAAGGCAGGAAGATTGCTTGAGGCCATGAGTTCAAGACCAGCCTAGGCAACATAGTGAGACCCTGTCTCTACAAAAAAAGTTTAAAAATTAGCCAGGCATGGTGGCATGCACTTTTAGTCCCAGCTACTCAGGAGGCTGAGATAGGAGGATTGCTTGAGCCCAGGAGTTCAAGGATGCAGTGAGCTATGATCATACCACTGCGCTCCAGCCTGGGCAACGGAGCGAGACACTGTCTCTTAAACAAAAAATCTGTGTTGCAAATGTATTTTTCAGGTGAGTTGACTAGCATTTATCTTAAGGAGTATCAACTACACTCAAAGCATTTAGATAGGCCAGTTTAGGTTAAGATACAAAGATGAGTAAGGTGTATCTATTGGGGGAACCAGCCCCCAATATTTCAATGTATGTTCTATTTTCCCTAAATGTCGGCCCATCTGAGAAATAGAGAAAGAGTACAAAAAGAGGAATTCTACAGCTGGGCCTCCAGGGGTGACATCACATATCGGTAGGTCCGTGATGTCCCCTGAGCCACAAAACCAGGAAGTTTTTATTAGGGATTTCAAAAGGGGAGGGAGTGTACAGGGAGTAGGTCACAAAGATCACGTGCTTTACAGGGCAATAAAGATCACAAGGCAAGGGCAAAGCAAAGATCACAAGGCAAAGGGCAAAATTAGAATTACTGATGAGGGTCTATGTTTGGCTGTGCACGTATTATCTTGATAAACACCTTAAACAACAGAAAACAGCGTTCGAGAGCAGAGAACCGGTCTGACCTCAAACTTACCAGGGCGGGATCTTTTCCGCACCCTAATAAGCCTGAGGGTACTGCAGGAGACCAGGGCGTATTTCAGTCCTTATCTCAACCGCATAAGACAGATACTCCCAGAGCGGCCATTTATAGACCTCCCCCCAGGAATGCAATTCCTTCCCCAGGGTATTACTATTTTTTTTTTTATTATACTTTAAGTTTTAGGGTACATGTACACATTGTGCAGGTTAGTTACATATGTATACATGTGCCATGCTGGTGCGCTGCACCCACTAACTCGTCATCTAGCATTAGGTATATCTCCCAATGCTATCCCTCCCCGCTCCCCCCACCCCACCACAGTCCCCAGAGTGTGATATTCCCCTTCCAGTGTCCATGTGATCTCATCGTTCAATTCCCACCTATGAGTGAGAATATGCAGTGTTTGGTTTTTGTTCTTGCGATAGTTTACTGAGAATGATGATTTCCAATTTCATCCATGTCACTACAAAGGACATGAACTCATCATTTTTTATGGCTGCATAGTATTCCATGGTGTATATGTGCCACATTTTCTTAATCCAGTCTATCATTGTTGGACATTTGGGTTGGTTCCAAGTCTTTGCTATTGTGAATAATGCCGCAATAAACATACATGTGCATGTGTCTTTATAGCAGCATGATTTATAGTCATTTGGGTATATACCCAGTAATGGGATGGCTGGGTCAAATGGAATTTCTAGTTCTAGATCCCTGAGGAATCGCCACACTGACTTCCACAATGGTGGAACTAGTTTACAGTCCCACCAACAGTGTAAAAGTGTTCCTATTTCTCCACATCCTCTCCAGCACCTGTTGTTTCCTGACTTTTTAATGATTGCCATTCTAACTGGTGTGAGATGGTATCTCATGTGGTTTTGATTTGCATTTCTCTGATGGCCAGTGATGATGAGCATTTTTTCATGTGTTTTTTGGCTGCATAAATGTCTTCTTTTGAGAAGTGTGTGTTCATGTCCTTCGCCCACTTTTTGATGGGGTTGTTTTTTTCTTGTAAATTTGTTTGAGTTCATTGTAGATTCTGGATATTAGCCCTTTGTCAGATGAGTAGGTTGCGAAAATTTTCTCCCATTTTGTAGGTTGCCTGTTCACTCTGATGGTAGTTTCTTTTGCTGTGCAGAAGCTCTTTAGTTTAATTAGATCCCATTTGTCAATTTTGTCTTTTGTTGCCATTGCTTTTGGTGTTTTGGACATGAAGTCCTTGCCCATGCCTATGTCCTGAATGGTAATGCCTAGGTTTTCTTCTAGGGTTTTTATGGTTTTAGGTCTAACATTTAAATCTTTAATCCATCTTGAATTGATTTTTGTCTAAGGTGTAAGGAAGGGATCCAGTTTCAGCTTTCTACATATGGCTAGCCAGTTTTCCCAGCACCATTTATTAAGTAGGGAATCCTTTCCCCATTGCTTGTTTTTCTCAGGTTTGTCAAAGATCAGATAGTTGTAGATATGCGGCATTATTTCTGAGGGCTCTGTTCTGTTCCAATGATCTATATCTCTGTTTTGGTACCAGTACCATGCTGTTTTGGTTACTGTAGCCTTGTAGTATAGTTTGAAGTCAGGTAGTGTGATGCCTCCAGCTTTGTTCTTTTGGCTTAGGATTGACTTGGCGATGCGGGCTCTTTCTTGGTTCCATATGAACTTTAAAGTAGTTTTTTCCAATTCTGTGAAGAAAGTCATTGGTAGCTTTATGGGGATGGCATTGAATCTGTAAATTACCTTGGGTAGTATGGCCATTTTCACGATATTGATTCTTCCTACCCATGAGCATGGAATGTTCTTCCATTTGTTTGTATCCTCTTTTATTTCCTTGAGCAGTGGTTTGTAGTTCTCCTTGAAGAGGTCCTTCACATCCCTTGTAAGTTGGATTCCTAGGTATTTTATTCTCTTTGAAGCAATTGTGAATAGGAATTCACTCATGATTTGGCTCTCTGTTTGTCTGTTGTTGGTGTATAAGAATGCTTGTGATTTTTGTACATTGATTTTGTATTCCCCAGGGTATTATTAATATTCCTTGCTGAGAAAAGAATTCAGTGATATCTCTCCTACTTGCACATCCGTTTATAGGCTCTCTGCAAGAAGAAGAATATGGCTCTATTCTGCCTGACCCTGCAGGCAGTCAGACCTTTGGTTGTCTTCTCTTGTTCTGTAAAATCACTGTTATTCTGTTTGTTTTCAAGGTGCACTGATTTCATATTGTTCAAACACCCATGTTTTACAATCAGACTTCATATTTTTCAAGCACACATGTTCTACAATCAGTTTGTACAATAGTGATCCTGAGGTGATGTACATTCTCAGCTTACAAAGATAACAGGATTAAGAGATTAAAGTAAAGACAGGCATAAGAAATTATGAGTATTATTTGGGAACTGATAAATGTCCATGAAATCTTCACAATTTATGTTTTTCTGCCACGGTGCCAGCCAGTCCCACCATTTGGGGTCCCTGACTTCCCACAACATATATCTGCTCAGGAGATAGATGGAGACAGATATGGAGGCAAATATAAGCTCTTCAGTGAAATAAGTGTTATAATGAAAGAATACTTAAAGATATTAGAAGTATAATAAAAAGTGTTGATGTGGGGGTGGAGTTTCCTATGAAGATCAGTTTTAAAAATGTAATTGGGATGTAAATTCTGTCTCTAAAATACCTTATGTTATGTTTAGCCATCAGAAAGGTTCAAGGTTATTTTTTTCTTTTAACTTTTATTATGAACATTTTGAAATGTATTCAGAAATAGCATTTAGTAAACCACCATGTACCCATCACTCAAGAAAGCTTTAAATCAATGAAAACCTGAAGCCCTTTTTAAAAACACGACTTTATTTATTTATTTATTTAATTTTTATAGACAGGGTCTCACTCTGTTGCCCAGACTGGAGTGCAGTGGCACAGTCATAGCTTACTGTAACCTTGAACTCCTGGCCTCAAGCAATCTTCCTGCCTTGGCCTCCCAAAGCACTGGGATTACAAGTGTAAGCCACCATGCCCAGCCCTATTTTATAGTATTTTATAGCTTGCCCTTTAAACATGAGCATGATATCTAGAGTAATAGTGGAGTGATACTAGTTGCTTTCAGAGCTGAGTATCAATTTGTTTAGATGCTGCAAGACATCCTGAAAAATTTGGCAATTTCAAATGGAAATATGAAATAAAGCTTTTTTGTATATTTAAATGAACTGTCAAGATAGTTTACTTTGAAGATTTGAGTTTCAAAAATGTATTATCTAAATCATGCATTTTCTTAGTTTTTTTTTTTTTTTTTTTTTTTTTTTTTTGAGACAGAGTCTCGCTCTATTGCCCAGGCTGGAGTGCAGTGTTGCAATCTTGGCTCACTGCAAGTTCCGCCTCCCAGGTTCACGCCATTCTCCTGCCTCAGCCTCCTGAGTAGCTGTGACTACAGGCGCCTGCCACTGCACCTGGCTAATTTTTTTTTGTATTTTTTAGTAGAGACGGGGTTTCATGGTGTTAGCCAGGATGGTCTCGATCTCCTGACCTTGTGATCCGCCCATCTCGGCCTCCCAAAGTGCTGGGATTACAGGCGTGAGCCACCGCACCTGGCCCTCTTAGTTTCTTATAATTCTTTATAATGGACTGCTTATACCAGAGCTCCTATTTTATCTCAAAGTTTGATTATTTTGTTCACGTTGTTCTTTAGATGCTATTAAACTACAGCTGGTTGAAGCAGGCCTAGTAGAGTGTCTACTAGAGATTGTTCAGCAAAAAGTGGATAGTGACAAAGAAGATGATATTACTGAGCTCAAAACTGGTTCAGATCTCATGGTTTTATTACTTCTTGGAGGTGAGTTGTAATTTATGCCAGCCAAAGAATGTGGTTGTCAGATGTTTTTAAAATTTATTGTCTCTTCTGTAAATACTACCCTAGACATTTTCTCATATTCCTATCTCACCTGCTATTGAGGTGATGATTTTGACATCTTAAACATGCCATTGATACAACCAGACATAATGAACCTGAAAAAGAAGTGTCTTCACTATCTTCCAGTATTTGAAGAGCTGTCACATAGAAGAGATAGCTTTGGCACCAAGGGACTAAAGAAAAGCTAGATGGCTCCCTGGGACTTGGACTAGAAAAAATGCTAGACTCTATTGTCTAGTATCTATTAAATGTTTATTATAAAAAGAATCATTACTTTTCCCATTATGAATGTAACAGTTTGTGAGGTGTGAGTTTCCAGTTGGATATTCACCTAAGAATGTGAATTTGTTACTCCTAGTTATTTTTCTCTTGCTTAACTATTCGTTTCATTTACCTCCAGATGAATCCATGCAGAAGTTATTTGAAGGAGGAAAAGGTAGTGTATTTCAAAGGGTACTCTCTTGGATCCCATCAAATAACCACCAGCTACAGCTTGCTGGAGCATTGGCAATTGCAAATTTTGCCAGAAATGGTAAGCATATTAGTTCCTCCTTTGTTAGTCAAATACTCTATATTTGTTTATTTTTGCTTTGCTACCACATATACTAAAACTGGAACAGTTTAGAAGTTGTGTAATATGTGTATATGCTGCTAACTTAATTTTTCAGAAATCTGAAATACTTAGTGACATTCCTAACAAATTACATATTTTATGCAATTCAACTAAATTCTAATAGTTTAAATATCATGAAGTGCTTCTTTTGAATACTTGGCACTTCAGAGCTTAGTAAGTTTGAATCCCATTCTAGTATACATCTGCTTTCTTTTGCCTAGTGATTTTATTTTGGATCTAATTATCTGAGTATTCATTCTAGGATTATTGTGCCTCAACTTATATACTTTTATGCCCATAAAACTTAAGTATGAATAATCCCCTGGCATCGTGTAGAATGTTTAATTTAGTTTAATAATGTTTCAGGGGGCGCCAGACTTCTATGTTTATGAAATCTGGCACTACCAAAAAACTCAAATACAGTCTAGAAACTCATTCTTACGTTCCTCATGAAATATACCGTGTCTAGGAAATACAGTTTATTTTTCTTTTTAGTTTAATCATCTTCCAGTACAAACTGTTGGTATATATTATATCATAATGGCTTACTTGCTCCATTTTTACTCCTTCTTTTTGGGAGTGACTTCCTAATTATGGAGGTAAGAGTGGCATAATATGGATAATTATTGAAACTAGATATGGGGTAAATAGTGGTTCATTATAATATTCTCTCCGCTTTGTAAGTGTTTGAAAAATAATTTAGGTATCAGCCATGATAGCAAAAGGTAGAGTACTATCACTGTAACATTGGGAGAACACAAGCATACATCACAATAAATGAAAAATATTGGACATTCTAACCATGTGTTTCTACTTCTGATATATTATCTGGCTCTAAACTAAAGATTTTTCTGGTAATTTTCTGATTTTAAAACTTTTATCTAGTTTAAGAATTTTTTTTAACACTTCTCACTCAGTAAACAGAAAAACCTATAAATCTGATGGGAGAAAGATTTGGAATTCATTTTATTGTATAGCTCCATTTTCCCTAATGTAGATAATAGCCAGACATCAGTATTATAAAGTATTTATAGATATTTTAAAGAGGAAGAAAAAGATGTGTGTTTTTTTTTTCAGATGCAAATTGTATTCATATGGTAGACAATGGGATTGTAGAAAAACTTATGGATTTACTGGACAGACATGTAGAAGATGGAAATGTAACAGTACAGCATGCAGCACTAAGTGCCCTCAGAAACCTGGCCATTCCAGGTAAGACTTAAGAATAGAAGGCAGCTGTGTACAAAATAAAATCCATCATTTGGGGAAGCTATTAACTGTATGTGATTTGTGAACCTGCTCTGATGAAGAAAATTTAAAAAAAAATAGTCTTCACATTGTTCACATTTTTTCATGCTAATAAATGGAGATCATATGTTAAATAAGTTTTGTGAGACTGTACAAGAATAATCTTTGCCTTCATTCAGATATCCTGTTACCTTTTGCGAACTGTTAGATTTTCATCATGTTTTATAGTTAAGCTTTTTTAAGTTTGAGATGGGGTCTCACTCTGTCAGCCAGGCTAGAGTGCAGTGACGCAGTCCTGGCTCACCACAGCCTCTACCTTCTGAGCTCAAGTTATCCTCCCACCT
The DNA here is from genome assembly GCF_000001405.40 of Homo sapiens. Lineage (NCBI taxonomy): Eukaryota > Metazoa > Chordata > Mammalia > Primates > Hominidae > Homo > Homo sapiens. Next base: position 98,419,172 of record NC_000004.12, read on the forward strand.
CAGCCTCCTGAGGAACAGGGACTACAGGCATGTGCCACCATGCCCAGCTGATTTTTTTTTTTTGTAGAAACAGGATCTCACTATGTTGCCTAGGCTGGTCTTGAACTCCTGGGCTCAAGCAGTCCACCCACCTTTGCCTCCTAAAGTGCTGGGATTACAGGTGAGAGCTACTGCACCAGGCCTTAGGCATCTTTAGTTGAGGTAGAATAATGACATCAATTAACAGAGTCCACTCAAGAATGACTTTCAGTTGTTGTTTTTCTATAAGCAGATGTACAATTTTTTTAAAATAGCCTTAATGTGCCTTTGGAAGTCATGAAATCACTGTATTATGGAAAATACAACAAAAGATAGTTAAAACTATTCTTTTATCCTACTTTCTAAAAATAAATTTCTGATTAGATGAAATAGTACAATTACATGATGATCCAATCCATTTGAATTCATTTGGTTTACATAGGATAGTAACATTTATTAATGTCTATAACATTTATATTAACACAGTTGGATCAAAAACGGAATTGTGCTTTTTGTTGTAAGAGGGTAACATTTTCAGATTTCCTTTACAAACTATGTAAGTAAGTGTTTTGGATTGGATCTAAAAAGCCATGATACTGTCATAAAAATTATTATATTGTCTGTTATCCGCTTATACACAAATAGGATACGGACACACACATAAACAACTGAATTCCATTCTTAAAATTGACAAAAAAGTGACAAGATTGTTTCTAAATGGAAAAATAAAACATGGATCTTAAAGATACTTAATAAACCTGTATTGAATTGAATGTTTATCAACAGGAATGCTAATACCATTTTAACCATAGTCTCTCTTTTTCTCCAGTTATAAATAAAGCAAAGATGTTATCAGCTGGGGTCACAGAGGCAGTTTTGAAATTTCTTAAATCTGAAATGCCTCCTGTTCAGTTCAAACTTCTGGGAACATTAAGAATGTTAATAGATGCACAAGGTAAAAGAAATGTTTTCCCCAACTTGCATTTTTCATATGATAGTCTTAATGTGCCTCTAGTTGAAAAAGGACTTGTTTTTAGCTTTTAGGATTATGTAATCATAAAAAATAGCAAATAAAAGATTTAAAAGTTGGTTTTGGAACTCCATTTGTTAATTTTTATGCTTGTTATAATTATTTATTTATACATATTATTTATTTATTTATTTATTTATTTATTTGTTTATTTATTTATTTTTGAGACAGAGTCTTGTTCTGTCACCCAGGCTGGAGTGCAGTGGTGCGACCTCAGCTCACCGCAACTTCCGCCTCCTGGGTTCAAGCAATTTTCCTGCCTCAGCCTCCTGAGTAGCTAGGATTACAGGCATGCTCCACAACTCCTGGCTAATTGTTTTGGAATTTCACTAGACATGGGGCTTGTTGCTCAGGCTGCTCTTGAACTCCTGGCCTCAAGCGATCCACCCACTTCAGCCTCCCAAAGTGCTGGGATTACAGGTGTGAGCCACCATGTCCAGCCTATAATTGACTTTAAATAGAAATTATACCATATCTCTCCTTATTAGTACTTATAGTCCTGGTTTTAGGTTGCTTTATTCATCAGTTTCGGCAGGGGGTGTTGTGTTTTGGCATTCTATACCCATTTTTACCTTGGCTTTGAAATCAAATTTCATTATTGTGACAGTCAAAAATTTTTTAAATTTGTCTTCCAGACAGGGAGAGCATTTTTCTGTTTGCAGAAACAGCAGTCAGAACCACTCCTAGGAATGAATTATGTTTATTTACTTATTTCTAAATTTTAAACCCTTTTCTATATTGATTGCATAGAGTCTTTCTAAGAACCCTGCATTATAGTCCGCCAGAGCACTAACAGACTAGCAGGCTTAACCAAAAGAGTATGAAGTCATTTGTTGTTGTATTTTCTATAAAATTTCACAGTGTTACAGAAGAAGGCAAATAGCCCATCACATAAGGAATATTTGCAGTTCTAGCTTTAATGAAATTGTCGTGCTGTGTTTTTTTAGACGTCCTTCACACTCTCAAATCTGTACGAATTATTTCAACTGATTGTCTGTTAGTGATTCATTCCTTGGTTTGCCTTCTTTCCTATAGCAGAAGCTGCTGAACAATTGGGAAAGAATGTTAAGTTAGTGGAGCGTTTGGTGGAATGGTGTGAAGCCAAAGATCATGCTGGTGTGATGGGGGAGTCAAACAGACTGCTGTCTGCCCTTATACGACACAGTAAATCAAAAGTAAGTTCCAGAGGAAACTGTTCACTAGAAAACTTCAGAGTGTCTTTTTCAGAAACCCAGCATTGTAGGTCCTAACAACTGGGATAATATTTACCTGAAAGTATTGTGAAGATTCAGTGAGATCATGTATATAATGTGCTTAGCTGATACATGGGATATAGGAAACACTCGGTAAATGGGGGTTGCTGTTGTTGCTGCTGCTATTGTTGTTATTACTTTTACCACCACCGTTATCAGCATCAGTGTCAAACATTCTTTGTGCCAGGCATTGACCATGCAGCCTACTGATATTTAGAAATTAAATGGTACCTAGATAGTATATGATGTCCAGAGCTCACAGAGTTAGAAAAAAATCCATTCTTGTGGCTGGCTGTGCCGCTGTCTGGCACATGGTAGATAACCAATAAATGAACAAATGAGCTATTTTAAAGATCACAATAGTGAGTACCCAGGCCAGCAGTTCAGCAGCTGATTTAGTATCTAGATTATATGATTTTTAAATTTTTTAAATACTGTTTTCTTGTTGGGCGTGGTGGCTGACACCTGTAATCCCAGCACTTTGGGAGACTGAGGTGGGCAGATCATGAGGTCAGGAGATCAAGACCATCCTGGATAACATAGTGAAACCCCGGGTCTACTAAAAATACAAAAAAAAATTAGCTGGGCGTGGTGGCGGGCACCTGTAGTCCCAGCTACTCGGGAGGCTGAGGCAGGAGAATGGCGTGAACCCGGGAGGCGGAGCTTGCAGAGAGCCGAGATTGCACCACTGCACTCCAGCCTGGGTGACAGAGCAAGACTCCGTCTCAAAATAAAATAAAATACTGTTTTCTTTTTCTTTTTTGAGACTGAGTCTTGCTCTCTCGCTCAGGCTGGAGTACAGTGGCACAATCTCAGCTCATTGCAACCTCCACCTCCTGGGTTCAAGCAATTCTCCTGCCTCAGCCTCCAGAGTAGCTGGGATTACAGGCAGGCGCCACCACACTCGGCTAATTTTTGTATTTTTAGTAGAGATGGGGTTTCACCATGTTGGCCAGGCTGGCCTCAAACTCCTGACCTCATGATCCTCCCACCTTGGCCTCCCAAAGTGCTGGGATTACAGGCATGAGCCACCATGCCCAGCCTTTAATACTGTTTTCTAAGGTGACCCTTTCAGTCATTTCTCTTGTACAACTTCAGTAGTGATTATATATGAGGAGAAAGTTTAGAACTCAAATCCACCAGCTGTTTTCATTTATTTTTAGAACAGATAAGAAGAAGATGCCAAGAGAAAAAACGTAAAACTAAAGCTGTTCTTGTATAAATCTCTTTCATATAAATAATTGGCTTCACCATAATAGCTGTCCCAGCTGGTAAGCCTCAGGAGTGTTCTTCTCCATCAGATGCTAAATCTTGAGAACTTTCCCTGGGGAAAAGCAGCTGTTAACTAGGACCTTCCTATTACCTGTCTCACCCAGACCACCCTAAAAGCTCATACATTTTTCCTGACACAGGACCAAGCAGTATGTTGGCAAGGTGGAAGTTGTCAGGAGAGAATAGCAAAATGGCTTCCTTGGTACCCCTTTGACCCCTTCTCCATCATAACTGCTCTCTCACGCCCATTTGTTCATTTAACAGTTAATATTTGAGTTCTTGCAGTGTAAATACTAAAAAATAGTGTTTCTATAAAGGAATTAACTATCCGTTGAGGGGACAGAAATAAAAACAGCTAGCTTAAGTACAGCTTTAAAGCTACGTATGCTATTCGGGTGTAACAGAGGAAAGAAAGACTAACACACTGTCTGGGTAATCTGGGATGGTGCCATAGAAGGAGTGCTATTTTAGGCGTTAACTAGGAATCTCAGGAGGAAAGGGAAAGAGAATGAAGGAAAGGGCCTTTTCAGGCAAAGACAGCAGGATGTACAAAAGCACAGAGATGTAAAACAGCATAATTTTTTAAAGAAACTGCAAATAAAGCAGTATTGCTAGAACACAGAGTGTAGAAAGAGACAGTAGCCAGAGAGGTTGAAAACTGGGAATTAAGTGAATTATATACCAAGTTAAGATATATGGACTTGATTCTGTAGAGAATTCGGGAGCACTTAAAGGGTTTTAAGCAGCAAGTTGCCATTATTTGAGGGTTTTTTTGTTTTCTTTATTTTTTGTTTTTTTGTTTTTTCGGGGTTTTTTTGAGACAGAGTTTCGCTCTTGTTGCCCGGGCTGGAATGCAATGGTGCGATCTCCACTCACTGTAACCTCCGCCTCCCGGGATCAAGTGATTCTCCTGCCTCAGCCTCCTGAGTAGCTAGGATCACAGGCGTGCACCACCATGCCCGGCTAATTTTGTATTTTTAGTAGAGACGGGGTTTCTCCATTTTGGTCAGGCTGGTCTCAAACTGCCGACCTCAGGTGATCCGCCTACCTCGGCCTCCCAAAGTGTTGGGATTACAAGCGTGAGCCACCACACCCAGCCATTTAGTTTTCATTTAGAAAGATGTCTCTAGGGTTTAATGGGGGTAGAAAGGACAGTTATTGCAAAAATATATATGAGAGTTGATAAAGGACTGAATTAAGGTTTTGAGTTGAGCAATTTGAAATTGCTGATATTCAGCCATTTTTGAAACAAATTTCATATGGGTTATTCAACTAGAAGCAGCGAGGATGGAAAAGAAGAGACAGACCTGAGAAAAATATGGGTGGTAGAATTGACAGATTCAACAGTAGAATTAAAGGAGGAGGTAGTTTTAGAGCTAATTCCAAGTTTGGGGTTTACCACCAGATTGGGTTATCATGCCATTCAACAAAATAAAACACTATAGGAAGAGGTGCAGCTAACACTCCCTAAACTTGCCCACTCGCCCATGCTCTTTGGAGTCATTACCCTTAATCTTTTTGCTCTACTCCAAGAGAATCTCCACCATTGGTTTGCAGGGGTATACAATCATTTGGATTTCCCTGGGCCATATTGGAAAACGAATTGTCTTGGGCCACACATAAAATGCACTAACACTAACAATAGCTGATGAGCTTAAAAAAACAAAAATCACAAAAAAAACTCAAACACCTGTGGCATTTGAAGAAGAAGAGAAATCTAAAAGTTTAGAAAACCAGCTGAGTGCGGTGGCTCACGCCTGTAATCCCAGTACTTTGGGAGGCCAAGGTAGGTGGATCATTGTGGTCAGGAGTTCCAGACCAGCCTGGCCAACATGGTGAAACCCCATCTCTACTAAAAATGCAAAAATTAGCCAGGCATGGTGGCGTGCGCCTGTAATCCCAGCTACTGGGGAGGCTGAGGCAGGAGAATTGCTTGAACCTGGGAAGCGGAGGTTGCAGTGAGCCAAGATCGTGCCACTGCACTCCATCCTGGGTGACAGAGCAAGACTCCCAAGACTCTGTCTCCAAAAAAAAAAAAAAAACAAAGAAAACTTTTGGAAAACATATTTGGGAGAATAATCAAGGAAGACTTCTCCAGTCTTGCTAGAGACCTAGACGTCCAAATACAAGAAGCTCAAAGAATACCTGGGAAATTCATTGCAAAAAGATCATTGCCTAGGCATATTGTCATCAGGTTATCTAAAGTTAAGACAAAGGAAAGAATCTTCAGAGCTGTGAAGCAAAAGCACGAGGTAACCTATAAAGGAAAACCTATCAACTTAACAGTGGATTTCTCAGCAGAACCCCTACAAGCTAGAAAGGATTGGGGCCCTATCTTCAGTCTCCTTAAAGAAAGCAATTATCAGCCAAGAATTCTGTATCCAGTGAAACTAAGCTTCATAAATGAAGGAAAGATACAGTGTGTTTCAGACAAACAAATACTGAGAGAATTCACCACTACCAAGCCAGCACTACAAGAGCTGCCAAAAGGAGCCCTAAATCTTAAATCCTGGAAACACATCAAAACAGAACCTCTTTAAAGAATAAATCTCACAGGACCTACAAAACAAAAATACAATTAAAAAAAAAGTGGGGGGTATACAGGCAACAGATAGCATGATGAATGGAATAGTACCTCACATCTCAATACTAAGATTGAATGTAAATGGCCTAAATGTTCCACTAAAAGATACAGAATTGCAGAATAGATAAGAATTCATTAACTATCTGCTGCCTTTAAGAGACTTACCCAACACATAAGGACTCACTTAAGGTAGAGGGGTGGAAAAAGACATTCTATGTAAATGGATACCAAAAGTCAGCAGGAATAGCTATCTTGTATCAGGCAAAACAAACTTTAAAGAAACAGCAGTTCAAAAAGACAGAGGGACATTATATAATGATAAAAGGCCTTGTCCAACAGGAAAATATCACAATCCTGAATATATATGCACCAAACACTGGAGCTTCCAAATTTATAAAACAATTGCCAATAGACCTAAGAAACAAGATAGACAGTAACACAATAGTGGGAGACTTCAATACTCCACTGACAGCATTAAAGAGGTTATCAAGACAGAAAGTCAACAAAGAAACAATGGATTTAAACTATACCCTAGAACAAATGGACTTAACAGATATTTACAGAACATTCTACCCAAAACTGCAAAATATACATTCTATTCATTAGCAAATGGAACTTTTCTCCAAGATAGACCATATAATAGACCACAAAACAAGCCTCAATAAATTTTAAGAAAATTGAAATTATGGCAAGTACTCTCTCAAACCACAGTGGAATAAAACTGGAAATCAACTCCAAAAGGAACCTTCAAAGCCATGCAAATACATGGAAATTAAATAACCTGCTCCTGAATGATCACTGGGTCAATAACAAAATCAAGATGGGAATTTAAAAATTCTTTGAACTGAACAATAAATGATACAACCTATCAATACCTCTGGGATACAACAAAGGCGTTGCTAAGAGGAAAGTTTATAGCCTGAAATAGGCATTTCAAAAAGTCTGAAAGAGCACAAAGAGACAATCTAAGGTCACATTTCAAGGAACTAGAGAAACAAGAACAAACCAAACCCATACCCAGCAGAAGAAAGGAAATAACCAAGATCAGAGCAGAACTAAATGAAATTGAAACAAAAAAGACAATACAAAAGATAAATGAAACAAAAAGCTGATTATTTGAGAAGATGAATAAGATTGATAGACCATAACCAAGAAAAGAAGAGAGAAAATTCAAATAAGCTCACTTAGAAAAGAAATGGGAAATACTACAACTGACACCACAGAAATACAAAAGGTCATTCACAGCTACTATGAACACCTTTACATGCAAAAACTAGAAAACCTAGAGGAGATGGATAAATTCCTGGAAAAATACAACCTTGCTAGCTTAAATCAGGAAGAATTATTTAGATACCCTGAACAGACCAATAACAAGCAACCAGATTGAAATGGTAATTTAAAAATTACCAACAAAAAAAAGTCCAGGACCAGACAGATTCACAGCTGAATTCCACCAGACATTCAAAGAATAATTGGTACCAATCCTATTGACACTATTCCAAAAGATAGAGAAAGAGGGAATCCTCCCCAAATCATTCTGTGAAGCCAATATCACCCTAATACCAAAACCAGGAAAGGACATAACAAAAAAAGAAAACTACAGACCAAAATCCCTGATGAACATAGATACAAAAATCCTTAACAAAATACTAGCTAACCAAATCCAACAACATATCAAGAAGATAACTCACCATGATCAAATGGGTTTCATACCAGGGATGCAGGGATGGTTTAACATACCCAAGTCAATAAATGTGACACACCACATAAACAGAATTAAAACAAAAATCACATGATCATCTCAATAGATGCAGAAAAAGCATTCCACAAAGTCCAGCATCTCTTTATAATTAAAACTCAGCAAAATTAACATACCAGTGACATACCTCAATATAATAAAAGCCGTCTATGAGAAACTCATATCCAACATAATACTGAATGGGAAAAAGTTGAAAGCATTCCCTCTGAGAACTGGAACAAGATAAGGATGCCCACTCTCACCACTTCTGTTCAACAGGACTGGAAGTCCTAGCCAGAGCAATCAGACAAGAGAAAGAAATAAAGGTCATCCACATCGGTAAAGAGGAAGTTAAACTGTTGCTATTTGCTGATGATATGACTGTATACCTAGAAAACCCTAAAGACTCCTCCAAAAAGCTCCTAGAACTGATAAAAGAATTCAGCAAAGTTTCCAGATACAAAATTAATGTACACAAATTAGCTCTCCTATCACCAAGAGCAACTAAGCTGAGAATCCAATCAAGAACTCAACCCTTTTACAATAGCTGCAAAAAATAAAATAAAATAAAATACTTAGGAATATTCCTAACCATGGAGATGTAGTTTTACAAGGAAAACTACAAAACACTGCTAAAGAAAATCATAGATGACACAAATGAAAACACATCCAATGCTCACCGATGGGTAGAATCAATATTGTGAAAATGACCATACTGCCAAAAGCAATCTACAAATTCGATGTAGGTCCCATTAAAATACCACCATCATTCTTCACAGAACTAGAAAAAACAATTCTAAAATTCATATGGAACCAAGAAAGAGCCTGCATAGCCAAGGCAAGACTAAACAAAACAAATCTGGAGGCATCACATTACCTGATTTCAAAGTATACTATAAGGCCACAGTCATCAAAACAACATGGTAGTGGTACAAAAATAGGCACACAGACCAATTGAACAGAATAGAGAACCGAGTAATAACCCCAAATACTTACAGCCAACTGATCTTTGACAAAGCAAACAAAAACAAAATGGGGAAAGGGCACCATATTCAACAAATGGTGCTGTGATTATTGGCATGGAAGAATAAAACTGTTGCCTCATTTCCAACTTAATACAAAAAAAAAATCAACTTGAGATGGATCAAGGACTTAAATCTAAGACCTGAAACTAAAAATTCTAGAAGATAATATCAGAAAAAGCCCCTTCTAGATGTTGGCTTAGGCAAGGATTTCATGATCAAGAACCCAAAGCAAATGCAATAAAAACAAAGGTAAATAGCTGGGACTTAATTAAACTAAAGAGCTTTTGCATGGCAAAAGGAACAGTCGGCAGAGTAAACAGACAACCCACAGAGTGGAAGAAAATCTTCACAATCTATACATCTGACAGAGGACTAATATCCAGAATCTACAATAAACTCAAACAAACTAGCAAGAAAAAAACTAATAATCCCATCAGAAAATAGGCTAAGCACATGAATAGACAGTAATGAAGATATACAAATGGCCAACTTATGAAAAAATGCTCAGCATCACTAATGATCAGGGAAATGCACATCAAAACCACAATGCCATAACACCTTACCCATGCAAGAATGTCCATAATCAAATAAAAAAATAATAGATGTTGGCATGGATGCAGTGAATAGGGAATACTTCTACACTGCTGGTGGGAATGTAAACTAATACAACCACTATGGAAAACAGTGTGGAGATTCCTTGAAGAACTAAAAGTAGATTTACCATTTGATCCAGCAATCCCACTACTGGGTATCTGCCCAGTAGAAAAGAAGTCATTATACAAAAAATATACTTGCACACATGTTTATAGCAGCACAATTCACAATTGGAAAAATGTGGAACCAACCCAATGCCCATCAGTTAACGAGTGAATAAAGAAACTATGGGGCCAGGCATGGTGGCTCACGCCTGTAATCCCAACACTATGGGAGGACGAGGCAGGCAGATCACCAAGTCAGGAGATCAAGACCATCCTGGCTAACATGGTGAAACCTCGTCTCTACTAAAAATACAAAAAATTAGCCAGGCATGGTGGCGGGCGCCTGTAGTCCCAGCTACGCTGGAGGCTTAGGCAGGAGGATGGCGTGAACCCGGGAGGTGGAGCTTGCAGTGAGCCGAGATGGCACCACTGCACTCCAGCCTGGGTAACAGTGCAAGACGTGTCTCAAAAAAAAAAAAAAAAAGAAAAGAAACTATGATGTGTATATATATATATGATGGAATGCTACTCAGCCATAAAAAGGAATGAATTAATGGCATTCGCAGCAACCTGGATGAGATTGGAGACTATTATTCTGACTCAGGGGTGGAAACCCAAACATCATATGTTCTTACTTATAAGTAGGAGCTAAGCTATCAGGATGCAAAGACATAAGAATGACACAACAGACTTTGGGGACTTAGGGGTAAAGGGTGGGAAGGGGGTGAGGGATAAAAGACTACAAATATGGTGCAGTGTATACTGCTCGGGTGATGGGTCCACCAAAATCTCACAAATCACCACTAAAGAACTTACTTATGTAACCAAACACCACCTGTTCCCCAGTAACCTATGGAAATAATTTTTTTTAATCACAAAAGAATTTCATAATGTTTTAAGAAAGCTACGAATTTGTGTTGGGCCACGTTCAAAATCATCCTGGGCTGCAGGTTGGACACGCTTGGTTTAGAGTTTTGGCAAACCATAATTGTATTAACTAATTTACAGACATGATCCTGGCATCTGAATTTGGAACTCTCAGATAAATTCCTGTTACATGTAGTAGTAAGGCTCGTGGAAACCTTGATTAATCTAGTATCTTCAGTATCAACTAACAGAATTACATAACCAAACCATTCATGGACACAAAAATATGTCCACAGGAAGATACATCCCAGCTTCTTAGAAACATCTGAATTTAGGAGCCAGAACTACTTAAATGCTATAATATTTAATAAATTTAAAGATTTTGAGGCTTTTCTGTGAATTTTGTTCATAGATCCCCCTTTCCCTCATCTAACCTCCCACTTCTCGCCCATCCCCGAAAAGAAGAGTTCAAATACCCATCACCACGCAGGTTCTTTGAATGATGAGAACTGTGGCATGGTACCCTTTTAGGAAAAGGTGGATGGGGGTGTGTGTAGCAGAAAACAACTTGAAATTATATAGGATTGTAACTTTATAGTTACATATTACAACTTTAGGATTACAATTCAATACCTTTACATATCTTTCCTACAATTGAGAGTATACTGCTGCTAAGCAGCCAAGGAGCCTTGATTCTCACACTTTAATGAGCAGAACTATAAAGTGTGTTAATTGCATGAGTTCTATGTCAGAGCTGTTATTTTCTAACTTAACCAGTGTTACAGTAGACATGACTGCTTTTGAGCAGCAGTTCAAGTTTGTTTCATCAAATTATAATCCCAAGAAATCTTCTACAAAGAAAGAGTTGCATAGGTAGATTAGTTATGCAAATAGTAATTATTTTTTTCTTTGCCTTTGAGATTCACAGCACACATTAATACTAAAGAAACCTCTTTAATTTTATTTGAATCCACTGATTGCCAAACTGTTTGACCATGGATCCTTTCTGCAGGTGGCATCTGTTATTACACTGGACGTACTTTGGAAAAATGCTGTTCTAGAATAAGTTTTTAAAATAATTAAACACCAGGTTCAAATGTATTACATTCCTGTAGATCCTTAGCCAGCTGTGTGAATCACAGCTCTCTCCTTGTGTTGTTCTTAAACTTTGAAGATCATACCTCACCCTGAATTCCGTCTTGGAGTTCAACCCTTCAAAAGTTTGCACTGACTCACAAGGTTTCATGCTGCTTAGTCATCTCAGCACTTTGCAGTGTATTCCTGTGCTGATGCTCTTAGGTAAAGTCACACCTTTCTTTGAAAGAGTGCCCTAGTCTAGGACTGCTGACCAACTAGCTGAATCTTCCAATTATAGACATCAAAAATGTAAAGAGAAATATAGGTTGCCTTTATACCAGGAATATAAAAACTCCCTGCTATCAAAGCCAGCACTTTTCTTTAACCTTTAAGAGTAGAGAATTCTTTATCAGTTACCAGGCTAAAAACTTGTTTAAACAAATGTATTTAGTCATTTGCTCATTCATCCAACAAACATTTATTTAAATCCCGTACTGAAAAGGCTTTGATGATACAATCTTGAAAAAGAAAATTTTTGTTAAGTGGCTCACCAACTCAATGGCTATACCAACCGGCAATCTTATAAAATTACCTCAAATCAAAGCCTATCTGAAAATATTCCGTTGTGATCAACATGATACAGTTTTCAACAGTCTTAACCTGGGTTGATTTCACTAATCAAGGGCAAATTGACTAAATGCTAAATAGATGAAATTGTTAGCATGGATAATTTGCCTTGGTTTTATATATACCAAAATTTAGCTTTCTATAAGAATAGAACTATGAAATAAAACATGTTTCAGACTGCATAAAGCATCTCCAGAATTTTTAAGAACAAAGACCCACTAATCAGCCAAACTGCCTAGGTTTTAGCCTTGGCTTTACCACTTATTTATTGTCTGAACTTGGGCAAATGACTTCATCTGAGCTTCAGTTCCTTCATCTATATGAACAGGAGATGATATCTAGCTAATGAGATTTTCTGCAGGATAAAAATTTGCTAATATCTATAAGCTACTCAGTACAATGTCCAGCTTATAGTTATTGCTCCATAAAGGGTTGCCATCAATATTATTCTGTCACATGTGACGAATACGATGTTTTATCTATTTTTTAATCCCATATTCTATAAGGCAAAATGATTTCATAGAATAGCTATTCAATAAACATTTGTTGAAGTAGTTGGTGAGAGGGCAGGAATTTTTTTTTTTAATTATACTTTAAGTTCTAGGGTACATGTGCACAACGTGCAGATTTGTTACATAGGTATACATGTGCCGTGTTGGTGTGCTGCACCCATTAACTCATCATTTACATTAGGTATTTCTCCTAATGCTATCCCTCCCCGCTCCCCCCATCCCACGACAGGCCCCAGTGTGTGATGTTCCCCAGAGGGCAGAAATTTTAAAAAGGACTCAGGTATCTGTTCCGGAAAAGTGAGATGAAAGTATACCTGGCCAAAGAGAGGACACTGTTCATTTCTGATGTACACATTTCCTTAGTTCATTCCCTACTCTTCCTTCTACTACACTGGTCTTTTAAGTGTGATTAGAAACATAGAGGACAAAATGACAGTTCAAACATCTTCCCTAAATGATTGCATATGTATCTGTTCATCTCTTATGGTCTTCTTTACTCAAGCTCTTTTGTGATTTTTATAAAATTTTTTACTAAGAATTCTGTGTCTGTTTCAAATAAACTGTTGCTGAGTAAACAGTAAATTGGGGAGGTTAGAAAAAGCTTTCTAAAACAGATTGATGGGGAAAAATGTATTAGATGCCAGAACACAGCTACCATAAAAACTTAGTTCTTGGACTCTATTTAGCAAGTTTGATCACTAAACAAGTTTGGGCTCAAAGCAAAGATACTTTCTAAAAATAGTTTTCTCAAAAAATTTTTATGAAATGGAAGCATAAAGCAAACCCTTTAAAAATATTTTAGCAAATTTGGAAAATATTTCCAACTACAATTAATTTTGAAGCTGACTCAGGCTTTTTAAAATGTCCAGACCTTCAAATTATTAAAAATATTGAAAATAGAGAAAATTATTTTTAAAATATTATTGAGACCTCCTACTAAATCAGATTTAGTTCAAGAGTTCTAAGACAACGGAACCCTTGGTGGAATGAAGACCAAAAAGGGTACTAGAAATAAAGGTGAACATTTTTTTTTTCATCTAACTTTTGCCAGATGGTCTTATATGTTTTCTGTGTAATAACTTTGTAATAACAAAAACCTATGAGATATATACTTACATCATTCCAGTGACATGGAGATAGTACTGAGGTAAGAGAGGTTCAGTAATTTGCTCAGTCAGTGGGATTTATTGAATCCAGAGCTTGATGTCTCCTCTGTCATGGAGAGAAGACAGAGCTCTAAGCACCATGAGAAATGAGGGCAGATGGAGAATTTTAAGTTCTGCTCAGTCTTTTTGCATGTAATTCAGTTTTCATATTTGTAAGATTAAATCAAGGGGTAAAAAGTACTTAAAATTTTTTCATAAAAGCTTTACCTGGAACATCTGCAGAACAACTACCTGGCACTATCATGAAAATTTAAAAGCAACTTTTTTTTTTTTAAGAGGCAGGTTCTCACTCTGTCACCCAGGCTGGAGTGCAGTGGTGTGATCATAGTTCACTGCAGCCTTGAGCTCCCTGGCTCAAGCAGTCTCCCACCTCAGCACCCTGAGTAGCTGGGACTGCAGATGTGTGCCACCATGACTGGCTAATTTTTTTATTTTTTGTAGAGATGGGGTCTCGCTATGTTGCCAGGCTGGTCTCAAGCGATCCTCCTGTTTTGGCCTGTCAGAGCACTGGGATTAACGTCCTGAGCCACCGTGCCCAGCTGAGAACTTTTTTAAATTCCAAGTTTTATTCTTGTTTGTCAATCCTAAGGTAGGTCAACATTTAAGGCAGTGACATTTTTACTTCTTTGGCTTTGGTAGCTTCTAAGCCTTCTGTTTTTTAATATGAACTGCAGTGGTCTTTTCTACTTAGGCAATTTAAGTTGTCATCTTTTGATGAATGTATTTAAAGCTAAAAGCTTTTTCCTTTTCTTCTGTGGAGAAAAAAACTATGATTAAATCAAATGATTCATACAGGACACTGTCGCAAAACCACTCAACAATGAGTTGACTGATTTTAATGCATGTTCCTTATGTTTAAAATTAAAGTCTATAATTCTCTGATATTATTTATTGTAGGATGTAATTAAAACCATTGTGCAGAGTGGTGGCATCAAGCATCTAGTTACCATGGCAACTAGTGAACATGTAATAATGCAGAATGAAGCTCTTGTTGCTTTGGCATTAATAGCAGCTTTAGAATTGGGTAAGTACCCCAGTGACAAACTTATTTTCTTCTATTTTTATCTTGGATGAAAGGAAGTATAGAAGTGGAGTTGAAGTCAGACAGAACCTTGACTGGAAGCATTTTGCTAGTGTCTGTACCGTTCTCTGAATCTATGGAAAATCATTCTATATAGATTGTTACAGCTGTCCCCTTTGGCTGTGTTTTTGGTAACATTTTTAGGGCAATGCATTAAGGTAAGTTTAACTTTTAAATAATGTCTCAAGTTACAGCCACTTAGAGAATAGAGAAAACGTTTTCAGCAGGCTTCACAGAGAAACCAAACAATATTTAGAATATGACAGCATATGAAGAGTCTGCTACTCTCCCAGTGACCCATACTTTCTCTTCCATCTCTGCTGGTTCTCTCTACTACCGATTCTTTCTTGCTGTTCTCCTTCTCCATCACCGTGACTTCTATTGCCTTACTCTAATGTCTTGTCTTCTGTGTTACCCTTCTGTGTGTTTTGCATTCAGAACTCCCCCAAAGCAGAGGCTAAATAGGCTAAATAATTTCATTAGTTTCAGTTTAACATAGCTTTTTTTTTTTTTTTTTTGAAACAGTCTTGCTTTGTCACCCAGGAGGCTAGAGTGCAGTGGCGCAATCTCAGCTCACTGCAACGTCCGCGTCCTGGGTTCAAGCAATTCTCGTGCCTCAGCCTCCTGAGTAGCTGGGATTACAGGTGCATGCCACTGTGCCTGACTAATTTTTGTATGTTTTGTAGAGACAGGGTTTCACCATGTTGGTCAGGCTGGTCTTGAACTCCTGACCTCAAGTGATCCACCCACCTCAGCCCTCCCAAAGCGCTGGGATTACAGGCGTGATCCACCATGCCCGGCCCTAATATAGCATTTCTGTTGGGCAGAATTCATCACGAGAAGCTAATCCGTAGACATCTAGTTTATGAATAGCATAAGCTGGATGGCTTTGGAGCCAACCCAAGACAGTCAGCCAGGGATGGTGTAATAGAGTCACGTGGCCTGTGGTTAAGGCCTAAGGCTGCTTAACACAAAGGAGGACTTTACACTTAGTAGGGATGTCCTATCCAATTCAAAGCCATTTGGGTAAATACTGTTAACTGATAGCCTCTTAATTCCCACTGACAACTTAGATCCATAATTCTCACACTGGGGCGAATGGACCCTCCAACCCCAGTTCCAGGAAGAGGAAACACTCATGTGAGTATTTTTTTATGTGCATAGTGTGTAATGATCAAGTCAAGGTGTATAGGATATCTGTCTCCTTGAATGGTCTGTTGGTGACTGGAAGCCTTACCAATAACAGTCAGTGAACATATATTTTGTATATGAATTATATACTATATTCTTATAATAAAGCCAGAGAAAAGAAAATGTTAAGAAAATTGTAGGGAAGAGAAAATATATTTACTATTTATTAAGTAGAAGTGGATTATCAAGAAGGTCTTGAATCCTTGTCTTCACACTGAGTAGGCTGAGGAAGGGGAAGAACAGAAGGGGCTTAGGCTTGCTCTCTCAGGGATGGCAGAAGAGAAGAAAATCCAGGTATAATTGGACCCACACAGTTCAAACTTACGTTGTTCAAGGGTCAACTGTATATTCTTTGGTGAAATGCTGATTTTTGTCTTTTAACCATTTTTTTTTTGACTGTTGAGTTTTGAGAGTTCTTTATATATTCTAAAAATTTTGTAGTTCTATATTTTACATTTAAGTCTGTAATCCATTTTGAGTTAATATCGGTATAAGTCACGCCTGTAATCCCAGCACTTTGGGAGGCCGAGGCGGGTGGATCATGAGGTCAGGAGATCGAGACCATCCTGGCTAACACAGTGAAACCCCGTCTCTACTAAAAATACAAAAAATTAGCCGGGAGCGGTGGCGGGCTCCTGTAGTCCCAGCTACTTGAGAGGCTGAGGCAGGAGAATGGCGTGAACCCAGGAGGCGGAGCTTGCAGTGAGCCGAGATCGCGCCACTGCACTCCAGCCTGGGCGACAGAGCCAGACGCTGTCTCAAAAAAAAAATATATATATATATATATATCGGTATAAGGTACGAGGTTTAGGTTAGGGTTCATTTTCTTTGTCCCATGGATGTCTAATTGTACTAGCACCTTTCGTTGAAAAGCTGTCTTTCCTCCACTGCACTGATTTTGTACCATTGTCAAAAGTCAGTTGAGCATATATGTGTGAGTCTATTTCTGGGTCTTCCATTCAGTGCCTTTGACATAAGTGCCTATGTTGCCACCAGTAATATGCTATCTTGATTACTGTAGCTATAGAGTAAGCCTTAATACTGGATGGAGGAATTCCTCACACTTTATTCTTCTTTATCAAGATGGTTTTAGCTATTTTAGGGCCTGTGGCTTTCCATGTAAGTTTTAGTATAAGCTTGTATATTTTCTACAGAAAATCTTGCTAGGATTTTGATTGAAATTCCACTGAGTCCTTATCTTTTATTTGTGGAGGGAATTATGTGATTTATAGGATTTGCTCCAAAATAATTTGAGATGGATGACAGCAGGTGAATGAGAGAGATCGGCCATAATTCTTTAAGGTGATAAGTGCATAAGGTATATTATTATACCATCTTTTCTGATTTTGCATATGTTTAACATTTTCCATAATAAAAAGTTTAATTGTCTCATATTAAAAGAAATGTGTTAGTATTAAATAGTAAGCTTAAACACCTGAAGTGTCTACTAAAATCTAATTCTATTTACTCTTTTCACATGGTCTGAATTTAATATTATTTTTCTAGGTCATTATTATTTATCAGTTCCATTTAGAAGGTTTCGTATGGTCAATTTCTTCAAAATGAAGCAGTGTTTATCCTGAGGATACTGGGTTCGTACGCAGTAGATATACTTTGTTTTATTTGTAGGCACTGCTGAGAAAGATCTAGAAAGTGCTAAACTTGTACAGATTTTACATAGACTGCTAGCAGATGAGAGAAGTGCTCCTGAAATCAAATATAATTCCATGGTCCTGATATGTGCTCTTATGGGATCTGGTAAGTATTCTTCTATCATTTGATGTCCATAAACATATGGTTCACATTAAATATTAAATATAGAGTAATAGTAAATGATGGTTTTGGGTTTTAAAGCCGTTAGAAATTAGTTTATGGAGGTTATAAGATAACTTTTTTCCCCTATTACTGTAAACACTCATTTCTTCATGGTGATGACATTGAAAATCTTCTCTTCTAGCTGTCTTGAAATATACACTACATTGGTATTTTCTAGCCATCCAACTGTATAATAGATAGAATTACTTTTCACTGAAGACATTCCCAAAAGATTCTCACTACAATAGAAAGTATCATATAGCAAATCTAGACAACATTCAGTATTGCAAAATCAGTAAGTCTCATGAACCCTAAAATGTTATTTTATAGCAGGCACAGGTTCTGATTTTGTATGCCATAATATTAACTAAGGAATTTGTTTAGGAGGCCAGGCACGGTGGCTCATGCCTGTACTCCCAGCACTTTGGGAGGCTGAGGTGGTGGATCACTTGAGGCCAGGAGTTCGAGACCAGCCTGGCGAACATGGTGAAACCCTGTCTCTACTAAAAACACAAAAATTAGCCGGGAGTGGTGGCACACGCCTGTAGTCCCAGCTACTCAGAAGGCTGAGGCAAGACAATCGCTTGAACCTGGAAGGCAGAGGTTGTAGCTGAGAGATTGTGCCACTGTACTTCCAGACTAGGCAACAGAACAAGACTCTGTCTCAAAAAAAAAAAAAAAATTTTTTTTTTCAACAAATCATTGGTATATCTTCTATGGACATTGGCATATCTTGGTATATGTTCTATGGACACCTGAAAAGAGTGTGTATTATGCAGTTATTGGGTACTGTTGTATAAATGTGAATTTGATTCTGTTGGTACTAGTGTCAAGTTTCCTTTATTCTTGCTGGTTTTGCAGTTAATTGTTCTGTCAATTGTCGAGAGGAAGGGTGTTGAAGTCTCCCACTGTAGATTTACCTATTTCTCCTTTCAGTTCTGTCAATTTTTGCTTAACATAATTTTCAGCTCTGTTGTTAGGTACCTACACCTTTAGGATTGCTGTGCTTTCTTAAGGGATTGACCCTTTTATCATTATATAGTGTACCTCTCTCTGGTATTTTTCTTTGCTCTCGTCAACTTTATCTGACTTTAACATAGCTACTTCTGCTTGTTTTTTTATTATTACTATTTTATTTTCTTTCATGTGCCACTACAAGAAGCCATCCTACTTTCTTTTGAATAACATTCACATGATCTTTTCTCACTCTTTTAGTTTCAATCTGCTGTATTTGAAGTGAGTTTCCTGTATACAGCACAAAGTTGTCATTTTCTAATCTACTCTACCAGTCCCTTTTGTGTATTTAGACCATTTACATTTAATGGATGACTGATATGGCTTAAGTGTGCAATCTTATTTTTGTTTTCTGTTTGTCACATTTCTTCTTTATTTCTGACTTCCTATGGGTTAAACATTTTTTAATCATTTACATTTATTCTTCCATATATATATATATATATATATCTTTTTTTTTTTTTTTTTTTTGAGACAGAGTCTTACTCTGTCACCCAGGCTGGAGTGCAGTGGCGTGATTTTGGCACACTGCAACTTCTTCCTCCAGGGTTCAAGTGATTCTCATGCCTCAGCCTCCCGAGTAGCTGGGATTACAGATGCCTGCCACATCACACCTGGCTAATTTTTGTATTTTTAGTACAGGCGGGGTTTCACTATGTTGCCCAGGCTGATACTGAACTCCTGACCACCCGTCAGGGTGATCCACCTGCCTTGGCCTCCCAAAGTGCTGGGATTACAGGTGTGAGCCACCACGCCCAGCCTCTCACGTATATCATTCTTAAATATTTCTTCTACATATATTTAGAATCACGTTAGACAGTGTTACAACTTTTCTTTCAACCACCAAACATATTTCAGAAAACTCTTTGAAAGAGAAGGGAAGTCTATCGTATTTACGCACATTTTTAGATTTCTTATTTTTGTTATAATCATTCCCTTTCTGTTTAGAGAACTTCCTTTAGCCATACTGCTAGCAACAGATTTTTAGCCAAAAAAAATTTTTTTCATTCATAATGAAAGGGAAATGACATTGTCAAATGACAGAAAATGGGTATAGGATTCTGGGTTCACAGTTCTTTTCTTTCTTTACTTGAAAACTATTGTGCCACTTTTTTCTAGCCTCCCTGGTTTCTGATGAGAAATCCATTGTGTTCTTATGTGTTTTATTCCCCTGTAGGTAAGGTTTCATTTTTGTCTCTCAAGACTTTCTTTGCGTTTAGTATTCAGAAGTTTAACTATGATGTGTCTTGGCATGGATTTCTTTGGGTTTATCCTGTTTGAGTTTGCTCAGCTTCTTGAATTGATAGGTTTATGTCTTTTGCTAAATTTGAGAAGTTTTGACTGTTACTTCTTCAGGTACTTTTCAGCCCCATTCTATCCACTCTTTCCAGACCTTTGTTGACACTAATGTGAGATCTTTAATTATAGTCTTGTAGGTCCCTGAGGTTTTGTTCTTTTTTACCCACAGATTATTTTCTTTCTGTTGTACAGACTGAGTAATTTCTATTGTTTTATCTTGGAAGTTCTCTGATTATTTCCCTTGTCCCCTCTATTCTGATGTTGAACCTGTTTTTATTTCAGTTATATATTTTAGTTAAAAATTTCCATTTGCTTCTTCTTTATATCTTTTATTTCCTTGCAGAGACTTTGAGTCTCTTCCATTTGTTTAAGCATTTTTAGAATTGTGGTAAAACATACAAAACATAAAATTTACTGTTTTAACCATTTTTAAGTATACAGTTTAATGGCATTAAGGACATTCACATTGCTGTGCAATCATCACCAGCATCCATCTCCAGAACCACCTTCATTTTCCCAAACTGAAACTCTGTACTCATTAACCAATAACTCCCCATTTACCCCTCCCCACAGCCTCTGGCAATCACCATTTATTTTGTGTCTCCATCATCTGACAACTCTAGTCACCACATATATGTGGAATAAGAAACTCCTGTCCTTTTTTGTCTAGCTTATTTTACTTAGGTCTTTAAGGCTTATCTGCATTGTAGGCGTGTCAGAATTTCATTTCCTTTTAAAGCTGAATAATTTTCCATCATATGTATATATCACATTTTGTTTATCCATTCATCAATCCATGGACATTTGGGCCATTTCCACCTTTTGGCTTTTGTGAATAATGCTGCTGTGAACATTGGTATGCAAATATCTCTGAGCCTCTGCTTTTAATTATTTTTGATATATACTCAGAAGTGGAATTACTAGATCATATGGTCATTCAATGTTTAATTTTTTTATTAAATACTGTTTTTACTAATTAAATACTGTCATACTCTTTTTCACAGTGGCTGGACCATTGTACATTTCTTCCAGCAGTACACATGGATTATCATTTCTCAACATCCTCACCAATATTTGCTGTGTTTTAGTAATGGCCAAACTAATGAGTGTGAGGTGGCATCTTACTGTGGTTTTTATTTGCGTTTCCCTAATGATTACTGATGGGAATCTTTTTATGTGTTTGTGGGCCATTTGTATATCTTCTTTGGAGAAATGTCTATTCAAGTCTTTGCCCATTTTTAGAATTGAAGGGTGTTGTTGTTGTTGTTGTTGAATTGTAAGAGTTTTGTTTTTTTTGAGACGGAGTTTCGCACTTGTTGCCCAGGCTGCAGTGCAATGGTGCAATCTCGGCTCACCGTAACTTCCACCTCCCAGGTTCAAGCGATTCTCCTGCCTCAGCCTCCTGAGTAGCTGGGATTATAGGCATGCACCACCTGTAGAGATGGGGTTTCTCCATGTTGGTCAGGCTGGTCTCAAACTCCCGACCTCAGGTGATCCACCCACCTTGGCCTCCCAAAGTGCTGGGATAACAGGCGTGAGCCACCACGCCTGGCCCAAGTTGTAGGATTTTGTACCAGTACCCCACTATCTTGATTATTGTAGCTTTGTAGTAAGTTTTGATATCAGTTAGTATGAGAACTCCAGCTTTGTTCATTTTCAAGATTGTTTTGGAGATTTAGGGTCCCTTGAGATTCCATATGAATTTTAGGATGGATTTTTCTATTACTACTAAAAACACTGGTTCATTGGTTTATGTCAGTCATATCAAAATAAACACATCAGTTTCAGTAGTACTGATTACATTAAGCTTATTAGACTTCACTCATCCCATATAACAGTTCTCAGAGTCCTAACAGGAATCCTATATTTTCTTGTAATTGAAGTTAAATAGAGAAAGCAAGTCAGAAAGAAGAGGACAAAAAATCTAAAAGGGAGTCCAGTGTCACAGAAATTTGTTGAAGGATATGAAGTATAAACTTTTCTTTTGCCACAAAATTAATTTGAAACATATCCTAAGCTTTTTGGTAAGTCATTGGACTTCATATTTGAACTGGTGATAGGGTTGTATGTAACCAAACCTTGAGATCATACAGTGAGCTGTGTTTAATTATAACTCATTATTGTAATTAATCTTACATTGTAGAACTTGACGTCTCGTTTTTCTTTTTAAAAATTGGGCAAGTAGCTGTGCAGTGGCTCATGACTGTCATCCCAGCTACTTGGGAGACTGAGCAGGATGAATCCCTTGAGGCTAGGAGTTTGAGGCTGCAGTAAGCTGTGACCATGCCACTGTACTCAAACCTGGGCAGCAGAGCAAGTCCCCATCTTTAAAATTTTTTCCTTTAATTTAAAAAAAAGTAAAGTTTTTATGATTTTTTTAAATTATAATACATTTCTAAGAAAGACATTGCTAGGCTACTGCTATGTCTTTTTCCAGAATTGTTTCTAGTTTTATAAGCTTAGTCTTGTCAAAATAAACATTTTGGTATATGTTTTGGATAGACTTAGAACAACCTAACAGAATCATATCTGTTATTTTTTTGTCTTCCAGAATGTCTACACAAGGAAGTACAGGATTTGGCTTTTCTAGATGTCGTATCCAAACTTCGCAGTCATGAGAACAAAAGTGTTGCCCAGCAGGCCTCTCTCACAGAGCAGAGACTTACTGTGGAAAGCTGAGAACTGCCCGATACACGGCATCATCCCATCTCTAATTTCCCCTCTGTCCTCCATCCAGCGGCTTCTTCCGCTTCATTCTCTACCATACCACTTGTGCATGCATGTGATGTTCTAATACCAATTGAAGAACCGCTGTAGGTACCTCCCTAATAAGATTTCTAAACCTATAGTTAGTGTGATCATGACTTTGTCAAAGGCAAGTCTCCACCCATAACCGTTCTCTTGTATTCCTGTTGCTTGAGCTACATTAAGTAGAATGTGCATGTTGTAGTCCTATGATGATGTAAACTTGGTACTACATAATGACTTGCTCCACACATGCAGTAAACTACATAATGATGTACTGGTAAACTAGAAACAAAGAATGCAGCAGGATCTGTCTAGCTTATTAAAGATGAAACTGAATTGGAAAAATAGCTCCATTTTTTGGTGCTTGGGAAGCACAGTGACCAAAAAAGTTGTATGGCTGCTTATTCATTAGTCTTTCCTACTGATGTCAAATCCATGGTACCTAGAGTTAAATAAAATTCCAATGCTCTTACTCTTTAACTTCTGGTTTCTCCTTTTTCCTTTTTAGACTATTGAAACTGCCACAAACTTGGCAAGACTTTCTGAGGTTTCTGATTCCATATTTAATTGACTATTATCAATAGCCTGATATTGAAAAACATTTGTAGTTTTCAGTGTGAAACTAAGGGGTTGAAGAATCACTATTACAATCCCTATTACAGAGCATTTCGGGTTTTGCTTGTATTTTAGATTCTGATACATACGCTGTTTCACTCAGGAACTACTTCTACCAGTTAATCAGCATTATCCAGCACTTGTCTTTAAAATTCATTTGGCGCTTGTTTGTTTTCAACTGAGGAAATTGAGTATAGTTCATTGAAGAATGGAATTTTTTTTTTTTTTTTTTTTTTTGCTGTTTTTCATCATTCAGCTAGAAAGTGAGAAGTTTTATCTTCCATAGTCCTTTTAAATCTTATGTTAGAACTAGCAGGACGTAGGTGGAAAGATGAAGAAATAAGCTTGTCTAGACTAAAGAAAGGAAAGCAGGTTATAAAAGCCATAGTAGCCAGTCCAGTTCATTCTGCAGATGGCCCCATACCAATCGCTGTTAGAGTTTGCCACCTCCACTTTCCCACTGAGAACTGCAGCAATTTTAAAGGATATGAGAAAGCCAAGACTCAAGAGATGAGAAGACCCCCTTGGCGAAATATAGTGTACTCTTCACTGCCACTGCCACCACCAAATGGGTTTTTAGAGCTTTGAAACACAATCTTTGTAAATTAATCAAAACCTCCCTGTGACCCACCTGCCTTCTCCCCATACCCAAATTTGACCACTACTGGCCTAAAAGGCAAGATGGGCTTCGATATAGAAGGACTGCAAGACAGTAGAAAGGGCTGCCACGGAGGTGACAGTAGCTCCTTCCTCTCCAACATGTGATGCTACACATCTCTGTGGATAATCTAAGTTGGACTTTTGACTCTAAAACAGCTATAATCCAAGAAAGTTAAATTCTAATGGAGGTAAAGAATCTTGACTGATTGTTCCCTTTGATGTCCAAATAAGGGAACTATTGTGAGTACGTATGCTACACTTACTATAAGAATGATACTGTTTGTTGTCTTTCTCCTGGGCTGGATAGTGGACTATATTTTATTACAGGCTTTGAAAGACATCTGTAATGTTGCATATCTGTTCATATTAATAACTTAATAAATAGTATATGAAGCTATAATGGCATCATTTGGTTTGTTTGTATATTTTGTCTCTATTTCCAGCTCCTAGAATAAGGCTTGCTATTGATGTTCAACAAATATTTGTTGACTGAATGAATGAATCCTGCATCCATGAAGTTTCCAGACTGCCTGAACTAATTCCAGAAAGATAGACTGACTGACTGATAGAAAGTTTGAGATTTGATAGTTTGTCTGACTTTAGGGAAAAAATTTTAACAAAAGCATCCTAAAATCGTAAATGTGAGAGAAGTTACCATCTAGGCCAGCTGCCAGCCATCAATTTGCTAATATGCTAGGAACTCCCATCTCCAGCAAAATAAAGTGCAATTCAAAGTACTCATCATTGTACGGAAAGACCAGAAGGCTGTGCCCTTATCACAGGGGCTACCAAATTAGATGGTACACTGATGTGCCATTGCAGTGGATGGGAGAGTCTACAGACTGTACTCTCGCTTATCTCCTGCTACTAAATCTTAGTCCTAGAGGCCACTATTTATTAAGTTAGTTTGCTACCCACTAAGAGTACATTCTAAGGGAGACAACAGGAGGGAAGAACAGCACAACAAAGCTTTAACTGTCAATCTTGAGCCAGTACTAGAACATAGATGAAAAGGGCAGGAATACAAGCAAAGAAGATGCCTGAGTGCAATGCACTAGAATATACCCCTTTCCCCCCAACCCCATTAGCAACTTGGAGTCATGCCAGCCCACCCACCTAGACCATAACCTCATTGTGCTCAAAGCAAACACTAGCCCATAACCCAGTGTTTTCCATGATAAAAACATGTTTTGAGCATACTGTCTGATAAGAATGGAGACATAGAAGAAAACTTTTTCATCTAAAATGATTTCTTGAATAGAATGCAGTTCTCATATGCAAGCATTAGTCTGAAGTGTTCTGAAAAATGCTACATGTGAAGAATTCAAAAAGAAATGCTCTTTGTTATAATTAGGAGGCTTATTATCTAATTCTCTTGAACATACTGGGTGAGGATATCTAGACATTAAGACATTTAGGTGAGCATTACCCTTTGTATCCAGCTGTTACTGGAATCAGTAAGCTTAAAAGCCACTTAACATTAGGACGCTATAACATTTGTATTACACAAGTGTCTATTAAAAAGCATGTAATAATATTTGGGATGAATCTTTATAGCTGTAGCCAGGAAAACTGAGGTCTTTTTTCACAGGTGTGATCTCTAACTTTGCCTATATACATATAAATAATATGCCATGTAACTTCACTCTGTCGTCCAGGCTGGAGTGCAGTGGCACGATCTTGCTCACTGCAACCTCCGCTTTCCAGGTTCAAGTGATTCTCCTGTCCCAGCCTCCCAAGTAGCTGGGATTACAGGCATGTGCTCTGACGCCTGGTTAATTTTTGTATTTTTAGTGGAGACAGGGTTTTACCATGTTGACCAGGCTGGTCTTGAACTCCTGACCTCAAGTGATCCACCCGCCTCGGCCTCCCAAAGTGTTGGGATTACAGGCGTATGTTTTATAGGTGTGTCTGACTCAAGTTATGTACTTTAAAAGGGTGATACAGTGCAAAGAGTGTGGTCTTTGGATGCTGTCTAATCTATAGTCATATCCTGGGTCTGTTACATACTAGCTGTGTGACCATAGCCAAGTTACTTAAACTCTTTGGGCCTGATTTCTCAATATGACAAGTTTAATAATCCCTACTTCCCTTAGGATTTTCATGACAATTGAACTTTTAGACGTTCAAGACAAGGTGAGATGGAATTGTGATATCTTAGGGCCTAACCTATATACTCCTCTCTCACTGCTGCAGGATTCCCAACTAAAAGGATTCAAAAAACAACCCCCAAACAGCAGACAGTATGCCTATTAATAGTTTGTAATGTAGAAACAAAATGGCTCACACCTGTAATCCCAACACTTTGGGAGGCTGAGGCGTGTAGGTCACTTGAGGTCAGGAGTTCAAGACCAGCCTGGTCAACATGGTGAAACCCTGTCTCCACTAAAAATACAAAAATTAACCAGGCATCAGGGTGCACACCTGTAATCCCAGCTACTTAGGAGGCTGGGACAGGAGAATCCCTTGAACCTGGAAAGCAGAGGTTGCAGTGAGCCGAGATCGTGCCACTGCACTCCAACCTGGATGACAGAGTGAGAGTCTGTCCCAAAATAAAAATAAAATTTTTAATGAAATTGAGCTTTTTAGCTGTAGCCACAGAGATTCTCCCTAACACTTTGAAAATGGACAATACACATCTGTCTCCTATTTATAACACTAGACAGGAACTTAATATGATGACAATTCATTTTTATATATTGGAACCAAATTATCAAACAAAACAAGCCAGGTAGGTACTGCTGCCTGCGGTTCTTCTGACCTTTGCTCTCTTGGTCTGGTGGTCTTCTCTGGTCCACTAGCAGGAGGACCAGAGAAGGTCAGCACCTCTGACCTTGACCTCCCTTCAGGGAGGTTCTGCTCAGCATCTTGGTGCTTAGTTCCTTGATGTCTAGCATAGGCATGTCAGACAGATACCTAAAACACTTAGAACTTAGGAAGGAAGGGATGATTGAATCCAATTCTAAGATGATGTGAGGAAATATTAACCAGAGGAGCTTTGACTTCAGACCCATCTTTGGAGGAACCCAAAATAGTTCCTAATTTCGGCTAAAGCCAACTATCGGTAGGTAGACAGTTCCGTTGCCCCACCCTCCCTTTTCTCAAGTTTCCAGAATGCAACCCACTCTCTACCATGCTTCTCCTACCATGACTTCCTTTTTTGTGTAGGTAAGAAAAGTAGAAGAGGTGTTAATGAATCATATTCTGCTCTTTTCACCCACACAGCCTCATCCCCTAGTACCCAGCAGAAGTTAGAGGAAGTAACACAGCAGAGTGTCCATGTAGATTCATCATATCCCAAAGTAATAACTATTAATTCCTTTGCTTCCCACTCGCCTATTTCTTGTCCTCTTGTTACCCTATCGTGATTGTGAAACACAGTGACTTCCCCTAAGCCACAACAAGTGAGAACAAGATGTTCACTGACCTGAGAAAACCATCTGACAAAAATTCATTTCCTGTTAATGAGAGAACGGCCTCGCATTTGTGTTATAATATGATCTGACAGTTAGTTCATAGAAAGCATGCTTTGTTATACCTGTGCCTAATGTCTGATGCAAAGTTTCAGAATGACCTTCTGGCATGCTTGCCCACAGCAGTTGCCCAGGGTGTATTTACATGGTTGAAGCATTGTGCCATGTGTAGCTATATCCTTTTTTCCCCCCACTTAAGAATTTCTCATGTTACTAACAACTCAAGTTTTTATAAACCTCTTTTTTAATGGCTGCCTATTTTTTGTTCTTTGTTGTGTTCTTTGTGGTTTTGAGATGAGGTCTTGCACAGGCTGGAGTGCAGTGGCGCAATCTTGACTCACCACAGCCGCAACCTGCTGGGCTCAACTGATACACCTCAGCTTCCCTAGTAGCTGGGACCACAGGCATCACTACTATGCCCGGCTATTTTTTTTTTTAAATGTTGCAGAGATGAAGTCTTGCTTTGTTGCCCAGGCTAGCCTTGAATTTCCAGACTCAAGCGATCCTCCCAAAGTGCTGGAATTATAGGCATGAGCCACCATACCCCCATGTTCTTTAATTATATGGCTGTACCAGAATCTTAACCTTTTCCTGCATCTAGACATTCAAGATATATTCTGACTTTTAAAAAACAAACCCCAAATGCTAGGTTGTGTGTGTTTTCAGATGCTAGGGTAGTTCCTCAATTAAAAACTATCTGACTTGCCAGTCCCTCTATTTTCTGCCCCTAATTCTTAAATCAAAGCCCCAATCCTTTCTTCCTCAGAGATCCTGATCAAATTTCTCAGTGAGGCAGAGCTGCCCTGCCCAGCCTCTGTGCAACCCTTCCTGATACACCCTTACTTTTCATCACCTCTTGAACACTCTGCTCCAACCAAGCCCTCCCCACTCTCCCGAGGGAACCCACAACAGCACCTCCTCCTGGGCATCCAAGCGTTACATCACTTACACCCACGCAACATCTACCACCGCCCCATTACCAAATGTATCAGAGTGCGTTCAGAGTGTATCAGAAGAGGTATAGAGCATACCTACAAGTACCTATGGAACTGATGTTTAGCTGATTGGAGTCTAATCACCTCTTAGCACTGCCATCAACTGCTAGCAACATATTTGCGCCTCTAAACAAACCTGTGAACCACCACTCTGATTTCTTCCAAGCTGATCAACACTCTCCAGGCACCACTCACATGGAGAGGGGAGGGAAGGAGTGGAGGGCCTCTTCTTCCACAAGAGTCATCATTAAACACTCTTCATGCTCTTCATGATTCTATCACCTGGCCAATCTGTTTCTTCCTCTATAGACTAGGGATGGCAAACAAACTAGGGGCCCTCACACATGTTGTTTGGGCCACATGGTTGTTGTTTTTTGTTTTGTTTTGTTTTGAGATGGAGTCTTGTTCTGTCACCCAGGCTGGAGTGCAGTGGTGCCATCTCAGCTTGCTGCAAGCTCTGCTTCCCGGGTTCACGCCATTCTCCTGCCTCAGCCTCCTGAGTAGCTGGGACTACAGGTGCCCGCCACCACGCCCAGCTAATTTTTTGTATTTTTAGTAGAGACATGGTTTCACCGTGTTAGCCAGGATGGTCTCAATCTCCTGACCTTGTGATCCGCCCGCCTCAGCCTCCCAAAGTGCTGGGATTACAGGCGTGAGTCACCGCGTCCGGCCTGGTATTTTTTAAAAAAAAAAAAAAGGAAGAAGAAAAGGAGAAAAAATGAATAGCTTTAAACATTTAAAATGTAAGTGATTTTGCATAAAAATCCATTTCTCTGGCTTTTCTTTTAAAATGAGGAGATCTGGAAACCAGGGACTCTACATTTCAGGAGAAGAGCATGTGGGTGGGGCCCCCTTTGGACAGGATATGTCTCTCTACTGGATTAGATCCCCACCTGGCCATTCACCTAAACTGCATAGCCCCTGGAAGCCTATGCATCTGTGACCCTGTGGATGGAGGCTGTCTGCTTCCAGAGCAGGAGAAAGGGAAATGGATTTTTAGGGACAGAGAACAGCACTATGGGAAAGGCCATGTTTAAGGAAGATCCAAATATTTGACCCAAGGTCATTTATATGACCTGTGCAAACTTGCACTGCCTTTAGTCCCCCAGAGAAGACTTGCCATCCTGAGAGTCAGTGACAGCTGCAGTCTGACAAGTGGCAGGAACATGAAAACAGCTGCAAGCCATGCCCAAGCCTGCACTCACCACATCCTGCTGATAGGAGGGAGCTGGTGCTGGCCCTCCTGTTCCCTCTCCTCTCACAGGGCTGGCAGCAGCTTGTGGGACTGCAGGGATTTAGAAAGTCCCTTAGCTGGATCAGGAATATAGCCCTTCTCCTCAGGCCAAAGACATCTTCATCATCATCTTTATCCCATGAGTCAGGGGATCTTATATAATATGGAAGCCTGCTCACCCAGGCTTATTGCGCTCTGCTTTTGGAGGCCTCCCTTTGGAGAATTCCTAACACAGACTCTACCTGCCAACCTCCCAGGCTAACCTGATCAACCACAATTTCCTCTTTATAGCCAACCCCACAGAAATGAGCCTCCTCATTTTAAAGGACTCATATAATTAGAAGTTCTGCTCCATTCCAGCCAAGATTCCAGTGAAAAGAAACATTCTGCTCCTAAATGTTTCAACGACAGCATGTACCGAAGAACAGCATGTTCCCTATATACCCCAGAGTGAGTAAGCCCCAGTGGGCTCAAAGAAAGACCAGATAATTCTCCTTGCCTTAAGCTAACAAGGGTTACATAGACCGGGAGCTAGAGCATGGCAATGGCAGAGGAATAGTTGCCAAACCTTGCGTTTGCTCTGGATGGCCAACCCATAGCCAAAAACATGCCAGAACTCTTACATCCCTACCATATTTGAAAAAAGAATATAGTATCAATAAGTGTTCAAAAAATGTCTTTGTGGCAAATATGAATTATTTCTTCAATATCCAGCTCTCCTTATTAACAGAACCCCGATTTTGTTCAGAGACTAGTACGTCAAGCTTCAAATAGTCCCATTTTCCAGCTTTCCAAGCTAGTGCTACAGTTCCATAGAAATCCCCAGATATGGCATCCTTTAGTAAATAGAAAGGAAAAGACCTGCTGGGCAAATGCTGTTTTGTCCCTTCACCTTTTCCTTTTTTTCCCCTCCTTCTTGCCTCAAATATGCAGCCCTTCAGCAACGATTAGGTAGAAACCTGAGGATGAAGGCCTGTACCTTAAGGACAGTGGAACAGAAAGGTACAAAGAGCCTGGGTCCACAGGAGCATCAATAAGCTGGAGTAGCGGCCCTATGCTGAGAACCCTCATGCTGATGGCAGGAGACACACACCTGACGTTGAAATCCCTCAGGCAGGGTTTTCCATTATTTCAAATGGAATGAAATCTTGATTCATGAAGCTAGTCGTTAATGTATCAAAATCTCCCCTAGGACAATTTGTTCTGCTTAAAGGCCATGGCCACAGACCTCATGACAACAGAATCCAAAGGATTTAAACAACTGGGGCTACCAGTTTTAACCCTCAAAGTTCAAAAATACACCAAAAAGCCTGACTCTCTAACTCAACAGCCTTCCTCACTACCCAAAGATTTACTAAACACTTACTATGTCAGGCACTGTGTTGGAAGAAGATAAACATGAACCTGATTATTGAGCAAACAAGTAAGGGCTTTAACCAAGGCATGAACAGAGTTATGGGGTTCTGTAGAGGTGACTCTGGGTGCTCTGGGCATCTTGGGGCAGAGGGTACATAGGAAGGAAGGGTGGGAGCAAAAGAAAAGGCTAGGAAAATAGAGCAGAAGAGATGGCAGGAGCAGGGAGTAGACATTAGCCATTTTAACTTTGTATTATATAACGGAAAAACCAAGGTTTCTACATAAAAGATGGGTATATTTGCTTTATGTTTTGTTCTAGAATCAGAATTATTGCTAATGGGGGTGGGGCAGGCTAGCAGAAAGGAAATTAATAGGTAATTGTGATGAATTCCTGATGTTGAGAGACAATTCTCGATGGGTATCTTGTATTTCCATACCTCTGTGAAAGACAGCTTCAGCTTTTTCTTTTTAACTACCTTTTCAAGGATCTTTATATGCCAAATAGCCTTGTAAGATAGAGACAGTGTCTCCCTGGGACAGGCAGATTTATTTTTACTGTACAGAAATCAAGATAAGGTCTCCCTCGGGGGCAAAGTTTGGTCAGGATCACTTGCAGGCCCCTTTATGAGACTGGGGTTTCCTAAACTCAGTTCCTTCGCTGGGGCATAAACCTGCTGTGTGTGAAGTATCCATCTGGGCCACTGTTCCCTGTCGGACTTGGGAAGCAAGAGAAACTACTGCAAACATGAGATTCATTTTACCAGGGGTGCATGCATAATAAAGTCCTTTCAGTCTGACCCAGGAGTCTCAGGCCTTCTCTCAGCATCTATGTACCTGTGGCAGGCTAACTTGTTAGCTTGCAAGGAGGGTAAAATCTCAAACACTTCACAATTGTTGATGCCTAAACTAGGATTTTTAGAGAGGAAGGGTCTGGGATACTTTTATGGAGCTAGAGATTGGAAAAGAAGATCATTCTGAAGTATCTGAGTTGGGTGACTGGGCAGAAGATGGTGGTGATGTTAACTAAAAGGAGGAACACAGAAAGGAAAGTGGGTTCCTGTAAAATGAGTTGGCTTTGACACATTTGGTTGGAGATGCCTAGAGGATCTTGAGGAGGAGATAGGCAAGTGGACACGTTCTTATTCCAGCTGAGCCATGAGTACAGGGGTTGCTCCATAAACAAACTGAGCCCCGCAGGCCTCAGTGCTCCCTTTGGCACTTCCTAAACTCACACATCATTGTGTTGCCTCAGGGTCCCCAGGAAACACCAACAATAGATCCATTTTTTTAAAAAGTTTGCTTAAATTAGTCAGACATGGTGGTGTGTGCCTGTAGTCGCAGCTATATGAAAGGTTGAGGTGGGAGGATTGTTTGAGCCTGAAAGGCAGAGGTTGCAGTGAGCCGTGGTCATGCCACTGTACTCCAGACTGGGTGACAGAGCAAGACCCTGTCTAAAAAAAAAAAAAAGTGTGCTTTTCCCAACACTTAGGGAATCAAATCCCTGGAACTGGGGCCTGGGTATCTGAATTTTTTTAAAGCTCCAAAGGTGATTCTGATCTGCAGCCAGAGTAGAAAAACGCCAGCTAGAACCAAGGGCAATGAAATGATACTTTGCTTAAAGTCCTCAGAGTGTGGCCTGGCCAACAAGAGTCCTCACCTTGTTTGGTCAAGTAGGTAGCCATTTCCTGAATTGATACCCCAGGATTTTTGTTCAACGTCCATCCTTTTTGAGGCCACTGAGTTCTGACTCAGAGACTAATAATCACTTGCCAAGTAAAGCACCATACTTAAAGAGATCAGATATCCTGAGCCACCCAGCTCCCAGATGTTGCTGTAAAGGAGACATTATATCCCAGGATGGTTCAGAGATTTTTCTGCTCCCCTAAACTTTCTGGAATCCTGCCTGACACATCCTCTGGATTAATCATCAGGATACCCTCATGCCCAGCATATGGGGCATAGCCCCGGACACAACCATCCCCTACCCCCATCATCCTTATGAAAAGCATGTTCTCTCAGACATCCAAAGTCTTTTGCTGATAGTCTGAGACTTTGAGCTCTTAGAGAAGGCAGAGGGGATGGTCGTGTGCTTGGTTAGCTCATAGCCTTTCTCCTTAGCTTTCCAAGTGCCCATGTGTACCTCATAGCCCTTCCATGTGCTGGCATGACTTCCTCCTATCTTGAAAAGGCTTTTCTCTCCATATGATCATGTCACCAGCAAACAGCAACAGTGTGGCTTCCTCTTTACCAATTTGGATGCCCTTTATTTCTTTCTCTTGCCTAATTGCTCTGGCTAGGATTTCTAGCACTATGTTGAATAGAAGTACTGGAAGTAGGCATCCTTGTCTTGTCCCAGTTCTCAGGGGGAATGCTTTCAACTTCTTCCCATTCAGTATAATGTTGACTGTGGGTTTGTCAGGATGGCTTTTATTACCTTAAGGTATTTCCCTTCTATGCCAATTTTGCTGAGGGTTTTAATCATAAAGGATGCTGGATTTTGTCAAATGCTTCTTCTGCATCTATTGAGATGATCATGTGATTTTTGTTTTTAATTCTGTTTATGTGGTGTATCACACTTTTTGACTTGCATATGTTAAGTATGCAGGGATGCAGAATACATCCCTGGTATGAAAACCACTTGATCATGTTGGATTATCTTTCTGATATGCTGTTGAATTTGGTTAGCTAGTATTTTCTTGAGGATTTTTACATCTACGTTTATCAGGGATATTGGTCTGTAGTTTCCTTTTTTGTTATGTCCTTTCCTGGTTTTGGTATTGGGGTGATACTGGCTTCACAGAATGACCTAGGGAGGATTCCCTCTTTCTCTGTGTTTTGGAATAGTGTCAATAGTATTGGTACCAAATCTTTGAATGTCTAATAGAATTCAGCTATGAACCTGTATGGTCCTGGACTTTTTTTTTTTTCTTGGTAACTTTTTATTACCATTTATCGCTGCTTGCTATTGGTCTGTTCAGAGTTTTTATTTCTTCCTGGTTTAATCTAGGTGAGTTGTATATTTCCAGGAATTTACCCATCTCCTTTAGGTTTTCTAGTTTATGTGCATAAAGGTGTTCTTAGTAGTCTTGAATTATCTTTTGTATTTCTGTGGTATGGATTATAACATCTCCCATTTCATTTCTAATTGAGCTTATTTGGATCTTCTCTCTTCATGGTTAATTTCACTAATGGGCTATCAACTTTATTCATCTTTTCAAAGAATCAGCTTTTTGTTTCATTTACCTTTTGTATTTTTTTGTTTGTTTGTTTCAATTTCATTTAGTTCCGCTCTTTGTTATTTCCTTTCTTCTGCTGAGTTGGGGTTTGGTTTGTTCTTGTTTCTGTAGCTCCTTGACATGTGACCTTAGATTTTCTATTTGTGTTCTTTCAGATTTTTTGACATAGGCATTTAATGCTATGAACTTTCCTCTTATCACCCACCACCTTTGCTGTATCCCAGAGATTTTGATAGGTTGTGTCACTGTTATCATTGAGTTCAAAGAATTTTTTTTTTTTTTTTGAGACGGAGTCTCGCTCTGTCACCCAGGCTGGAGTGCAGTGGCATGAACTTGGCTCACTGCAAGCTCTGCCTCCCAGGTTCACACCATTCTCCTGCCTCAGCCTCCCCAGTAGCTGGGACTACAGGCACCCACCACCACACCCAGCTAATATTTTGTATTTTTGGTACAGACGGGGTTTCACCATGTTAGCCAGGATGGTCTTGATCTCCTGACCTCATGATCCGCCCACCTCAGTCTCCCAAAGTGCTGGGATTACAGGCGTGAGCCACTGCACCCAGCCGAGTTCAAAGAATTTTTTAATTTCTATCTTGATTTCATTGTTGACCCAATGGTCATTCAGGAGCAGGTTATTTAAGTCCCATGTATTTGCATGGCTTTGAGGGTTCCTTTTGGCGTTGATTTCCAATTTTATTCTACTGTGGTCTGAGAGAGTACTTGTTATAATTCTGATTTTCTTAAATTTGTTGAGACTTGTTTAGTGGCCTGTCATATGGTCTATCTTAGAGAATGTTCCATGTGCTGATGAATAGAATGTATATTCTGCAGCTGTTGGGTAGAATGTTCTGTAAATATCTGTTAAGTTCGTTTCTTCTAGGGTACAGTTTAAGTCCATTGTTTCTTTGTTGACTTTCTGCCTTGATGACCTGTCCAGTGCTGTCAGTGGGGTATTGAAGCTCCCCAATATTATTGTGCTGCTGTCTATCTCATTTCTTAGGTCTAATAGAAATTGTTTTCTAAATCTGGGAGCTCCGGTTTTAGGTGAATATATATCTAGGATTGTGATATTTTCCTGTGGGACTAGTCCTTTTATCATTATATAATGTCCCTCTTTGTCTTTTTTAACTGCTGTTGCTTTAAAGTTTGTTTCGTGTGATATAAGTATAGGTATTCCTTCTCATTTTTGGTGTCTATTTGCATGGGACATCTTTTTCTGCCACTTTACCTTAAGTTTATTTGAGTCCTTATGTATCAAAGACTTCAAGAACCCAAAAGCAAATGCAACAAAAACAGAGACAAATAGATGGGACTTCATTAAACTAAAAAGCTTCTGCACAGTAAAAGAAATAATTAGTAAACAGATGACCTACAGAGTGGAAGAAAATCTTTATAATTTATATATCTGACAAAGGACTAATATCCAGAATCTACAGGGAACTCAAACAAATCAGCAAGAAAAAAAAAAACGATAAAAAAGTGAGCTAAGGACATGAATAGACAATTCTCAAAAGATGATATATAAATAGACAACAAGCATATGAAAAAATGCTCATCACCTATGATCAGGGAAATGCAAATCAAAACCACAATGCGATACCATGTTAGTCCTGCAAGAATGGCCATAATCAAAAAATAATAGATGTCGGCATGGATATGATGAAAAGGGAACACTTTTACACTGTTGGTGGGAATGTAAACTAGTGCCACTATGGAAAACAGTATGGAGATTCCTTAAAGAACTAAAAGTAGATCTACCCTTTGATCTAGCCATCTACCCAGAAGAAAAGAAGTCATTATATGAAAAAGATACTTGCATATGCATGTTTATAGCAGCACAATTCACAATTGCAAAAATATGGAACCAGCTCAAATGTGCATCAATTAGTAGATAATGTGGTGTATACACACACACACATATACACACGTATGTATACATACACACCATGAAGTACTACTCAGCCATAAAAAGGAATGAAATGGTGGCATTTGCAGCAAACTGGATAAAATTGGAGACCATTATTCTAAGTGAAGTAACTCAGGAATGGAAAACCAAACATTGTATATTCTCATTCATAAGTGGAAGCTGAGCTATGAGGATGCAAAGGCATAAGAATAATACAATGGACTTTGGGGACTCGGAGGGAAAAGGTGGGACAGGGTGAGAGATAAGACTACACATTGGGTACAG
The DNA here is from genome assembly GCF_000001405.40 of Homo sapiens. NCBI lineage: Eukaryota > Metazoa > Chordata > Mammalia > Primates > Hominidae > Homo > Homo sapiens. The sequence continues at coordinate 98,455,947 of NC_000004.12, forward strand.
TGTACACTGCTCGGGTGATGGGTGCACCAAAATCTCAGAAATCACCACTAAATAACTTATTCATGTAACCAAACACCACCTCTTCCTTAAAAACCTACTGAAATTTTTGAAAATGAACAAAAGGTTGTTCTCTGAAAAATACATACACACTTCGTGGTGTGTATGTACCAAATACCACATGTTCTTACTTATAAGTGGGAGGTAAATGATGAGAACTCATGAATACAGAATGGAACAATAGACATTGGGGTCTACTTGAGAGTAGAGGGTGGGAGGAGGGAAAGAAGCAGAAAAATAACTATTGCATACTATGTTTAATACCTGGGTGACAAAATAATCTATACAACAAACACCCATGACACAAGTTTACCTGTATAAGAAACCTTCACATGTACCCCAAAACCTAAAATAAAAGTTTTAAAAAGAAAAGTTTGTTCTCCCTTTCCCTTGCAGGGCCCCTGATGGGTAGCCATGTAGTTCAGCACACATATTCTTACTACCATTCGAACCTAAACTAATGAGATTCATAAGAATCTCTACTGGCAATATCATAAGAGTTTTCTCAGCTTAACCTTGATCCCCCTTCTAGTAACATAGCTATTCCAAAATATGGTCATTTAAGGAATCCTTCAAGCCTGGGAGAAACTCAGAATTTATTAGCAAAATAGTTTATTCAAAGGTTGAATCTCTACACACATTTGTTTTTTCTGTTTGATGCTTAAACATAATTAGGGAGTGGAGGAATGTGGAGATGCCCTAGGAGGGTGTATTAGTCTGTCTTCACACTGCTTTAAATAACTACCTGAGACTGGGTAATTTATGAAGAAATGAGGTTTAACTGACTTGCAGTTCTACAGGCTGCACAGGAAGAATGACTGGGAGGCCTCCGGAAACTTACAATCATGACAGAAGGTGAAGGGGATGTGAGCACCTTCTTCACATGGTGGCAGGAGAGAGAAAGAGAGGTAAGGGGCAAGTGCCACACACTTTTAAACCATCATGAGAACTATCACGGGAACAGCAAGGGGGAAATCTGCCCCCATGATCCAATCAGCCCCTGCCACGTCCCTCCTCCAATTCGACATGAGGTTTGGGTGGGGACACAAATCCAAACCAGATCAGAGGGTTAATACATTTGCTGTACTCAGGATGTAGGCCTGAGCTCATGCAGTGTTGACTGACAGATGCCAGGCTCAGTTCAGCTTTAAAAAATACATCTTGGCGGCCAGGCACAGTGGCTCACCCCTGTAATCCCAGCACTTTGGGAGGCCGAGGTGATCAGGAGTTTGAGACCAGCCTGGCCAACATGGTGAAACCCCTTCTCTACTAAAAATACAAAAGTTAGCTGGGTGTGGTGGCACACGCTTGTAATCCCAGCTACTCAGGAGGCTGAGGCATGAGAATTGCTTGAACCTGGGAGGCAGAGGTTGCAGTGAGCTGAAATCATGCCACTGCACTCCAGCCTGGGTGACAGGGCAAGATTCCATCTCAAAAAAACAAACAAACAAAACAACAACAACAAAAAAAAAAGAAAAAAAAACACACACACACACATGCACACACATCTAAAACATCTTACAGGCAGGTAGAAATAGTTACTTTTTTTTTTTTTTTTTTTTGAGCCAGAGTCTCACTCTGTCAACAGGCTGGAGTGCAGTGGCGCAATCTTGGCTCACTACAACCTCCGCCTCCCGGGCTCAAGCAATTCTCCTGCCTCAGCCCCCCGAGTAGCTGGGACTACAGGCATGTGCCACCACGCCCAGCTAATTTTTGTATGTTTTACAGAGATAGGGTTTCACCATGTTGGCCAGGATGGTCTCGATCTCCTACCTCGTGATCCGCCTGCCTCGGCCTCCCAAACTGCTGGGATTGCAGGCGTGAGCCACCATGTTTGGCCAGAAATAGTTATATTTTACAAAATAGAAGTCTGTCTTTTAGGTGAGCATATGCTCGCTATCTAAAACAAAGTTATGCTCAATATCTTGTAACATGCTCAAAGAAACAGCCTAGCTGTCTTAGTTCAGGCTGCTATAACAAATTACCATAGACTGGGTGGGTTAAAGAAACATTTCTCATGGTTCTGGAGGCTGGGAAGTCCAAGATTAGGGAGCCAGCATTGTTGGGTTTTTCATGAGGCCCCTCTTCCTGGTTATGACCTCAATGGCCTCCTTGGTGGGTACATCAAGAGGAGAGAGAGAAGAGAGAGAGGAGAGAGAGAGAGGAGAGAGAGAGAGAGATCCCATCATGAGGGCTCTACCCTCATTACTTCCTCTAATCCTAATTACATCCCAAAGGTTCCACCTCCAAATACCATCACATTAGGGACTGGGGCTTCAACATATGATTTTAGGGAGGACACAAACATTCAGTCCATAGCGCTACCAAACATCTGGGTGCTAGAGACATAGAGGTTAACAATACAGGCCAATTCCATGGAGCTTGCATTTTAACAGAAAAGATGCCATTCGAGTTAGTTTAGGTGTGATGAGTTCTTCTAAAGAGAAAGTTGCAGGAACACATCTTAGTGGGGTGGAGAGGGGCCAAGTTCTGAGAGGACCTCCCTCAAAGTCATTTCAGGTGAGATCTGAGGAATAAATGAGATTTAGAGAAAAGCATTTCAACCCTTTTAATCTTAGCAACACCCCTATGATATAGATATTACTATCTCTAGCTTATAACACACTACATCTTATAAGGGAAGGCATCAAGGATGGGAAAGATAAGTTGTCTAAGGCCATGAAGTAAGCAATGGATAAGCTCTAAGTGTCACTCAGGTCTAACTGGCACACAGACTAGTCTGAGACTTTCTTACGACCCGAACTGTTTTGGATTGTTTTGAATTTTGGAATACAGCTGACCCTTGAACAACATGGGTTTGAAGTGAATGAGTCCATGGGTACATGGATTTTCTTTCTTCTCTGCCATCCCTGAAACAGCAAGATCAATTCTTCCTCTTTCTGCCCCTCCTCAGTCTTCATCCTCCTCATATTCATGTAGAGGAAGCTGAGGAAGGGAAGAAAGAGGAAGAATTGATCTTGCTGTTTCAGGGATGGCAGAGAAGAAAGAAAATCCATGTACACGTGGACTCATTCACTTCAAACCCATGTTGTTCAAGGGTCAGCTGTAATCCAAAATTCAAAACAATCCAAAACAGTTCTGGTCCTAAGAAAGTCTCAGACTAATCTGTGTGCCAGTTAGACCTGAGTGACACTTAGAGCTTGGCTGCTGCTTACTTCATGGCCTTAGACAAGTTACTTTATCTTTCCCATCCTTGGTGCCCTCCCTTGTAAGATGTAGTATGTTATAAATATATAAATATATATATCACATGAAATGTGTGTTAATTGACTGTTATAGGTAAGGCTTCTGGTCAACAGTAATTAAGTTTTGGGGAAGTCTAAAGTTATACAGGCATTTTGACTAAAAAGGAGGTTGGCATCTTTACCTTCTGCATTATTGAAGGATCAAAAACATTTGCATTATTCTTGCCATTTCGTTGAGCATTCATAATCTGAAAATCCAAAATCTGACATCTCTAATGAGCATTTCCTTTGAGCATCATTATCAGCACTCAAAAAGGTTTGGATTTTGGAGCATTTGGAGTTTTGGATTAGGGATACTCACCTCATATACCACAAATGGGTTTCCTTTTTTCTTAAAGCTACCAAAGGAGCTTTTTCCCTGTGTAAAGTCTGTGCAATATTCTTCAGGCTTAGTGAGTGAACAACCTCCTAGAGCCTTCATAGATACCAAATAAGGCATACATTCAAATGTACAGTCCGTTGACTTTAATTCCTTTCATGACAGAGTCAATAATGGAATCAACACCTGTCAAAGCATCCTCTGCACTGCAGATAAATGAGTGGTCTCTGTCTCTTCTTATTTAATACCTCCCTTTCCCACCCTAGAACTTAGTAGAATGTTTGCTATACATGAGGCTCAAGAGACCCCTGTGTTGAGAGTCAGTGCTAGCAATTGTTCAAAAAAGCAGAATAAAATATCAGTAGAAATTAAATTAGAACCTGCAGCCAGAGTCTTGAGATGATCTTTTCTAAAAAGCCATGACATACCCTTTAGAGTCATTTTCTTTTTTTTGAGATGGAGTCTTGCTCTGTTGCCCAGGCTGGAGTGCAATGGCGTGATCTCAGCTCACTGCAGCCTCTGCCTCCCAGGTTCAAGCGATTCTCCTGCCTCAGCCTCCTGAGTAGCTGGGACTACAGGTACACGCCACCATGCCTGGCTAATTTTTTGTATCTTTAGTACAGACAGGGATTCACCATGTTGGCCAGGCTGGTCTTGAACTCCTGACCTCATGATCCACCTGCCTTGGCCTCCCAAAGTGCTGGGATTGCAGGCCTGAGCCACCGCGCCCAGCTGAGAGTCATTTTCTTATTTCATTCCCTCTAATCAAGTTATTTTGGGGGAGGTTTGGGGTACAGGTACTTCCTTGCTCTAAATGTCTCAGTGGCGATTAAATACCTCCATCACTATACTTTTGGCTTCTTTAACTGGCATTTTAATATCGTATTAAGTTAACAGAAATGGTAATCTGGAACAGATAAAAGACATTAATGACATTTTTTCCTCTTTTAATCTAGGCGCAAATCTTGACTCAAAATTAACAATTTTCAATTTAAAACCTAAGTATCAATGATAAAGTATTAATTTTGCACAGCTTTAAATAAGGCTTAACTCTAGGTATCACAAATTAAATGTTTTTAATCCTTTGATCCAGTTATTCCATTATTAACAATCTATCTTAAGGAAATAACTAGAGTTATGTGCAAAGTATAGGAAATGCATAAGAAAGGTCATTGCAAGGATTTCCTATTTAATAAATGGTGTTGGGAAAACTGGCTAGCCATATGCAGAAAGCTGAGACTGGATCCCTTCCTTACACCTTATACAAAAATTAACTCAAGATGGACTAAAGACTTAAACGTAAGACCTAAAACCATAAAAACCCTAGAAGAAAACCTAGGCAATACCATTCAGGACATAGCCATGGGCAAAGACTTCATGACTAAAACATCAAAAGCAATGGCAATGAAAGCCAAAATTGACAAATGGGATCTAATTAAACTAAAGAGCTTCTGCACAGCAAAAGAAACTAGCATCAGAGTGAACAGGCAACCTACAGAATGGGATAAAATTTTTGCATTCTATCCATCTGACAAAGGGCTAATATCCAGAATCTACAAAGAATTTAAATTTACAAGAAAAAAACAACCCAATCAAAAAGTGGGCAAAGGATATGAACAGACACTTCTCAAATGAAGACATTTATGTGGCCAAGAAACATAGGAAAAAAAGCTCATCCTCACTAGTCATTAGAGAAATGCAAATCAAAACCACAATGAGATACCATCTCACGCTAGTTAGAATGACTATCATTAAAAGTCAGGAAACAACAGATGCTAGAGAGGATGTGGAGAAATAGGAATGCTTTTACACTGTTGGTGGGATTGTAAATTAGTTCAACCACTGGGGAAGACAGTGTGGCAATTCCTCAAGTATCTAGAACTAGAAATACCATTTGACCCAGCAATCCCATTATCAGGTATATACCCAGAGGATTATAAATCATTCTACTATAAAGATACATGCACATGTATGTTTGAGGCACTGTACACAACAGCAAAGTCTTGGAACCAACCCAAATGCCCATCAATGATAGAATGGATTAAGCAAATGTGGCACATATATACCATGGAATACTATGCAGCCATAAAAAAGGATGAGTTCATGTCCTTTGCAGGGACATGGATGAAGCTGGAAACCATCATTCTCAGCAAACTAACACAAGAACAGAAAACCAAACACTGCATGTTCTCACTCATAAGTGTGAGTTGAACAATGAGAACACAGGGTCACAGTAAGGGGAACATCACACACCAGGACCTGTCGGGGGTTAGGGAGGGGTAGCATTAGGAGTAATACCTAATGTAAATGACAGGTTGATGGGTGCAGCAAACCACCATGGCATGTGTATACCTATGTAACAAACCTGCACGTTCCGCACATGTACTCCAGAACTTAAATTTTTTAAAAAAAGGTCATTGCAACTGTATTTAATTCAAGACAGCCCAAATTTCTAATAGTAATTGTATTAGTCCATTCTCACACTGCTATAAAGAACTACCTGAGACTGGGTAATCTATAAAGAAAAGAGGTTTAATTGACTCACAGTTCCACATGGCTGGGGAAGCCTCAGGAAACTTACAATGGTGGCAGAAGACAAACGAGAAGCAACAACTTCTTCACAAGGCAGCAGGAGAGAGAGCAAGTGAGGGGAGAAGTGCCACAGTTTTAAGCCATCAGATCTTGTGAGAACTCACTCACTATCACGAGAACAGCATGGGGAAACCACCCCCATGATCCAATCATGGTGTTAGGTGATTAGGGGTTAGGTTAGATCCCTCCCCTAACATGTGGGGATTACAATTCGAGATGAGATTTGGGTAGGGACACAGAGCCAAACCATTTCAGTGATGAATTGGCTAGTAAAATAGTGGTTTATCTATACCAGCAGCTCTCAAACTTTGTGGTCTCAAGACTCCATTACACTTTTAAGAATGTTTGAGCCCCCTGAAGAGCTTTGGTTTATGTGGGTTATCTATGTGAATATTTATCATATTAGAAATGAAAAGGGAGAAAAGTTTAAGACACAGAAATACACAAGCACACATTCCATTAGTTGTCAGAGTGATGACATCACATCATGTAGCTGTCAGAGTGATGACATCACCACATCAGCAAACCCAAAATTAAGAACAAAATGGGAAATAATGTCTTAGTATTAAGAAATAGTTTTGACCTTGTGAACCCTTGGCATCTTAGGGAAACCCTTGATCTATAAAATAGAATAAGATTCCACCAAAAAAATGTTGTATAAAGCATTCACTGACACTGAAAAATCCCAATTTTTAAAAAAGCAGACCACAGAACAGTATGAACAGGATTATACGATTTAAAACAAATTTAAAAAGCAATGGAAAGACACACTAATATTTTACAAGTATATATCTCTAGATGGTGAAAATACTAGTTTTTTTTCTGCATTGAGATTTTTCTTTATTTTTATTTTTTTGAGACAGAGTCTTGCTTTGTCGATTAGGCTAGTGTGATGGTTAATACTGTGTGTCAACTTGATTGGATTGAAGGATACAAAGTATTGATCCTGGGTATGTCTGTGAGGGTGTTGCCAAAGTAGATTAACATTTGAGTGAGTGGACTGGGAAGGCAGACCCACCCTCAATCTGGGTAGGCAGCATCTGATCAGCTGCCAGCATGGCTACAATATAAGCAGGCAGAAAAATGTGAAAAGAGAGATTGCCCTAACCTTCCAACCTACATCTTTCTCCCATGCTGGATGCTTCCTGCCCTTTAACATCAGACTCCAAGTTCTTCAGTTTTGGAACTCTGACTGGCTCTCCTTGCTCCTCAGCCTACAGATGGCCTATTGTGGGACCTTGTGATCATATGAGTTAATACTTAATAGACTCCCCATATATATCTATATCCTATTAGTTCTGTCCCTCTAGGGAACCCTAACTAATACAGCTGGTATCCAACTCCTGGGCTCAAGTGATCCTGTCACCTCAGCCTCCCAAAGTACTGGGATTACAGGTGTGAGCCACTGTGCCTGGCTGAGATTTTTCTTTTGTAATTAGAATAAAACGCATTTACCAAACATATACTTAATGCCTATTTACAGTCACCTGTATTTTCCTTCCCAGACCTGAAAATTTCAGCTTAGTAGCTTTAGGAAATGTATCACTAAAAAATATTAATACAAGGTATTAGTTTTGCACAGCTCTAAATGAGGCCTACTTGTAGATTGTCCTTGCCTCTTAAAGTGCGGTCTGCAGACCACAGCATCAGTATCACCTGGGAGCACGCTAGAACCATGGATTCTTCAGCCTCAATCAAGACCTACAGAATCAGGACCTGCATTAAGACCCAGATGATTTGTGTGCACAACAGAATTTGAGAAACCATGGGGGTACGTTAGAATGACCTGGGAATTTTAGAAACAGTGTGGAAGAGAGCACATGTTTTTTGTCTTTTTTTTTTTTGGAAACGGGGTCTCGCTCTGTCACCCAGGCTGGAGTGCAGTGGCACAATCTCAGCTCACTGCAAACACTGTCTCCCAGGTTCAAGCGATTCTCCTGCCTCAGCCTCTCTAGTAGCTCGGACTAGAGGCCTGTGCCACCATGCCCCGCTAATTTTTTGTTTGTGTTTTTAATAGAGACGGGGTTTCACCATGTTGGCCAGGCTGGTCTCCAACTCCTGACCTCAAGTGATCCACCCACCTTGGCCTCCTAAAGTGCTGGGACTGTAGGTGTGAGCCACCACGCCTGGCTATTTTTTGTCTTTTCTAATGCTCTCAGGTGATTCTAATGTGCATCTAGGGCTGAGAAACTGCTGCTCTAATGCAGGGGCCTGGCTTGAATCTAAAAAAGAACAAGATTGTTACCCCAATCTCTACCTACTTTAAAAAATATCCTCCCACTGCAACATGTAGTGACCTCCCTGCCAGTTCCCGGGTCCTAGAATTTCACAGGAACAGCAGAACCAGATGGAGAAAACAGCTGGTAATATAGTTTGTTCAGGCTACTATAACAAAATGCCGTCAACTGGGTAATTTATAAACAGTAGAAATATGCTCACAGTTCTGGAGGCTAGGAAGTCTAAGATCAGGGTGTCAGCATAACTGGATTCCAGTGACAGCTCTTTTCTGGGTTGCAGACTGCTTCCTTCTCGCTGTGTCCTCACATGGTGGAAGAAGGCAAACGAGCGCCCACAAGCCTCTTTTATAAGGGCACTAACTCTGTTAATGAGGGCTCTGCAATCATGATCTAATCACCTCCTAAAGGCCCCACCTGTTAATACTACCACGGTAGGGATTAGGTTTCAACCCTAACAGCACAGAGCTTGTACCTATGTTGTCCAATTTTACAAAAAAATTCTACTTTTCACATCACCTTCTGATATGGTTCGGCTGTGTCCCCGTCCAAATCTCACCATGAATTGTAATAATCCCCATATGTCAAGGGCAGGGCCAGGTAGAGATAATTGAATCACGGGGGTGGTCTCTCTCATACTGTTCTCCTGGTAATGAATAAGTCTCATGAGATCTGATGGTTTTATAAATGGGAGATCCCCCGCACAAGTTCTTTTGCCTACTGCTATGTAAGATGTGACTTTGCTCCTCATTCACCTTCTGCCATGATTGTGAGTTCTCCTTAGCCATGTGAAGCTGTGAGTCCATTAAAACTCTTTCCTTTATAAATTACCCAGTCTTGGGTATGTCTTTATTAGCAGCGTGAGAACAGACTAACACACCTTCATTGTGGATGAGGTAGTTACTGATCACCTCAATTACCACTGCTGTCATTCAGCAAACTTTCAAGTGCCTGGTATATGCCAAGTACTGGGCCACAATTCCAAGACTCTCTATACTGGACCTTGCTGCTTATCTGAGCTTTTCCCCACTCTTTCGTCTGGAGGTTCTGGGCCCTTCCCAACCTCCCCAGCAGCATAGGCTTTATTATGGCCCCTTCCACATTCCCCAGGGGCCCAGACCAAACCTCTCTTCCTTCTTGAGACCATCTTCCATTAACCCCTGTGTTCTTCCTGTATCTCAACCAGGCACCATTTTGAGAGATGTCAGTTTAGCTCTTGATGAATTGGAAATTTTCCACATGTGGGGTTTTCCCCTCCATCAGTTTACATTTCCTCAGGAACTTATGCAGCGTGCTTATAACACCTGCCTGGAACACAGTAAACTTCTAGTCAATAAATGTGACCTGTTATTTCAAGGGATAGATGATATATTCACCCCTAGTACCCAGCCTGCAACAGGTAGCCAGAGAACTAGTGGGCCTGATTCAGTTGCAAAGTAACAAGACTAAAGACAGCACAAGTGTGGAAATATGGCTATTTTCTTTATAAAACTTGAGTCACTCTAACAACTTGAATTTAAGATAATTTACTTCAAATAAATACAGAATGCAGACTATGACTTAATCATAATAAATCATTCTCTATGTTTAAAATGTCCCACAAAATGTTGATTGTTTTCTTTTTTTGTTTTTTTGAGTTGGAGTCTCAGTCTGTCTCCCAGGCTAGAGTGCAGTGGCGTGATCTTGGCTCACTGCAAGCTCTCCCTCCTGGGTTCACACCATTCTCCTGCCTCAGCCTCCAGAGTAGCTGGGACTACAGGTGCCCGCCACCACACCCGGCTAATTTTTTGTATTTTTAGTAGAGACGGGGTTTCACTGTGTTACCAGGATGGTCTTGATCTCCTGACCTCATGATCTGCCTGCCTAGGCCTCCCAAAGTGCTGGGATTACAGGTGTGAGCCACCACACCCAGCTGATTGTTTTCTTTTTTACGTATTTTTTTTGTTTGAGTCAGGATCTTGCTCTGTTGCTCAGGCTGGAATGCAGCAGTGCAATCATGGCTCACTGCAGCCTCCATCTCCTAGGCTCAAGCAATCCTCCCACCTCAGCCTCCAACATAGCTGGAATTATAGGCTTGTGTCACCATGTCCACCAATTAGAAAAATTTTTTGTAGGGAGACGGTCTCACTATGTTGCCCAGGCTGGTCTCAAACTCCTGGGCTCAAGCCATCCTCAGGGTGAGTCTATAAAGTGAAAGCAAATTTATTAACAAAAAAAAGGAATAAAAGAATGGCTACTCCATAGACAGAGGAGTTCTCAGGGTTGCCAATTGCCCATTTTTATGGTCATTTTTTGATGATGTGCTAAACGAGGGGTGGATTAGTCATGTCTCGCCTTTCTAGACCATGTAGGGTAACTTCCTGACATTGCCATGGCATTTGTAAACTGTCATGGCGTTGGTGGGAGTGTAACAGTGAGGACGACCAGAGGTCACTCTCATCGCCATCTTGGTTTTTGTGGGCTTCTTTACTGCAACCTGTTTTATCAGCAAGGTGTCTATGACCTGTGTCTTGTGCCAACCTTCTATCTTATCCTGTGACTTAGAATGCCTAGCCATCTGGGAACATAGCCCAGTAGGTTTCAGCCTCATTTTACCCAGGTCCTATTCACAATGGAGTTGTTCTGGTTCAAACGCTTCTGACAAGACCAAAGCAAAATCCAGGTGATTCACACTGGTGGTATGTATGCATATATGTGTGTATTTCTAAGTACAGTGTGTAGAAGTAACACACTGGTGGTTTTAGAAGAAATATAAAGATGTTCTATTCCTTGTTTCTGGAGAGTTGCTCATTTTGAAGAGGAATTGAAGTGCAAACCAGGGTCCTGGGGCCTTTTGTCACAAAAACCTCTGAAGTTCCAATGGAGGGTGGTGTTCCCTGGGAGGGAGGGTGCAGAGCATTGTCCTCCCAGCCCCATTGAGGACACCTTTAGGACAGTGCCTCTGCCTGGAAGATGAGCAGCTTTAGGCAGTCACCATCGTCGTCTAGAAACCACATTTGAAAACTGGTGGGAGGACAAGGCCCAGCTCCATCCTGCCGCGATAAACTCCCAGCAGCAAGATCCCAAGCAGGATAGATGGTGATGGGAGCAAAACGTCCTGTTCTCTCATCTTTCCAAAACAAGCCTTGCCATTTTCAGGAGCGTGTAAAGGAAATAAAACACCTACCCGCCCTAAGCAGGCAACATAAGCTGTGTACCTTCAAGTTTCTCCAAAGCACAAGCGCCTCTGAACATACAGTGTTTTTATCCCTGAACTATTCCAACTCCAGTCCGGAGTGGTTTTACGCAGTCGACACTAGAGGGCAGGCCATTAAAACGTTCCCGTTCAAACGAGTTGCTCTGCAAATGCAAGAGCTGACACAGCACCTGAAGGTCCGCTCCGTATCTGAAAAGTAGCTTTCCCCCACGGAGAATGCAAGCGTGCGTTCGGTATGGGGCAAGAGCGTGGGAAGCCTGCTACTGCTTTCCTTTCGGGGCATATTTACAGTGAAAGCCCGTGAACTCGCCTGCTCTTCCCTTAGATTTACTTTACTTGGGAATTCCTAGAAGTGGAAAAATAAATCACAATGGCCAGTGCGGGTCCCCAGAGGTTTAGCCCCGGCTAATGGATAACAGGAAGGGACTAAATCAGCCTCCTCTCACCAGCGGCAAGTTTACAAGAGAACCACTCAGCATGAAAACGCCAAAGCAAGCTGTACTTAATCCCTCAAGAAGTCCTAAAAACTGTAATTTTATTAAGTTAGAGACAGGGTCTTCCTCTGCCAACCAGGATGGAGTGCAGTGGTGCGATCATACTTCACTCCTGGGCTCAAGCTGTCCTCCTGCCCCAGCCTCCAGAGTCGCTGGGAGTACAGGTGCATGACGCCAGGTCCAGCTAATTAAAAAAAATTTTTTTTTTCATTTTTTTAAGACACGGGGTCTTGCTATGTTGCCCAGGCTAATCTTGAATTCCTGTCCTCAAGCAATCATCCTGTTTTGGCCTCCCAAAGTGCTGGGATTACAGGTGTGAGCCAGCCACCTTGTCTGGCCTAAAACTGTAATTTTATAAACTCTTTGTGGCAAACCCCTCCAAACAAAAAGGCTCGGGTGAGTGTAAGGATGGCTTTGCTCCAAGTTCAGAGTTTGGCTTCTCCGCCGTGCTCCCTGCCCCCACCCACCCCCCCACCCCCATCTGACTGCCTTGTCTGTTATCATGTGTAGATTTTCTATGGATTTTATTGTGTCATCATGATAAAGCCAATGTTAATGTATTTTTCAGGCAAATGCTGCATTTTCCTCCTCAAAGACTAGGCTTCTCACTCTGGAATTGGGCAGCACCTAGAAGCAGCCCCATGGCCTCACTGGAGAGAGCTCTGGCCATGAAACCCTGCTGGCCAGCGTTTATAGAGGGCTTCCCAGTTCTTCATTGGAGGTCTAAACAGGATTTCCCTAGAGAAGGAGGGCTTCGTGGAATAAATGACAAAGGGAGTTGGGGTGGCCTGCCAGGTCACTGGGCTCCAGCTCCTCATTGTTCAGCCCACAGGCTTCCCAGGGCGCCTGTCCAAGCCAGCCGGAAACAGACGAAACTGCAAAATCACTCCATTCCTGCCCACACAAACACGGGGAAATGAATGATCACTTTGCACAAGAAACCTCCAAGAGACACTTTGAGGATCCCCTTGAGGAAAGGACAACTGGGACCTGTGGCAGGAAGAAGGCTGAAAGAAAAGTCCAGGTTTATTACTCCCTGGGAGAAGGAAGAGGAAGAACAAAGGAAATGCACTTCTTTAAGTACTTCATGATGCAAAATATTTTTAAATTCCTGAGTTCACATTTAAAAACTGTATATTTTTAAATTATAGGAGCAATGATGTTAGTGGTAACCAGCCCAACAACAGAAATAAAGAGAAATTTAATAAGCTTCCCCTAAAGTCTACCTTCTACACATTGAAGAAACTTCCTCCAAGTTTTTGAGTTTTATAGACAAAGCATCCTTTTACTTCTGAGCTGTCATTTTTTTTTCCTTTGTTGGCTTATAGTTTGCAACAAGCAAAGAGGGCCAATGTAGACAATAAGAAAACTCAAGAAGCAGGGATTGGCCATCTCCAATCATCACTGATAAATTTCCTTAAAATCAAAATAACGTTGTTTCAAATATCTGAGATATGAGGCAAAACGTTTCTTGAACAAGTCTGACACTATGTTGTCAGGATCTAAGTGTGCTATATGAACCTTAAAATTTGTTTTCATTTGATCTTTGAAAAAAGTATTTAATCAGTTCTAACGACGGAAGTCTTCTTCTGCAGTGATAATTCACAATGAAAGACATTTAAGCTGACGTTTCTCTAATGGGTTTTTAAGATTCCAGCTCCAAGGGACTGTGAGAAATTATTTTCTTATATAAAAGGTTGTGAATATTATCAACATTTATCTAAGCCCATAAGTCATAAATCCCACCAGGCATTAAATTTTCAAGGGAGCTTTTAAAACATAGATTACCCTGTCTCCCACTCCAGAACTGCTAGGGGTAAGGTCTGGGGAATCTGTATTTCACATGGTCCCCAAGTGATTGTAACCAGCAGATGACCTCATGGGCAGGGATTTCCTACATACGAGGCTCTGGCCTCTGTGTCTTGTCAGTCAGCATTTTTAAGTACAAAGGAACCTTTCCCTTCCCAACTACAAAATCTTACCTTTCTGTTTCCCCTCCTAGAAAACTGGATCAGAACAATGCTTCTCAAAGTGTAGTCCCCAAACAAGCCGCAAACAGCATCACCTACGATCTTATCAGAATACAAATTCTCCAGCCCCACCCCAGACCTACTAAGTTAGAAATTATGGGCACGGAGCAAATGCATTCATGTGTTTTAACAAGTCCTCCCAGTGATTCTGACACCTGCTAAAGTTTGAGAACCACTGGATTCGAAAATTTCACAATTTCAAGAAAGAAGTAATGAAGAAAGACACACCATGTAAGGTAGAACCAAGTTTATTAATGACAGCCTTTATTACAATCACTCTCAAGTGTAAAAAATAAAGGGTGATTAATTAATATTTAAAACTCACTCGGACTTGCTGTTTGGCCTTTCAGTGGATGTGCCAAAGGGCAGGGATCTTGCCTGATTCTGAATCAATTGGCCAGATGGAGTTCACTGGAGAATGAGGCAATCAACAAAAAAGACAAATGATGCCAACTGGAGAGAGCTCGTGTCTTCTCCATGTTGGAAGGACATTACAAAATGGCAACTGTGGTGGGGGCAGAGATGAAGTAAGACAACCTTACAGTCGGAGTAAGATGTGAATACCTCTACCTATACAGAGACAAAAACACACACATGCAGAGCCATACACACACCCAAACAGTGAACACAGTTTTGAAAATAATTTCCTTTTTGTCCTTTCTCTGAGCAGACTGACACATTCATCGGCCACCACCATGCACCATGGGGCTGAAATGGAAAACCTCGCTTAATTTCCACAAAGTATTCTAGCTGGCTGCCCAGTTATGTGCTGGCAAATCTGTCCGCACCGAAAAATGTGCCTGTGGTTTTCCCAGAGTTCCACAGACTGATATCTGCTCCCCAGGAGGGCAACATCCGGTGGACACCA
Source organism: Homo sapiens (assembly GCF_000001405.40). Taxonomy (NCBI): domain Eukaryota; kingdom Metazoa; phylum Chordata; class Mammalia; order Primates; family Hominidae; genus Homo; species Homo sapiens. The sequence goes on from NC_000004.12 coordinate 98,471,003, forward strand.
GCTGGATTAAAATCTAGAGGGCAAAACTCGTCCCTCCCACCTAAAGTGGGGGCAGGAGCGGCAGCACCAGGAAGTGGTTTCCCACTTTGTGTTACAGAGTACTTGCCCCAGTTCAACGCATTCCCCTCCAAAGTATTTGTGCTTTGATACCATCCTGATGGTTAGTCTGCAATAAGAGAACTGAAGGAGCTATGGCCATGCACTATTTTCTTTTTTTAATAAAAGCAAACTAAAACTGGAGGAAGAAAAAGAAACCATTAGAAGCTTTTGACTGGGTCAATGTTGTTTCCAAATTGGGTTTAATTCCATTCAAAGAGAAAGAAGGGGAGGGTGCAGAAAAGGCCACTCAGATCGACTCTGGAAGAGATCATCAAGACCAGGGAAGCATTTGGATGGTACAGCTGGTCTCTTCCCAGCCAGACTGGGAGGACATGCCACAACCTCCCAAGGCTGTGAACCTAGGAAATAAGTGCTGACCAAATAACATATTTCAATGTTTGTAGAAAAGCTGGCAGGAAAGGGAGATGATGGATTCAGATTCACAGGTCATGCAGATTAAGACTTAATCAAAAATTAATGCTTGAGCTGAGTAAGAAAACACTAAAATTTAAGTGGAACTGTATCATAGCTTTCACCTTTGGAAGACGAAAAACAACAAACATACAAAACAAAATGACCCAGAATATTCCAGAGTTTCCAAAAATCCAACTGCTAATTTTGGCAGGGTGAGAAGAAGGGGATATTTAACTGATACCTCTTCATTAACCTCATTTTCTCCTTGAATTTCACTGATAAACAAAGCTCAGGTCTACTTAGAAAAACGATCAGTCCTGCTAAAATACAGCCTCATGACGTCTTCCAATGCCCTTGCTCGGTGCACATGAAATACACAACTTCTCTTATAAGGAGACTTTCCAGGATAGACCAAGTGTGCTCGCCCAAGTGACTTGCTGAATACCATCACAAAATCTGAACCCAAAGATGAGTTGTTTTCTTCTTCAGATGAGAGTTGCAAGTGTTTCCTAAAATGTACATGGAGGGATGCCCACAAACCACTGCCCTCCCAGGTGAGGGGCTGAGTCTTTGAGGAGATGCACTCCTTCAGGCCATGGAACAGAAAGAAGGTGGTCCGTCCAAGGTGTGGTGAAGAGCAAAGCTGCCTCTCCCAGCCCTCCAATTACGGAAGATGAGGACAAGAATGTATTTTCTGCACATTCAAGTACATCTGGGTCCCCTACCCTCCCTTTTTTTCTTTTTTGGTAAGCATCTAACTGTCCATAAATTCATGGCTACAGTAGAGATTCACGGCGCAACGACTTTCATACTGGTTATTTTTTTTTTTAATTCTGTCAGTGAGCAGCATTTCCCAGTTTTACACTCCCCTAATGGCAGCTCCATTAGGCGAGACTGCAGGCTGCATCTGTGATTAGGTCCATGCAGCTCGAAGATCAGTTCGGCACGCGGGAGGGTCCCGAAAGCTGGGTCTGTCCAGTGTCTTGCAGCAGCGGTTGCAGGGGGTCTACCAGCTCGCCCTGACAGCTTCGATATCGCTAACCAAATTCTGGGCCAGGCATATCCCAAATATCTGAGAAAGGAAGAAAATGTGAGTGAAACAGTGACACTTGTAACTTGTTTCCCTGGCCACTGTGTCCCATTTTTTTAAATCATTGATTTTTGAAATTTAAGATGTAATTCATATGTGGTAAAAAGCATCCTTGAAATGTGTATAATTCAGGGGCTTTTAGTATATTCACAAAGCTATGCAACTATCACCACTATCTAATCACAGAACATTTCATTACCCCAAAAAGAAACCCTGTACCTGTGAGCAGTCATTCCCATCCCACCATCCCTACAGACCTAGCAACCACTAATCTACTTCCTGCCTCTGTGGATTTGCCTCTTCTGGACATTTCATATCAAGGGAATCATATAATATGGGGCTTTTGTGGCTGTCTTTTTCATGTAGCAAAATATTTTCAAGGTTCATATACATGTGCTATTAATTTATTCCTTTTGATGGTTGAATGATATTCCATGGCATGGATATGCCCCATTTTGTTTATCTACTCCTCAGTTGATGTGTATTTGCATTGCTCTCACATTTTGGCAATTATGAATAATTCTGCTATGAACATGAGCATACAAGTTTTTGGGTAAACACTTTCTCAATTCTTTTGGGTACTCCTCTAGGAGTAGAATTGCTGACTCATATGGTAGCACTATATTTAACTTTTGAGAAACTGCTAAATTGTTTCCCAAAGAGGTTGCAACATTTTCATTTCCATTAGCAACATATGAGGGTTTCGTTTTCTCCACATCCTTGCCGATACTTGTTATTGTCTGTCTTTTTTATTCTAACCGCTTTAACGAGTATGAAATATGTGGCTTTGAATTGCATTTCCTTAATGACTACTGACGTTGGCATCTTTTCATGTGCTTATTAGCCATTTTTTTTTTTTTTTTTTGAGACGGAGTCTCGCTCTGTCGCCCAGGCCGGACTGCGGACTGCAGTGGCGCAATCTCGGCTCACTGCAAGCTCCGCTTCCCGGGTTCACGCCATTCTCCTGCCTCAGCCTCCCGAGTAGCTGGGACTACAGGCGCCCGCCACCGCGCCCGGCTAATTTTTTGTATTTTTAGTAGAGACGGGGTTTCACCTTGTTAGCCAGGATGGTCTCGATCTCCTGACCTCATGATCCACCCGCCTCGGCCTTTATTAGCAATTTTAATCTTTAGAGAAATGTCTGTTCAGATCCTCTGCCCGTATTTTTGTTTGTTTGTTTGTTTTTTAATAATTTAAGGGACTGGGTTTTGCTCTGTTGCCCAGGCTGGAGTACAGTGGCGTGATCATAGCTCAGTGCAGGCTCCTGCCTCTGCTTCCCAAGCAGCTGGGATTACAGGGACAAGTCACCATGCCTGGCTGCCCATTTTTAAGTTGTTTGTCTTTTTATTGTTGACTTTTTAAAGTTCTTTATTTTTCTAGATACTAGGAGTTATCTTTTCACTGTCTTGATGGTATCATTTTCAGCACAGTTTTAAATTTTGAAGTCCAATTTATTTACATTTGTTTCATTGCTTATGCTTTTGATGTCATATCTAAGAAGACACTGCTTAATCCAAAGTCACAAATATTTATGCCTATGTTTTCTTCTGGAGTTCTATAGCATTAGCTCTTATATTTAGGTCTTTGCTTTATTTTGAGTTAATTTTTACATATGGTGTGAGTTAGTCTAAATTCATTATTTTGCATATCTAGTTTTCCCAGTACCATTTGTTGAAATGACTGCTCTTTCCCTATTGAATGGTTTTGGTTCCCTTGTCAAAAATCAACTGACCATATACGTACGAGCTTATTTCATCTTCTTTTTTGAGATAGGATCTTGCTCTGTCACCCAGGCTGGAGTGCAATGGCATGATCTCAGCTCACTGCAACCTCCCAGGCTCAAGTGATCCTCCCTCCTCAGCCCCCCAAGTAGCTGGGACCACAGGCATGCGCCATCATGCCCAGCTAACTTTTGTATATTTTGTAGAGACAGGGTTTTGTCATGTTGCCCAGGCTGTTTTGAAACTCCTGAGCTCAAGTGATCCACCTGACTCAGCCTCCCAAAGTTCTGGAATTACAGGCATGAGCCACTGCACCCGGCCTTATTTCTTCTTTTTAATCATATATATTTTTTTCTTATTTTTTTGAGACAAGGTCTTGCTCTGTCACCCAGGTTAGAGTGCAGTTGCATAATCACGACTCACTGCAGCTTCAACCTTCTGGGCTCAAGCAATCCTCCCACTTCAGCCTGCTGAGTAGCTAGGACCACAGGCATGTGCCATTACATTTGGCTAATTTTTTTATTTTTACTTTTTGTAGAGACAAGGACTTGCTATGTTGCTCAGGCTGGTCTTGAACTCCTGGGCTCAAGCCATCCTCCTGCCTTGGTCTCTCAAAGTGCTGGGATTACATCCATGAGCTACCACACCTGGCCTGGTTTTATTTCTTGATTTTTCAATTTTATTCCACTTCTCTATATGGCTAATCTTACTCAAGTACACACTATGTTGATTACTATATAGCTTTGTACTAAGTTTTGAACTGGGTAGTGTGAATTCTCCAACTTTGTTTTACTTTTGCAAATTTGTTTTGGCTATTATGGGTCCCTTGCTTTTCCATATGAATTTTAGGATCAGCTTGTCCATTTTTGCTAAAAAGGTGGTTACAATTTTGATAGGGATTACACTGAATCTGTAGATCAACTTGATGAGTGTTGTTACCTTAATAATATGAAGTTTTGCAATTGTGAACACAGGATATCTTTATATTTACTTAGGTCTTCTTTAATTTGTTTCAACTATGTGCTCTTTGGAAAGTATCACACCAACAACATGAAGAGTCCAGCTCTTAAGACTGGCCAGGAGGAAAAGTGGGTGCTCCCTTCCTTCACTAGCACTTTGGCAAGGTAGTTTAGGGAGAGAAAGGGGTATGACATCTCTGTGAAACTTCCCAAAACCTTAACGTCACCACTGAGATCTACTTCTAACTATGCATGTTTGACTCAGTTGCCACAATGCAGTATTTTTGAGCCCATGTAAACGATGGAATGCCAGTAGGCAACCACTATCTAATTAATGTCTCCATCTTAGAAAAAGACAAGGTTTCCTAAAGTATTTCATGATAGTAGCATCTAAACTCAGAGCTTTAATAAAACACAAATCAGGCCAGGCACGGTGGATCACTCCTGTAATCCCAGCACTTTGGGAGGCCGAGATGGGCGGATCACGAGGTCAGGAGATCGAGACCATCCTAGCTAACACGGTGAAACCCCGTCTCTATTAAAAATACAAAAAAATTAGCCGGGCGTAGTGGCGGGCACCTGTAGTCCCAGCTACTCGGGAGGCTGAGGCAGGAGAATGGCATGAACCCAAGAGGCGGAGCTTTCAGTGAGCCAAGATCATGCCACTGCACTCTAGCCTGGGCGACAGAGCAAGACTCCATCTCAAAAAAAAATTAATAAATAAAATAAATAAATAAATGAATAAAATAAAACACAAACCAAATCGTTTAGGTCTGTTCCTCAGCCCTCCAATGTGTCTTAAAAACTATGACAATCAAGGTTTTTAAGCAAAGCTCCGATCCTGGCAAGGGCTCTCCCAGGGCATTATTTCCCTGTGATATCCATAAAGGACCCTTATCTTACCTGCAGCAATGCAATGCCTATGAAAATACCAGCAACGATGGTTAAATTGTCCTGCAACCACTTCTCAAACTGGGGCACACAGCCTTTCGTGTAGATTACAATCTGCTGGTCAACTTCCTTCACAAGAGAAGAGGAGAGCACATTGTCACAGATAGAGCACCAGGCACAGGCCAAAGCTCCTCCAACACCCTTCGTGCTAAGCAACAACATGAGATTCCACTTACTGGTTTTTGCCTGGCATCATAGCCACACTGAGTGTTGATGACATCTTCCTGGTGAAGAAAGGAAAGAGAAAAGTGAAATTTACTCATTAGACAGAAAGCCCACCTAGAAATGAGCAGAAGACTTCTGTTACGCATTAGTAATAAAATGTGTATCTGGGCACAAAGACTGCAGCACTATGTTAAACACTTTATATACATGATCCCATGTCATTATTGCGACAATCTTCAGAAGTAGGTATTAAAATATGCCCTATTTTACAAATAAGGAAAACTAAGGCTTGGGGAATATCAGAAAAGACAGCAAGTCTATCACACAGGAGGCTCAAGATTCAAAGTGGTGCCAACCTCAAGAAGCTTATGGGATTTAGGGAACTGGAGACACAGATAAAAAACATAAAGGGCACAGTGAATCTTCATGTATGCTCTTTTGGATGGACTGCTACTTTTTAATCTATGTACTTCCATGTTACTTAAATTGTTTTTCAATGAGCTTTTAATAATTAAAAAACAAAACAATGCCCCGACCACATAATCACACAGACAACCTGACGTCTCACAGGGTCTGATCAGAAACATGGTTCCACTTTTTCGGGTTGTTTATTTTCCTTCTCTGCGGGGTGTGGGGCAGATTTTATTAGCTTAGAGCGCAAGGAATGAGCTAGCTCTGCCCAGAGGATCTGTAGGTGAAAGGGGAAGCATTAATGCCTCTGAGAATACAGAATTCTCCCAAGGGAGTGTTAATGTGGGACAGGAACTGGCGACAGGAGGCGCACTGTGCGGCACCCGCTGGCCAGTGCAAGGCCACCAGGATGAGCCCCTCAAGCTCTGAGTGGGCACTCTGCTGCCATGTGGCTCTCCTCAGAAGGGAGAGGAGGTTTGAGCTGGTGGGAAGGGCAGCTGGCGGGGCAGCACAGTCCTTAGTGACTTTGTCTCCTCTTTCAGACCAAGAGAAACAGCTGAGGTGGTCCCCTGGAGGAAGCCCACAGGGAAGTTCTGCTTTTCCACTCCAAGACCATAGCTCCTTTTAAGAGCCCCACAGCCTCCACCATAAGAAGGAGCATCCCCACTGAGCTCATCAGCACCCACTCGGCTCTGCTTCTGAGGGGTAAGGGCGAGCCTTGGGGAGTACATCTGGAGACTGCAGGGCCAGAGAACAGTTGAGGAGTCCCAGAAGGGTTCTGCAGCTAGGAGCACACAGAGATGCGTGGAGTAACCTCTCATGTTTGTCATTCTAACACTAGAGAGTTACCTTTTTTTTTTTTTTTTAAGAATTGTGGTCTCACTCTGTCACCAGGATGGAGGGCAGTGGCATGATCATGGCTCACTGCAGCCTCAAACTCCTGGGCTCAAGTGATCCTGTTTCAGCCTCCAGAGTAGATGGGACCACGGGTGTGTGCCACCACACATGGCTAATTTTTTAATTTTTTTGTAGAGATGGGGTCTCACTATGTTGCTCAGGCTGGTCTTTAACTCCTGGGCTCAAGGGATCCTCCCACCTCAGCCTGCCAAAGTGCTGGGATTACAGGTGTGAACTACTATGCCTGGCTTAAGAATTGCATTTTAAGTCATTCTATATACCAGGCACGATTTGACACAAAATATAATCAAACCTGTGGCAAAAGTGAGTGACTTACAAATAGATTTTATATTTTATTCTTTTTTATAATAAAATGCAAACTGCATGACTATAGTCATGATGACATTCAGGAGTCTGGGCAGCTGTGGTCTTCCTACACAGCAGTCCAGGCCTATCTTGTCTCAAACTCTCCTCCTACTCCTAATAGTTCCCCTAGAACTAAGCCAAAAAGAAAAGGGTTACTAACCCCAAACCAATGCAGAGAGCTCTCATATGAGCCTGCCCTTCTCATGAAGAAAGGCTAACAGATGATACAGGCAAGTTGCCTGGGTCTCATATTCCACTCCATTGCCTGCTAGCAGTGCAAGCTTGGGAAAGTCACTTACACCTCATGTGCCTTGATTTCTTCCCCTGAAAAGGGAGGGTAATGGTGGTATCTGCCAGTAGGAATGTGCCCAACTTAAATGAGCCAACACACATAAAGGCTTAGAATAGGAACCAGCACACACTGCTAAATTAATGCCAGCAATTATTACTCCTACTAGGAAGATTTGAGCACCATAACCCCCTACAGGAGCTACAAATACGAGTAACCAGGTAAGAAGAGGGTTCAACCAAAAAATCACTCTGCTCGTCCCATGCACACTCTCGGCATGATGTACAGAGTAGGCCAATAGTTCGCTGGCATTCACTTACTGCGGGATCTTTAGTGCAGCAGGAGAATGGAACGCCACATCGCTCTCGACTTGCATTGGAATCTGTGCAATTGAAGTAAATATTTAGGTTCCAATCATCAGCTCCAAAAGCCCCACAGCACTGCCACTAGAGCAAACAGGAAAGAATTAGAACATCCCAACTTGGAGGCAAGCAGTCACCTACACTCACACCCGCCGAACGACACCAGCTTCTGCCAGCTCTGACCTTCTTTTCTGTCCTAGACTTTATTTTTAAGCCAAACTGAACCTAAATGGCCCATATAAAATCTTCCAAATTAATTAGGGCTGAAGGTTTGTAGGGATGTGTTGGCACGTGATTTAAACAACTGATGAGACCTGTGGTGTTAGGTGGAAGAAGGGCAGAGCAGCTGTACAGCAGGGCTCAGTTAGAACAAGATCTGTTTGGCTTGGGCACGTCATTCTAGAAGGAGAAACAAGAACATTCTAGAAGGGTAAATAAGACACTAACGACAGTGGTAGTGACTGAAGGAGGCAACTGGGGTTATGGGTGGGCTAACTATAGCTTACTTTTTCAAAGTTTTGATCTCTACATTCTAATAGTTTTTTTAAAGATCTGTTTTGTTTTATGGAGCGCAGGGAGACCCCCTGAAACTATTGCTATGGAATAAAAGATGAAATGCTCCTGATTACTGGAAATACAAAATTGCATGCAGGATTGTGTAAAGACAATGCCAGGTTGGACTGCCAGAATGAGCCAACAGTGCGTGATGTGCTTCCCCCTGCAGAGAGCCTATGAATGGACGTGCAGTCAGGGAGGTTTCACATCACCAAGATTCCTATCCCAGAAAAGCAGATGTTCATAGCTCTGGGAATAGAATGCGACCTTTGTGGAGAGCCTATAAACAGACACATGAGGGGCACCTGTCCATATGTATAAGACAGGGCTATAAATGCCCTCATCTTGCCACGGCTCTTCTAGACCTCTTTAGGGTTAAGGCATACTCCCTTCTGAGAATTTCTGGTCTAACTGGTTGTGTAGCTTCACGTCCTGTTTCTATGGATTGTTTGTAACTGGCTTTTGCTGCAACTGTTACTGCTGACTAATATCTTGCTAATCATAGGTTGTGGAAAGACTGTGTTTCTGTTTTAAGGCTCTGTTAGAAATTACTGAAGCACACACTATATTGTAAATTCTTATCCCTGTATACTGTACTTTTGCATACAGATGTTATGTTAAAGAATTACTTCATCCCCATGTGACCATCTCACCTCATAATCAAATGACCTAAATCCCTCACTAACCTACCCCCACCCTCACTAAACTTAATAATAAATTCTGGTATATCCAGTGCATTGTTGGCACTGCGTGACCAGAAGGCGGTGACCCCCCTGGACCCAGCTTTCACTATCTTGTGTGTGTCTATTATTTCTCGACCTGCCGATCCGCCTGGGAACAGAGAGATCCCTGTTGCATTGCAGGCTGCTGGCCAGATCCCGCAATAATGGAGGTATAACTGACATACAATAAATTGCACATTTTAAAGTATACAATTTGATAAATTTTGACATCTGTATACATCACAAAAATGTCACCACAATCAATGGATATATAGTTGATATATCCATTACCACCAAAAATTTTAGAGGTTAACTTTTCATCATATTTGTTTCTACTCTGAGTTTGTTTAAAAACAAGTGCATGTGTTTTACATTTTCAACTTTAAAAAGTCAGTCTTCCAATTAAAATATATTAAAACAAGCGGTTAAATTCAGTGGTTCTTAAATGGGGCCGGAGTCAAAGGCTACTACACAAGCCCCTTCCTCACTTCCCTGGGATGCACTTTCTCTACTTCTCTGAGTTAAATAAATATCAAGTCTCAACCATTTGAAGACCTTCCGGACCAACAGCTACTTCTAAACATTACATTCCATGATGCAAAAAGAAAATCACATGAAACTGTAGTATTTCCGTTTAAAGCACACAGCATCCCAAGACAACATGGTCCTTCCAGGGCTTGGGTCATGCATTTCGAGGTGTGTCCACAAAGCTCCATCAATGTGTCATGCAAACTAGTCAGGAATAATGCCAGGAAAGGGATTATTAGGGAGCCTGCACCCATTAGGACCTAATAAAACAGTGAAGTCGGCTGAGGACATGAATCAGGGCTTAATTTCCCACTTAAGGGGCAGCTTACTCCAGGACGAAATGTTGCTGCCACTGAACAAAACCACATAACCCTGCTCAGTCCTGAGTGCCTAAGGAAGGGGATGGCCTCCCTCATAAAGAGTGTCAACATGGCTGCTGCCTCCCTTCATCACAGGCAGACAACTATCCAACCCCAAGAAGGCTACCGTTCACTGGGCTTCTGCTTGCCCTCCGGTCCTGCCATATACATGAATGCCACAGACACCGCTGTCCAAGTCCAAGCTCAGCCTACCCGACTTTTCAGTGCAGGTATATAAAGACCTGCAAGTTTGTAGGACCCTAACACCTTAGCCTAATATAAAAACATGTATGTCTCATTAGTGTCATAATATCCCTGTGAGTTAGACAGTAGCTAGTATTATTTCCATTTTGCTATTGGGGAAATAGGTCAAGGTCCTGTGAGCCCAGGGTCCCTTATCAGATTTTGGCACTAGACCTGTGTCTTTTGGTCCCTTGCATTCTGAGTGAAACGGGACATCTGCTGCTTTGCTGGCACTGAAAGAGCCATTTCACAGGCATGCTCAGAGACGGGAGGGAGTGGCCTGGACTCCAATGCTCAGGGATAGGAGAGAGTGGCCCGGATTCCACTGCACAGATTCTTCACTTGTTAGAAGCCACTAGGACTTAGGAGTTTCTAAGCTTTTGCTTTTAACTGCATGTGCAATAATAATATTTGGATAGGCACATTTTAGGAACTTTGTGGCAAATTATTCTGTTGATAAGTAGATTATTATGAGCTGTGAAATATCAAGGATTACCAAAAAAGGGGGCAAGGGATAAGAAAGAATCCATATTTAATAACCAAAGAAAACTTTAAACCCGGAGCAAAACAATGTTCCTCAAATGCAAATAGGAAAGGACAGCCATGATTATAACGTTTTGCTCAAGCATTTTCTTCTTTGTTCCTCTAACTTAACAGAAGTTGAAACAAGTGAAAATAGGAAATTTCCATTTAGAATACAAATCCTGTAAGTCACAGAGCAAGTCGGAAAATAATAAACAAACAAACAAACACCCATGCAGAATAGTCAGGTAGTTTCCAGCTGGCAGATGCAGAAACCAGGAGGGATGAAATTCACTGGGGTCATCGTTCAGAGAACTTTCAACTTGAAAACAAACCACTTTAAACTTACATATTCCTGGGTGAAGTCTATGAGGTTTTGCAAATCAATGTCATCCCGATATGCTCTGATGTTGTTGTTTATAAAGAAATACAGCTGGTCTTTGATCCAGTCTTTGAAAACAAATGCTAGAACTCCGGCAGTGAGCTCCAGGAAGAAAATAATTCCCAGGAACACAGAAAACTAAGATAAAAGACACATACACAGAGAACAGTTATAAGGGCTATTTTGATCATATATAGCTAAATGGTTCCTCTCTAAACAGGTTTGTAATTACATTGGATTGTTACACATCTCCAAAGCAGATAATCTTCAGTTTCTGCTGATTCATTAATAGAATATTACACTCCAAGAAAGGACTTTTAAAAATCATTTTATAATCACATTTTAGGGTCTCTAGTGTTCCATTTGATAATTAACCAACAAAGCCCATAAGCAAACATGGATAATAAGGATTTCTCATTAGACCCACATTAAGGCCTAATTAATTTCTCATGATTAATGTACTGCCAGATGCTTGTAACAATGACCTGCCCCTATCTCTAGTAAGCTTCTGTAACTTGAAAGATAGATTATTCCAATATTTTAAGATCGCCTGTCACTTGTTACTGTGGCCTTGATTCTCTATGCAATATATTCCTTTTATGGATTCAGACACCATTTTAATTCTCTTTTGCACCTGCTATACAGGGTAAAATAACAGATGTGTTCATCTTAGATGAAGGGGTCAAAGAGGAAGTAGTGGGGTGGGCAGTGACCGCGAAATGAAAGTTATTTCCCATCATAAAAACAAAATGAAACCCCTGAGTTGAGGGCTTTCCTGGGAATGCTAGCTGTGCTTGCCTTCCTCTAGGAAGCATGGGCCCCAGCAACATTTTAAGTGACATCAAAATGCAGCCAAGGGGAGACTTCCGCTTAATGTAGACAACAGGGGTTTTAAAAGAGGGGCTCAAGACCATGAGGCAACGTGGTAACTGCCCGTAACTCTGGAGAAATTCCCCTTCCATCTAGAAGACTCAGAAGAGTCTCAGCTTAGTCATATCGACTTACTGCTCACGCCCACTGTTTTTTCCACCTCCTACCATCCTGTATTCTTAACCTTCTCAAACTTTGTTGTTAAAATAGATTATGAGAAATGAGCTGTGAAGGACCAGAGGGTACAGTGCGGGTAAATTTCTGGTGACAACAGCAGAGAGGGTGACATGGGCCACAACTGCTGGGCAGAGGTCCTGAAGGCCACATGCAGAAGAACAGTGAGCAGCTGAGGAGGCAGGGGGTGCTCAGGTGGTCTGCGGTTCTATCTTCAGCAAGCAGACAAGGAGCTGCCAGCCAAGAGAAAAATGTATTGGGGAGGGGTGCAAAGGAAACAGCAGTTACTCATTAAAAGAACAAAAGACAAACAATGTTTATTCATTCAGCAAACATCTACTGAATGACCCACAATGAGTCAGGCCCTGAGGTAGGTGGGCTTTGCAGAAACAAGGATGAGTAAGAACAAGGGGTATCCTTGCCTTCGAAGATGTCCCAGTCTTATGTGATTAGGGAGGCTAGGCAGGGAGTGGGTATCTGCAGACATTAGATGTCTGTAGATCTGGCAGTATTTGTCTAGGGTGCCAAGTACTGCTCTGTGAGGGTGGGCACGGGAGGAGGAGTGGAAGGTGGAAATAAGTGTTTGGCAAAGTTTTTGGACTCCCAGGTTAAGGCCCCAATTCTAGACCCTCCAGCTCAGCCCTTCAGGTTTCCCTAGAGTTCCTGATTATATATCCTTCAGGAATTCGCCAGAAATGGAATTTAAACAGTTCTTAATTATCATCAGTGATGCCAATAATTTCAATTTAAACTTTCCCCAATCTAGAAAAATGAACAGAAAAAATATCACACCACTTCTGCTCAATGCCTACCCTACAGTGTAAATAACGCCCTGCCCTGTATTAGGCCCCACCTTAAGCATGTAAATATGAATTATGAATTATCACAGTACAGAAATGACAAAATTATAGCTAGCATGCATGAGCATACACAGGAAACACCAAGTCAGGGAAAGATTTTAATTCAGTTTTTGTTCTCACCTCCATAAAAGTTAAGTGCATTTTCCAGTTCCCCTGGTAAATTTTCTCTTCATGTTACATATTATACATACCAAAAATTGAGTCCAAATTCAATTCATATAAAATATTTGGCAGATACCTACATGCCCCAAGCCCTGTTGAGCTAATTTCCTCTATTTCCAAAGGTGCAGACACTGACTCACAGGCTTCACCCTAGAGCCTCGGTCAACCAAGAAGGTCTATTTCCATTTTGCAGTATCTTAGTTCCTAGATTTTCCCTCAGCAAGTCTCCTAGGGGAATCAGATCTTTAGAGCTATTTGGAGTCCTGTGGACGTTTACTTACTACTTATCTCATACCTTCTGTTCGAAGATTATTCCAGGCAAGTTTTTATTGTTTGTCCTAAATGGAGAGAGGCCATTTAAGATATTTTCCAAGTCTTAAAAGCCAAGAAACAACACAATTCTCTTCATTTCCAACATGAGACTTTATAAATTAAGGTGCTGATTTAGAGAAATGTGTAGTTTTCTGCCTGTTCAGTTAACACTGGACTCTTCAACTGTAAGAAATGATAAACTATATTAAAGGGGCCACCACTATAAATGAAACTATATTAAAGTAAATCACAATTAAGGGGACTGAGCAGGTGCAGTGGCTCATGCCTGTAATCCCAGCATTCTGGGAGGCTGAGCAAGGTGGATCACTTGAGGTCCGGAGTTCAAGACCAGCCTGGCCAACATGGTGAAACCCCATCTTTACTTAAAAAAAAAAAATACAATTCAGAGGATCCCAGCCAGGTATGGTGGCTCACGCCTGTAATCCCAGCACTTTGGGAGGCTGAGGCGGGTGGATCACCTGAGGTCGGGAGTTTGAGACCAGCCTGGCCAACATGGTGAAACCCCATCTCTACTAAAAATGAAAAAATTAGCCAGGCACGGTGGTAGGCTCCTGTAATCCCAGCTACCCGGGAGGCTGAGGCAGGAGAATCGCTTGAATCCAGGAGGCAGAGGTTGCAGTGAGCCGAGATCACACCATTGCACTCCAGCCTGGGCAACAAGAGTGAAACTCCATCTAAAAAAAAAAAAAAAAGGATCCCACATTTTGGGGCATGGAGGCCGAAACTGATGAAATAGTGGCAACAGATGAGTATGACCAGGACCCAATCAGGCTACAGGAAAGCTGGCAAGGTGAGCTGAGCACTGGAGCACTGAGATGCCTCAAGCCAAGAAGACTGGCAGGTTGGCAGGTGGCAATCAGGGACAGAGCTCTCCTGGGGGCTCCCCAGGTTTCTGACTAGGTGAAGAATGAAGCATTTGGTTGTGTGTGTATGAGAGAGGGAGGGAGAGAGAGAGAGACACTGTGTGTGTGTGTGTGGCAAAGGAAGGATCTGGCAGATAAGGCAGATGGAGTCTTAGGAAACTAGCTACAGCCACTGTGGTCCCATGTATCCACAAGAGAGAACCAGCTGCTTGTGAACTTATCTGTAAGACCAGGTACCCCTCGGTTCTCCTTGTTAGAATAAGTCATGCTAATTTTCAGGTTAAATAGCCTCCAAAAACTTCTCCGAGACAGAGCTGCTCAGAAATGGGCTGCCCTGGGTGGGGCACACCGTGTACCCTCTTCTCAGGGATGTTTAAGAAAAGACGCTGGAGGATGATGTGGCAGAAATGCTGGGGAAGAGAATCACACATTACATGACTATTGGGCTACTTCTTGGATATGCTTTTTTTTTTTTTTTTTTTTTTTAATGAGAATGTCCCTGGATGATGATGTGTCAACAAAAGTTGGGAATAACTGTGGTAACAGGAAATATTACACTACAACTGTTCTCTAGAAATCTCCACCATCCCCATCCTTCCTCAGCAAATGAAGGTGGGTGCTTTGGATCCTTTCTCTGTTCTTAGAAAGGGGAATGGATGCTTCGTATAGAGAGCTATGATTCAGACGCCCATCAGAGTGCCAAGCTCCATGCTGACAGGCACATTTGGCTACATTCAACAACCCTATATAAGATACATAAACGGCACATGCCATTTTCTTCTCCTTTGAAACGAGTCTCCAACGCAAAGGCTTTCACTTTTCATTCTCTATTTTAACTTTAAATACCAGTGAACCCCCTGGTGAAACCTCTCCTCTACAAACATTCACTCAGACAGTGATCACGCCAACCGCACCACATCTAAAAATTACAAAGGAGAACTTTGTACCAGCTAAGGACAAAGAAGCTTTACCTTTTACTGTTTCTCCATATTTAGCAAAACCTACTGCTTAACAGATTTAATCTGGACAGGCCACAGTCACTGTGCTTTTGCCTGGTTTCTCCAAACCAACAGCCTGCACAGCTCCCCACTTACTATGTGCATTAAAACGGTGGGAAGGAATCACTTAGAAGAAAATATATATATATACCTACCTTAGTCCTAAAGATATCTTAGGGAATGGAATCCAAGTCTGTGATATATATGCACAAAACCTCCATGGATGGCATGGTGGGGTGGTGGGGGTGGTGTTGTACTTATTAAGGAGGCACAACTGGGAATCAGGGCTAGAGAGCTCTCTCAAAAGAAAATAATGACCTGGGCCCTACTTTGGCCAGTGCCTTTGGTACAGCTCACTGTCTTGCCTGTAGATAGGGTGACCTCCTGATGGAAGGTAAAGTTTTGGCTCTCAATCTGAGAGTAGAGAGTGGAATACTTACAAACTTGAGAAGGAAAGTGTTTTCCCGTAGCGCTCCAATGCACCCTGCAAATCCCAAAATGAACATCACTCCTCCCACCACAAGGAAGAGCCAAACTGGGTCAAAGCCGCCGAGATCGGTGATGGAAGAGATGTTGGACAGAACTCCCTGGGAGCAGAAAAGAACACACAACAAGGCACGGGGATGTGGGGTCAGTTTTCCAACATGTAAAGATTATTGCATTTGTCCTTTCCCCTCCCAAAGAAAACCTTCAGAGGGCATCTGATTATCAGGTATGTGATTAATACTTAAGAGAGGAAAGAAAGAGAGAGAGAAAGAGAAAGAGAAAGAAAGAGTGAGAAAGAAAGAGAAAGAGAGAGAAAGAGAAAAGAGAGAAACAAAAGGGAGGAAGGGAGGAAGCGAGGAAGGGAGGGAGGGGGGGATGGAGGGAAGGAGGGAGGGAAACTGCTTTCTTTCCAACATCTAAACGTGTTCATATTTTTGGGAAAACTATATGTAGAGAAAAAAAAAAAAAAAAGAAAAGAAGAGCCCAAGAAACTGTCATTAGACCCTGTAAGGAGAAGACGTGGTGTTACCTTTGGTTTCAGTGTCTGCAAATATAAGAGGTCTTCAGTAAAAACAAACAAACAAAAAAAGACAGATGTATAAAAAACACACACACCCCCTGACCCCCAGAGAGGGGGGAGGTCATCTTCTGTAAGACCCAATTCACGCAGAAGTTAGACAAATGCCTATTGCAAAGCCCTTGGCATTTCTCAGGAAATAGGATCGAGCTAGAAGCTGAAAACTAACACAGCACCCGGTCCGGCTACAAACACCTACAAGTTTTTTTTTTCCAAGAAAATATCGTACCTCAGGATCTACTCTTGAGCTCCATGGGAGACCTTTATTAGGCTGAGATCCCAAAAGCCTTGTGTGGTTTGCTCTGGTGGCTGTTCTGTGGCTTGCTGTTGGGGTATTTCTTACCCCCTTCGAGTTGAAATTTAAATGATTTACAAATCAAAGGTTACTTCCTCACTTTCAACTCTTATTCTTCTTCCACAAGAACACCAAACGGACCTCGAGTAATTTCACTTTTCCACAAAAAATGACATTTCTTTACTGAAATCCCCTCTTCCCTTATGTGTGATACCATATTAAATACCACCCAGAACCTATGTTACAAGATTATTTTGAAACTGTGGATGTGCATGGGCCTTAAACAGCCAATATCACCAATATTTTAATTTTATTGAAGTTGTTTGGTACTCTCAAATCAAAATACCTCCAGAGAATCACAGTATAGTTTGCTGTAAAGCCTTAATAATAAAAAAAAATTGTTTTCAAAGCACTCCCAATAACCTGTAAGAACAGGAAGCAATCATCTGATTTTATACTTGAGGAAAATGGAACTCAGAGCAGTTTGGTGATGGGCTGAAGGTGACAGACGCCATCGCTTCTTTGAAACCAGTACACAATGTCTATTTCAGTACCAAGCAGGGGCCACACACTTGCTTCCCAGTACTTCCCAGTCAGCACTAACCAACATCTGAACTTAGGAGTTTTAAGTTTTAATCCATTTAAAGGTTGTAGGTAGGAACATTTGGAGAAGCGTATTTCGTTTGTTCTATTTTTCTGTCTGTTTCTTCCTTTAGGGGGGTGTCAACTTACGAACAATAATAGGATATTAAGAACAGAATGTATATGGGGAAATAAAGAACTCTTATAATGTAAAACTTAAACCTAATTTTAAAAAGTCTAAGGTTTAATGTCACAGACAAATGGTTGAAAGGCTATTAAAGCAGTTAGGATTGAGGTTGTATTCATTAACTTCTGAGGTGACATCAAAGAAGGCAACCACACCCTTCACAAGTCTGCATAGACCAAAGGTTTGATCCAATTTTGTTTCTTGGGTTTCCAAGCAGTGAACTATGAATATTTACTCCGGGGGAAAAGGTTGAAGGAAAACAGAAATACTCAAACCAAATTCTCCACCTATACAAATGATGCTGAGAAAAAACTTGCCAGAGAAGTCGGACAAAATCCAAGCAACAGGCTGGGTGGAGTGGCTCACACCTGTAATCCCAACACTTTGGGAGGCTGAAGTGGGAGGATCGCTTGAGGCCAGGAGTTTGAGACCAGCCTGGGCAGTATAGCGAGACCCTTTCTCTACAAAAATAAACTTAAAATAAAAAATCCAAGCAACAGTGCTAAAGGCCCAGGGTTGTTAGGAAACCAGCCTCTCCTCTGACAATGCCTTTAACCACAGATGTTAGTACCTGAAGCTTTCAGGTTATGGACCTTCTCAGCCACCGGAAGAGAGAGAAGACTTTGGGGATACATGAAGACATTCTTAAAAGACTTTAAGCTTAATTATGGGAGAAGAAGACACAGCTAACTTGGCACCAGAAAGAAGAGGTAGCAGTAGCAGAATTGACAGAGAGAAATGTCAGTTCCATCATAAAGAGGCATTTCTAATACTGAGAGACAGGACTAGCTGGATTTCCCAGGCCGAATAAGAATTCCTAAGCCTAGCTGGGAAAGGTGACCGCACCCACTTTTAAACATGGGGCTTGTAACTACTCAGCTCACACCCAACCAATCAGGTAGTAAATAGGCTCACTAAAATACAAATTAGGCTAAAGCAGGAGGTAAAGAAATTGTCAAATCATATATCGCCTGAGAGCACAGGGGGAGGGACAATGATCGAGATATAAACTCAGGCATTCAAGCAGGGAGTGGGCAACCCCTTTGGGTCCCCTCCCGTTGTATGGGAGCTCTGTTTTCACTCTATTAAATCTTGCAAACTGCACACTCTCTGGTCTGTGTTTGTTCTGGTTCGAACTGAGCTTTCACTCGCCGTCCACCACTGCTGATTGCCGTCGTTGTAGAAGCCACCACTGACTTCCACCCCTCCGGATCCGGCAGGGTATCCGCTGTGCTCCTGATCCAGCGAGGTGCCCACTGCCACTCCTAATCGGGCTAGAGGCTCGCCATTGTTCCTGCACGGTCTAAGTGCCCAGGGTTCATCCTAATCGAGCTGGATAGAGCTATAACACTCACCGCATGCATGGCCCAAGATTCCATTCCTTGGAATCCGTGAGGCCAAGAACCCCAGGTCAGAGAACAAGAGGCTTGCCGCCACCTTGGAAGCGGCCCGCCACCATCTTGGGAGCTCTAAGAACAAGGACCCCCGGTAACAATACCACCAAGTCTGTTCAATGAACCAAAGAAGGCTGCCCTGAGAAATACGGGATTCCCCAACAGGGTTGCTGATGCTGTGAACCTTTGTCAACAGCATTCTAGGAAAGATTCCCAAAGTGGATGGGAAATTAGGCCTTAATGACCTTTAGGATTCCTTTCAACTTTGAGACCGTTCTATGATTTCATCCATTTTTAATGGGCTTTTTAGTTGCGGCTCACAAGTCTGAACAAAGATCAGATTGCTCCCAAACCCTTGCCCATGATCCATGGTTGTACATAAAGAGCTCAGTGGGTAACAAAGACGATGATCTGAGCAACTCAGCAAAGCAAGCAACAAGCTAGCAAACATACCTATGCCCGAAATAGCAAAATAATCCCTCCCCCAAAGACAAAGAAGTATGATCCCAACTGTCAGGAGATTCCTAGATCATCTGCACTCTCTGGGTTTAATTTGGAGGATAAAAATTGGCTTCTCAGACAAACTCATTTTAATACTTACTCTCTCCAGCCTTCAGAGGCAGTTTTAATTGAGAGCCTTCAACTGTTTCCACGGAAACAACAATCATTGGGGGGCTGAGCTGGACTGCAGATTCTACTTATTTAATCCTAAATTCTGGCAAAGATAGAGCTGCAAACAGATACTACAGCGTGCTGGGGGGAACTAATCTCCCACAAAGCATAGGAAAGACTACCAAGAACTTTATTTTTAATGGATTCAGAATATACCCACGTAGTTATCAGTTGAAAACTAACTCAAATCTTTTTTTTCCTGGGTGAAAAGAATATATCCTTTATCTACTTATTTAAAATTATTTTAAAATTTTAAAAAACTGAAATGGACATAAAATTGTATGTATTGGCCCGGCTTGATGGCTCACGCCTGTAATCCCAGCACTTTGGGAGGCCGAGGCGGGCAGATCACGAGGTCAGGAAATCGAGACCATCCTGGCTAACATGGTGAAACCCCCCGTCTCTACTAAAAATGCAAAAAATTAGCCGGGCGTGGCAGCACGCGCCTGTAGTTCCAGCAACTCGGGAGGCTGAGGCAGAAGAATGGCGTGAACCCGGGAGGCGGAGCTTGCAGTGAGCCGATATCGCACCACTGCACTCCAGCCTGGGTGACAAAGCGAGACTCTGCCTCAGAAAAAAAAAAAATTGTATGTATTGTACATGTCCATGTTTTGAGGTGCGTGTATATATAAATAGTGGAATGACTAAATCTGGCTAGTTAGCATGTGCATTACCTCACATAGTTATCATTTTTGTGGTGAGAACACTTTACATCCACTCGGCATTTTTCAAGAATATATTATTAGCCATCATCACTACCTCAAATCTTGAAACACAAGAAGTGAATGTGGAAGTCAATGCCCAATGGCCAGTATTTTTCCCCTTGGGATTAGGGAAAATTAGGGATTACTTACCTAGCAGGAGAAAAAAAACAGACTTATTCTTTCATCTGTGCACAATTTCCCAACATTCACTGAAGAGCAGCAGTTTTATTGCTTTTGACTACACAGAGGGATTGGGAGGCCAAGGCGGACAGATCATGAGGTCAAGAAATCGAGACCATCCTGGCCAACACAGTGAAACCCAGTCTCAACTAAAAATACACAAATGAGCTGCACGTGGTGGTACCTGCCTGTAATCCCAGCTACTCGAGAGGCTGAGGCAGGAGAATCGCTTGAACCCAGGAGGCAGAGGTTGCAGTGAGCTGAGATTGAGCCACTGCACTCCAGCCTGGTGACAGAGCAAGACTCTGTCTAAAAAAAAAAAAAAAGGTGGGGGGGAACATAATCCTGACAACAGTGATTTGGATTACAAAAATGATAGGGAGTTGACTGTTCAGTCTTCTGTTGTCCTAAAGATGGGGTCTCTTTCTGGACTTTTTAATTTCATTCAGCTCAATTTGACAGATGAGTAAGAAGTGCTAGTATATGCCTGCTGAAGAGTAATTATAATTAAACCTTGTAGTTGACAAGAAGCTGTAAGAAAAAAAATCTAAGATTACAGTTAAGTCTGCCAAGCAATTTAAAACAGGCACCAGATTCACAGTAAATCCTTAGGAATGTGCAAGAACACCACCAGCAGACACCTAGTCTTCTGGGAACCTGAGGCCCCCGCCTCTTCTGGGAACAGCACCACCTCCTCCTTGTAAGGATGCCTTCGCCCCTCCTTTCACTCCATGACCCCTCAGAGCTGCCAAGATCTCATACAATCCTGCTGGCCTGGTGAGGGCTGAGAAGCCTGGATTCCCTTCCTAAAGTGCCAGGATTTAGAACAGGCACCTTTCTCTAGTGGCTGAGACTCTAAAATGCCAAACTCCAGAGCCTTGTGAAGCATGTCATATTTCCTACCAAGTGGAGAAAGTCAGACAGCAGTGAGAAGCAGAAAACCGCGCTCAAGAAGAAACAAAGAACAAGAGTAGGGAGGGAAAATCCAGACAGCATTATAAATCCCCAGTCCAGTGGTTCCTGAGGCCTGCCCTAGAGCTCTATGTGTCACTCCAGGAGCCTTAGATACACTCCCTTGATTGCTTATGCTGGTTCTCTTTGGGTCTTCATTTGCATCTGCGAAGTCCTGCACAACACAAAAGCTTTGAATACACTATGCTTCAGTCCTCCATGCACGTAAACGCACACACAGACATGCACATAGACACACAGACACACGCACGTGGTCGAAGCTGGGAAAAAATGTGGGTATAGGGAGCAAAGGGATGTGCCAGGTTTTAAATGGTCATTTTCCCCAGCTGGCTGATATTTCAAGTCAACGTAGTAATTAAGCCGGTGTAAACAGTCTCATTCATGTTAACTCACTATGAATTCAGCATCATCAATGAAATGAGCAGTTCTGTGGAACTCTTATGGAACTTTTAGGTGATTTGTCTATGTTACTGACAAATAATGCATAACATGGTTTAACCTCCAATTCTGCATGTAAACTTGAATGTTCAGCCCTTGAGTTTAAATACCAACTTTTAAAACCTCAAACACGGAAAAAAATCAATACATTGGGAGGCCGAGGTAGGGGGATTGCCTGAAGCCAGAAGTTGAGACCAGCCTGGGCAATAAAACAAGACCCCATCTCTAGAAAAAATTTAAACATAAGTCAGGTACACTGGTGTGTGCCTGTAGTCCTAGCTACTTGGGAGGCTGAGGCAGAAAGATCACTTGAGCCCACGAGTTGGAGGCTGCAGTGAGCCATGATCACATCACTGCACTCCAGCCTGGGCAACAGAGTGAAATCACATCTCAAAAAGTAATAAAACATAAATAAGTAAATAAATACAAAATGTTATTTGACTACTCTCTTCTGTACCTGTTTATGCCAGAAGTGCACACACAGAGCTTGGCATCTATATTCCATAGGAAGTTCTCATCCTTCTCCTACCTGAATCCTACAAGCATAGCAAGCCCTGGGGGCTAAAGATGTCAAGGGTACTAGACTTCGCAGATAACATCAGAAAATATCCCATGAAGCTGAACCTAACTGGAACAAGGATAAATGAGTGAGAAGCAGAGTAACGGGCCACACACAGTTATTTCCATCCGTTTTAGTTGACATATGAAAGTGAGATTCTGAACAGTAGTAGCAGAAACAGAAAGATTCAGAATGAGAGAGAGCCAGAGACCAAGACTGCAGGTGATGAGAAAAATATATTCAAGATGATCGATTCAGAATGCTATGTGGGAAGAATTCCTCTACATATATCTTATTAATACATTAAAATTTTATTAGTAAGAACTGATATAAATGAATATATTCATAAGAATTCTTCGTATGCAGACTATATGCTATGTCAATATTCTTCTTAGGATCCTTAATCTTCTCTTCTCCTGCCTCTGAGGTCTACAGCTGTTGTTGCAGCAGGCAGCAGAGGCAAAAAACAAATTGACCATAACATAAAGTGCTGCTATAAAGACAAAATGAATAGCAGTCAATTTAAAAAGTTGAAAGAAAAAAATATATTCAACAAATTGGCCATTCTGCAAATTAGCTTTTGGACAACTAACTCTGGCATATCCACTTGAAGCCTTTAAGAGATGATTCTGCAATAGGAGATTTCCATTATCCACTAGGTACCAGACAGCATCTCTCATAACTTAGCAAAGAGACCAGTATATGTCTAAGAAGAAATAAGACACATTAGTGGTCCATGTCTGAGGCAATAGGATTGTAACAGAAGTTTAGAGAGCCAACAAGCAACAATGTATCCATTTGCACCCATCGTGGTACAAGGGAGACTCTGATATTCCAGCCACTTAGACTAGCCTGCTCTAGAGTGGGGCAGAGAGAGCATTCCAGAATCAACCTCCTCCTGAACAAACCATCCTGAACTGTACTTAAGCCAATGAGGCTCACCTCCAATATCCCCTGGGATCCAAGTAAATCCAAAACTCAGAAAGTGGGGTAGCCTGGACAATGGGGGAGACAGACAAACAGACAGACACTAATACAGACTAGCTTGTCTTGAATCCCAATGCTAAGCCAAATTGAGGCTTAGGCAGATGAAGTAACCTGCCTAAGATCGCACTTACTACCTGTGTCATCTTAGGCAGATTACCTCATCTGCCTAAGCCTCAATTTCTGTATCTGTGAAAATGGTACTCTATGTCCTAAGGTTATTATGAGGATGATGGAAACAATCCAAGTAAATCCAAACACGATGTGAAGTGCTTCGAATATAATAAGAATTAAATAAAAGTATATTGCCATAATCACTGTTATCACTATTATATTAATAATATAATTATTAGAACAAGAAGAAGACACCAGACACTGTAGAGGCACCCAGGAGGAGTGTCTAACCCAACTGCACTGGAGAAGAAACTGTTTTGCTCTGGGTACTTGCCCTGCCTGACCCCCTCTAAGGAAAGCCATGGCCACAGTTGATGATCATGCCTAACAGAGGTGACAGTCACTAACTTGTTAATAAGATCTTCTTTTGGGGGGAATTGGAAATAATCTAAGACATGGAGAGAAAAGGCAGAAGAGGGAGGCCATGAGGAAGCTGAAGCCAGGAGTAGGCAGAAGCCATGAGTGGTGGAAGCTTAGGGTACTGAGAAGTGGTGCAGCAGAGAAGAAAGCAGGGAGGAGTCAGTGACTGCGGTAAGACAGCAGTGGTGCTGCCACGATGGTGGCACATGGAACCAGGAGCAAGGATACCTCTGTTGCTGGGGTGCTGACTGGCACACTGGTTGTCAGTCACCACTCTGGAGTGACCTTCCAGTGGCTGAACTATGTTCTATCCCCGTTAGATCTGGCTGTTCAGTGGTTTGATGAACACAGTATGTCTCAGTAAGAATGTGAAAAACCAGCCAACCGGCCAGGCGCAGTGGCTCATGCCTGTAATCCCAGCACTCTGGGAGGCCGAGGCGGGTGGATCAAGAGGTCAGGAGATCGAGACCATCCTGGCTAACGTGGTGAAATCCTGTCTCTACTAAAAATACAAAAAATTAGCCAGGTGTGGTGGTGGGAGTAGTCCCAGCTACTCGGGAGGCTGAGGCAGGAGAATGGCATGAACCCGGGAGGCGGACCTTGCCCACGCCAGTGAGCTGAGACTGCGAAACTGCACTACAGCCCGGGAGACAGAGAGAGCCTCCGTCTCAAAAAAAAAAAAAAAAAAAAGGACAAACCAGCTAACCTTCCCTCTCCTCATTAGTGCCTTATTCATTCAGCTGTCTCTGGAATTTAAGCAGCTTCTTCCCCATGCTTCTGCAATAAAGGAATATGTTCTGAGTAACTATTTCTTCTTGAAAGAGGTTTCTATGCACATGCAGAAACGAAAAGGCAAACAAAACTCCAGAAGGGTTCCACACCAATAAACTTCAGGAGTGTCTGTGTTTTTTTTTTTCATCACCAGCACAGAGGAGCCTCTGTGTGCCACCTGGCAAGCTTCTTCTCGCAACCCACACAGAAAAGAAATACAAAAATAGCATTAATAAACCCCAAGGTCTGGGACTCTTCTGCTTTTGCATATACAAGCACATTCCTTCCAACTGCTGGATAAGAAAGAGAGAGAGACAGGCCTATGAAATGTGTACCCAAAGCTGGGCCAGATGGACCCCTTTGAGATTTATGAGACTAGCTCTTGATTCACCAACCCCTCCATAAACCAGATCCTACTGACAACAGTTTTCCTAGAGTAAGAGATAGAGAAGGATTTCCCTAGTGAGAAAGGGTAACGAGGAATGACATTTCAAAGAAAATACAGCTACTCAGCGAGGGGTGATCCTGGAGAGTTAGAAATGTGGTTCTAAACAGTATGCACAGTAAGAACAAATAGAGACCACAGGGCCACAGAGGAACCTGCCCCTATAAAAACTTGTCAAAGATGCTCCGCCACTCTGTAAAACTCCAAACATCCATCTATCTAAGGAACTGCTGCAGAGGCCAGAGTGACGACTAGGAATGAGAAGAAAGCCTGTCAGGCCCTGAACAGTCCAGGGAGATGTAAGGGAGCAAGAGCAGCTTAGTTCATGCCTGGCAAAGAGATACAAGGATAAAAGACGACTAGCTGCTTCAAAGGTGCATGGCTCCTTCCCATTTTTTCTTGTCAAAAAAGGTCATTAGTGAAACTCAAGTAATCCTTTTTTTGCAGATTAAAAAGTGGCCATGACCTGCCTTTGAGGAGAAGAGGAGAAGGAGGGGTAGTCATCTTTTAGGTCTCCATACAATCCTGCAATCAAGTAGCTGCTGGGGAGGCCAGCGGTACCAAGTTCCATCAGGTGGCACTGCTCACAGGCAGGGAAACTACCATCTCTACACACTCTGGTGAGAGCCACTGCCCCATCAGCGTGGAAACAGCCACATGCAAAAGCGCAGCCTTTCAGAAATCACCCATGTTCTCAGCCATTCCCAGATATTTTCATTTACATTCAGAAGACGGGAGACATACCTAGAAACATTCCAGCCTAGGTGTAAAGTTTAAGCTGAAAGATTTAATAGAGGTTCTGGTATGGACTAAATGTTCGTGACTCCCCCAAATTCACATTCTGATACCCTAAGCCCCCGTGTGGTAGTATTTTGAGGTGGGGCCTTTGGGAGGTAATTAGGTTTGGAAGATGTCATGAGGGTGGGACCCCCATGATGGGATTAGTGTCTTTATAAGAAAAGGAAGAGGCTGGGCACAGTGGCTCACACCTGTAATCCCAGCACTTTGGGAGACTGAGGCGGGCAGATCATGAGGTCAGGAGTTTGAGACCAGCCTGGCCAACACAGTGAAACCCCGTCTCTACTAAAAATACAAAAATCAGCCAGGCGTGCGCCTTGTAGTCCCAGCTACTCGGAAGGCTGAGCAGGAGAACTGCTTGAATCCAGGAGGCGGAGGTTGCAGTGAGCCGAGATCGTGCCACTGCACTCCAGCTTGGGTGACACAGAGAGACTCCATCTCAAAAAAAAAAAAAAAAAAAGAAAAGGAAGAGACCAGGGCCCTCCCTCTCTCACTCTGCCATGCCAGCACACAGCAAAAAGGCGGCTGCAAACCGAGGGCCCTCGCCAGGAACTGAATCTGTCACCACCTTGATCTTGGACTTCCCAGCCTGGCGAACTGTGAGAGAGAAATGTTTGTTATTTAAGCCACCCAGTCTATAGTATTTTGTTACAGCAGCCTGAGCTAAAACAGGCTCTGATCATGGTGCCCCTAAACTCAAGTGAAAAAAGGTGAAGTCTGGACTAGCGGCAGGTGACCCTCTATTCTGGGACCTCAAAAATATGAGACTCGTTCATTTATTGAGCAAATACTTTCATGAGGATCACCTGTGAGTTGCCAGGTATTATGTCAGTCAAGGGTTATTTCTAGCAAAACATCCAGTGACACCCTCAGGAGCTGAGTCTAGAGGGGAGACGGTTAAGAACAGAGTGCATGGAGCAGAGGCACAAGCAGTGGGTGTTATGGGGGTGCATGGGGAGGGGCAGAAGGTCCCATCAGTAAGAGTGCAGACAAAGCGACAGGATCTGGCCCAGTGGGGCCTCTATGTGACAAGCGGTGAGAAGAGATGAAGAGGCTGGTTGGGCGAGGCTGGGTTTGTATCTGAGGGCATTTGGAGCAGAGGAAGCTCCAGGCCATTTCTGAATTTAGAAGCCCGCTCAGGTGGCAGTCACGTGCTGTGGAAGCAGCTAGCAGGCTCTGGGGTGATCCGGGTGAGATCTGCTGAAGGCCTGAATAAAAGCAGCACCAAAAGAACTACACTTCTCAGCAGTGACTCCAGCCAGGCACTGGGCTACCTGGACTACTTCACCCTCACCAGAAACCAGCCAGGCAGGCACTCTTACCCATGTGAGGAGACAGACACAGAGAGGAACTAACATGCCCAGGTAGCCCAGGTCAGGAAGTGACAGAGCAGGGTTCTGAGCCTGGGCCGCCTGACCCAAGAGCAGGGTTCACACCACTCCCTGTGATCTATTGCTGGAAGTTGGGGTAGCAGCTGGCAGGAGGATTCTTATTTCCAACGTAACATCATACATATGTTTCTAAAATTTTAAGAAAAATATACACAATATGTTATAACATTCTTGCCTCTGATTTCACTGATCACTATCTGAAAACCAAAGTGAGTAGGAGACAAGACCTCCCAACCACACCCCACCTCCACCACCGCCGACAAAGGACATCTTTCTTTTGTGCGCCTCGGTGAAATCTGGCAGGGACAAAAGGGGTCAGAGGAGGACTGAGAGGCAAGGTTTCTCTGGAGAAAGCAGTTGCTGTGCTGTGACACCACTGCCCAGGGCCTGGGGGTGGAGTGTGGATAGCCTCTTTCTCACCCTAAACCTTAGGAGGAGTTCCAAGGGCACCTCCCGGGAGCTCTGAAGTGGTTCTCTGCACTTGACCCGCACAGCCATTAGGGCCCGACTCTGCCTAGGAAGGGGCTGTGGGCTGCCTCCTGCCCTTGCAACCTAGAGAGAGAAGGGCCGGCTGGCTGCTCTGGTATCAGAAGTAGGTGAGGACAGGCAATGGGCTGTTCTGGGGGCACTGACCTCGCTCCCAGATGAGTATGTCCTGGAGAAAACACGGGGACAGCACGGAAGAGGTGGCCTGAGGTCATCCTGGACGCTGTCAGATAGGGCTGCCTGCAGGCGTGTGAAGAAGTGACCTCAGAGGGCAGAGCTCAGAGGTGCACTGGCTGAGGAAGGTGGCCAGGGATGAGCAGGGCTGCCAGGTGGTCACCTGGAATTGAGATGGCTACCAAGCTCAAGGAAATCACTAGGCACAGGGACTCAGCAGGGGAGCTTCACAAAGACCAGGATATTCTCCTCTTTAACTTCCACCAGGCCCAGAGAGCACAGCCCACCCCAGCTTCTGCCCGGGCAGGCGGTGGGCAGAGGCATCTGGGCAGGGCCAGGGGCCAGAAGGAGGATGCAGAGGGCAAGGGCCCATGTTCCCTTCCCTCCTCAGGGGCCAAGGCTGATGGGCTCGGCAGGGAGAACATTTTAATGCAAAGTTAGGTTTGCAGTTTTATTATCCAGCCCTGTCTAATCACTGGGCCTGGATCTGTGCCTCAAAGTGAGAGAAGGACTGTGATATCTGAGAGTGAACAACAAAGTCATTGAATTTTTGACCCAACTAAATTTTCATCCCTAAGAAACCCCACTGAATACAGTTTAAAGGGGAATACATAGAGAAACATTAAATTTTCTTCCCATATACTTCATGTGTGTGTGAAACATTACTGATTAGAGCACATCAGATCACATAGCTTCCAGGTACTGACCATGAGCTGTTTGGTTTCCAGCTCTTTTTTTTTTTTTTTTTTTTTGAGATGGAGTCTCACTCTGCTGCCCAGGCTGGAGTGCAGTGGCGTGATCTGGGCTCACTGCAAGCTCCGCCTCCTGGGTTCATACCATTCTCCTGCCTCAGCCTCCCAAGTAGCTGGGACTACAGGCGCCTGCCACCATGCCTGGCTGATTTTTTGTATTTTTAGTAGAGATGGGGTTTCACCGTGTTAGCCAGCATGGTTTCGATCTCCTGACCTCGTGATCTGCTCGCCTCGGCCTCCCAAAGTGCTGGGATTACAGGTGTGAGCCACCGCGCCCGGCCGGTTTCCAGCTCTTTAGATACAACAGAGAACTTGAGGGAATCATTGGGATAATTGAGGAAAAGAATCACAATCTACTTTCAGTCAATAAAACCAAGTCTTCATAGAAGTATTTTCAGCATCTCAGTAATGTCTCCTTAAAGAAGTTTCAATGTTAAGAAATCTATTTTTTTCTGCTCAAGTCATCTGAGTAACCATTTTCCTCTATTGCCTCCCTCAGGCAACAGAAACTGGCCTGTACTGCTATGACATTCCTGAATCAATGAATCTCACTGAATTTTCCTTCCTCGGCAAATAGGGAAAGGTTTTCCAAGGTGAGTCTCCTGTATAATTGTGACAGGAAGAACTGGAGTGTTCTGCATTGAGACCTAAAATCACAGACAGTGGGCTGGGAAAAACCCTCCAGGAAAAAGAAACATCATCTACAGCAAAGCCAAGGAGAAAAGCAATATGGGGGCTAGAGCTCCTCTAATTCCCCCTTCTCCCTACTGGGATCAGCACTGGGCACCAGTTCTTTCCTTCCAATCACCCCTAGAGAACCCAGCGTAGTGAGTGCAATGGAGGATGACAGGGGACTGGCCAGAGGACTGGGAGGGAGAGGGCCAGACTTCCAGTTTGACATCTCTGTGCCTTGGTTTCCCCACCTATGAAATAGAATGTCATTCTCTTAAAGTTAACTTGAGGGGATCCAGAAGTCAGGGAAGTGCAAATGCAACTCCTTTATAAAAAGTGGTATTTTTTTCCTGTGTAGCATTTTACAACGTGTAAAGCTCTTTTTGCATGTTCTCATTGGCTTAGTCACAAACAGCTTCTGGGCATCCATTGTGTAGGAGGCATTGTGGTAGGAACTGAGAATAAAGGGCAAAGACAGGCTCCTGTCCTCAAGGAGTTTCCAGGCCAGACAAGCCAGGAGTAGGTATCCACTCTGCTTAGTGGGCTAGGTGCTGTATTAGGGAGGCAGGGGCAGAATGGGAACATTCAATTCACACTAAGGACCAGGGAAAGGCATTTTCCCTCCTCTGAAAAGCTGAGTCCTCCCTCGCCCCAATACCTTTATTTCTAATTGTGAGTGATCACTCTCCCTCTTGCTCCCACTTAAGAACTAAGTAATAAGCATAAGAGTTGAGCAAAACGGAAAAGGAATGGCATCCCTAATTTTTCCATGAAATGAGATAATCATATATAGATTTCCACTTTTACGAGAGAAGTAATTTTCTTCTTTTCTGATATAGACAATATATATATTTTGTTTCTAACCCCGTATTATTCTCAAATCAGACTTCAGAAACCACACGTATTTACCTCCTTTTATTCTGTAAGAATCGCTAATATAGTATGCTTACTGGAGATGTGAGGCAAGTACTGACTTCTATAACTCCATGACATAGCCAGTGTTTTAAAGAATGCTGTCATTGCTCATTTGCTCATTCATTCTTTCATAAGCAATACCTCTTGAATACTTGCTATGTGCCATCTAACATTCTAGGTACTAGAGTGTGGTAATAAATAAAAAGTCCAGGCAATAAACTTGTTAGCGTCTAAGTGATGAGTCGCATGAGAAGGAAAAACACAAGGAAGGGGAAGAAAGGGCTAGGTCAAAGGTGACATTTGAGAAGAAACCAGGAAGTAGAAGATAGCACTCATGTGGTTTTCTGGGGAAGAGCATGCCAGTCAGGGGCAAGTGCAAAGGCCCTGGGGTTGTGGGGGTATGTTTGGGATGCGGGAGGAATAGCAAGTTGATAAGTAGGACCATAGGACACAGTGAGGAAGCACACAGTATGAAAGCAAATGTCACACAGGCCATGGGCACCATATATGGCTTTGAGTGAGAAGATAAGCTCACTGGAGGGCTAGAAGCAGAGAAGTAAAAGGATCTGTCTTACATTTCCAAAGGATCACTCCAGCTGCTGCACAGAGACAGCCCTAGGGTGAGGGTCAGGGTGCAAGAGCAGAGGCAGGGAGATAATTGGAGGCTTCTGCACAAATGCAGGCAAGATGTGGTGGCCACTTAGAACAGGGTATAACAGCGGAGGTGGTGGAAGAAATCGGATTTTCAATATAGTTTCAAAGTAGAGCTGACAGTATTTGCTGATGGGCTGAATATGGTATGAGGAGAAAAGAAAGCAGAGTGTCAGGAATGAGCAAGTAGAAGAGTGGAGTTGTTTCTTTACCGCAATTGGGAAGAGCAGGTTGGGAGGGCATGAGAATCACTTGTGTTGTTTTGAATGTGTTAAGTTTCAGAAGCCTACCAGGCATTTCAGTGTGGATGCTGGCTATGCAAGTCTAGAATTCAGATGAGGTTGGAAGCAAAAATATTCATTTGGAAGTCATCAGTGACAGATGGCATGTAAAGCCCCAAGTCTAGATGAGATTTCTTAAGACGAGTCAAAGCTCAGACTGAGCCTTGGGCACTCCAAAATTTAGAGGTCAGGGAAATGAGGTGGAACTAGCAAACACATGTGAGAAGGCACCACCTGTGAGGTATGGAAACCAGGAGAGTGTGATATCCTGGAAGCCAAGTGAGGAAAACGTTTCTCGAATTGAGGAGTGATGTATTATGCCTTAGTCCTTGCTTTGCTGATAAAGGTTCCCAAGTACCTGGATGAGAAAATGATGTGCTTCAGGACCCAGCATGGGTTCAATAAGAAAGTGCTAGGTTCAGTTAAGTGCCTAGGCCAGTTAACCAGTGAAAAAGTGAAAGATACCATCTATCTACAAAGACAAGATGCAGAAATATAGTCTGATGTAATGACAAGTAGATGGATGAGAAACTCCTTGACTGATGACACCCAAGGGCACACATAAGTGAATGAGTGTCAACCCCAAAGGAAATTTCTAGTGACATGTCATTGGGCTCTGTCCTTGGCCTGCTCAACAGCATGTCACTGGCTTTTATCAATGATAACTAAACTTGACTGCAGTCACAACAATCTAGTAGGCCTGTTAAAATAGAGCATCGCAGTGTCTATCCTGGACCTACTGAATCAGAATTTTCCCAGGTGGCATGGTGGGGCAAAAGGACAGTCTGCCTTAGCAGAAGGAATAGAGGGAGGAGGTTGATCAAAATGTATAGCTGAAATCAAGCTGGGCGGAATGGGGAAGATGCTAGATAGAGGCTCTGGAGTGATCTCAGCAGGTGGACAGGTGGGCTGAAATATCACTGTGTCATTGTGGAATCCTGCAACTGCCTATGAAAATCAGCCATAGGTGAGGTGGATGGGGTAACCAGTTGGGTCTGCAACCTACTTGGGACTCTCAGTGAGCTGCAGACACCGTGATCTACAGTGGATCCCAAGCTAGATTGATGAGGGGAGAAAGGACGCAATCCAGCCACACTCTCTACAGCCCCTAAAGCTTCCTCTCCATGGTGCAGAAAAGACACCAGAGCGGGGCCAGATGAGCACCAACAAAATGGACAAGGGGCTCCAGCCCACATCCTGTGAGGACCACCTAGAGAGAAGCAGATGTTTAGCCTGGAAACTCAGAAGGAACCAGGCCCTCACCCTGACATACCTCCCGGGCTAACATGTGGAAAGACTTATTCTGTGGGATCCAACAGGGTAGATCCAGAATCAATGAGTGAAAACTAGTGGGACATGATTCTAATTCGGTGGAATGAAGGTCTTTCCAACAGGAAGGGCAACCTAAAGAGACAGAAATGCTGAGCACTTTGCTGTGGGAACCATTAAACATATATACACCCCTAAGTAGCATTTATTGCAGTGTATTATTTTAGGTATATGCACACACCCTTCCTACAACTGGATAAACTCCATGAAGACTGAAACTAGGTCACTTCATCCACATTTCCCTAGAATTCAGCACAAGCCCTGCCCATGCTATGTGCTCAATAAATGTTATCTGAATGAATGAGTTGACTGTCACTGGATGTTGTCAAGGGTGTTGTGGAGGTGATTCATGTCACATAATTGTTAATGTTCCTTCCAAACAGCAGATCCTATGATCTCTGAACAATTGCACATAAATCAGCTTCCCTTGGAGACACTCATCCTTTGCATTTTTACAGTTGATTTAAAACTCAGACAAAATGAATTCTTTAAATTATTATGTCTAATGTTGAACTGCAATATTAGCCCTAGGTTTAAAACTCAGACTGATATTAAGTATGGGGTAATCATTTTTGCTTTCAATGCTTCTGTACTTCACATGAATATGCTGAAAGTCCTATCTGCTAAGAAAATGTGTTTCTTCCAGTGGAAATCTCATCCTTCCAGCTATGATCCAGTTTGGGGATTTACCCTCCAGGCCTCTTACAAGTAAATGTCGCCACATCTGGGTCTAGGGGATGTACTGATTCATGGGCTGATGGTGTCAGCTCAGCAGGTGCAGTGTTCACCACACTGTCTACCAGGCTGGGGTTCACCTTGAAAACTTACTCCAGCAGAGGCCTGGCCGAACTCAGAAATTAACCCAAAGGGCTTTGAGAGAGCAGTCTCTGCAGTTACCAAGGAGATCAACACACTTCACATCCTCCTCAAGAGACCACAAAACAAACCCAATTCTCTGGTCCATGGATTGGAGCCTGAAACTCTCCTAAAATTTGAGGCTGCCTTTCAAAACTACCTTTGTGCTCTTGCCCCATATTAAGAGTGGACAGCCTATGGTCATGTGTCCAGGGGAGGGAGCCATGTCTCCAGTGGGCATCTGCCTTAGAGCAGACACTGTGCTGAGGGAGGTCTCATTTAATCTTCACAACAATTCTATAAGGTGAGAACAGTATACCTATTGCCAAACAAGGAAATGGCATCTCAGAGAAGTTAACTCAGTTGGCCAACATCACACAGATGAGATGTGTGTATTCCACACATGTCAAATACTGGAGGAGCCAGTATTTGAACTCAGGTCTGTTTACCCCTGTCTTAGTCGGCTGTATAACACTGATCATAAACTGGGTGACTTAAACAACAAACATCTACTTCTCATAGTTCTGGATGCTGGGAAGTCCATGATCAAGGCGCCAAGATTTGGTGTCCAGTGAGGGCTTTCTTCCTGGCTATGTCCTTACCTGGCAGACAGAGAAATAATCTCTCTTGTCTCTTCTGTTATCAGAAGGGCATTAATAACCCTATTCATGATGGCTCTGCCCTCA
The DNA here is from genome assembly GCF_000001405.40 of Homo sapiens. NCBI lineage: Eukaryota > Metazoa > Chordata > Mammalia > Primates > Hominidae > Homo > Homo sapiens. Next base: position 98,505,068 of record NC_000004.12, read on the forward strand.
TGACCTAATTACCTCCCCGCCAAAGCTTCACCTCCAAATATCATTACATTGGGGATGAGGGCCTCAGCATATGAATTTGGCAGGGTGGGGAGACACAAATATTCAGTCCATAGCAAAGCCACAAAGCTGTGCTCTTTTCCCACCCAGCAACCAGAGTGATCTTAAAAAAAAAGTCATATTAGACTTTTCAAAATGCTCCAGTGGCTTCCCCTTGTACCTAGAATATATCCAAACTTCTTGCAGGACTCTGCCCAGTCTGGCCTCTACCTGGCAACACAACCCACCTCTTCTTGTCCTTGCTTTCTCCCTTCTAGGCCTACTGGCCTTCTTGTTGTTCCCTGGAGTCACCAAAGTCCCTGCCTCAGGGCCACTGCACTTGCTCTTCCCTCTTCCTAGAATGTTCTTCCCCCATACCCTGCAGATCCTTCTTCCTTCATCCAGGTCTCTGCTCCCATGCCACCTCCTTAGAGAGGCTGTTGGCAACTACTTCATCTAAAAGAGACTCCTTTTCCCACCACTCTCTAACTTGATGTTTCCTGCCAGAACTTACCAGTATCTGGACAAACATACTTGGGCAGTAACTGCTTCTCATTGGTGACCCACCAGAATGCAAGCTCCATGAGGCATGGACTCTGCATCCCTCATTGTCGTATTCCCCACACTCAGGCCCCAGACACATGGCCAGCACTCACCAAACTGGGCTGGTGCACGGCTAACACCCGCTTCACCCTCTGCTGCCTCTATTTGTTCCCTGCTTATGGAGTTCTGCTACATGGAGCTGGGTGACCTTGGCCAGGTTAACTTCGGATCTCAAGAGAAATCTTGATGGTGGCCCTTACAAAAAAGGAACTGCTATTTCATCCCTCCCTAAAGACCGCATCAACCCCTTGCTCTGATATTTGTATGACACTGCCAGTTTTAGAAGTTTGTGATTTTATCAGAGAAGAGACATTTGAGGCAACTGATGAAACAAAAAGATAATTATATTTCATAAAGAGAAAATTAAAAAACTTCAAAATTACCAACTGCTGTTTATTGCTAGAACAGATAATTAGTTCATTTAATGCCTTCCAGCATTTTTTCAAAGCAGATAGAAATGGACTCTTATTAAAGGAGTTATAAAAAGCTGTGTTATCTGGCATCTAACCAACTTCCCAGATTCCACAAATTTCCAAGTTCACAATAGGCTTGAGGCAAAAGTTAACCATAATCCAAGACAAGATCAACCGATATTCAATGTAAAAGTTTCTAGAGATGAAATTATCTCTGTTTTGGGAACTTAATTTGTCTCCCCTCATACATAATCACTGCCCTGCCTCAAAACTCCAGGTAGCCTCAGTTACTCTTGTTGCTAAAAAGTAGTTTGTTTTCCATAAAACATTTTACATTCTGTAGAAGAATTTTGTAAATAAATACAGGATGGTTCATTTGCAAAACTCAGGATTTGCTTTGAGTTTTGTTTTATATGGTCTGTCTGAACATTGTTTTAGTTGTGGAAATGCCTACTGGCCTCTGAGGGGCTTTTGTTGACTGGACCTTCCCAGTTTTTCTCTCCTTTCTTAATGCATTTACCACTTCAAAGGAACTCTCAGCTTCAGGCCAGGGTCAGGCTAGAGGGTGAAACACCTACGGGATCAAAGAATGGTCTTCTGGGAAATTTTAAGCTAGATTTTAGTTTATGGCAGCTTTTAACCATTCTATACATCCCCTTGTCCTTACGTGGGAGATAATAAAGCTTTTGTGTATAGCCAGATACAAGGATAGATGAAATGCTGCAGGTGATTTCACTTGCAAAGAAGGAAGGAAAAAAGCTGGGAGGAGGGGGCGGGTGTTTATATTCACTGTTGAATTCCACTGGTGGCCTCAGTAGGGGGAGCTGTAGAGAAAAATTAGAAGGTGCGATGGGAAGGAGAGGTGTGGACACAGGGGGTGTCTGCATGAGTGCGTTGCTTAGAGCAGAAACTGCCCAGAACATTGTATCTTCACTGTCACATAGATTACTCTGTATTTCCAGATTTTCCTTTTATTATACTGTATTTGATCATAAACTGAATATTTCTTAATACTTGCCACCAGCAGCCAAACATTCCCATTATTTACATTAATGATGAGTGTATTTGATACTCAAACATGAAGTTATATCCCACTTCCTTCAATCCACATGCTAATAGTTGTTTACCACATAACACACTAAAAAAAATCGTTTTTATCTTGAGTTATCTTCCAAAGAGTTGAAGAAAAAAAGCAGAAGAGAAAAAAAGGCTACAGGTGGTTTAGTGATATTTATAATCATTACTGGAATTCTTGTGCCTGAGTGAGAAAATATCCCATAGGAACATCGATCTTTGGCTAACTGATCAAATTCCAAGGTATATTCTCTGTTGAGCACGTGTATTGTTACTTCAGTAATTATTTTGATGCAGTCATCAATTTAGGCACAATTCCTAAAGTGTCTTTGAGAGTATGACATTAATCTTCCACCAACACTTTTTCTTGTTAAAGAGCCATGTTTATACTCTGTGGTTGTCAAAGAGAAAGGGGGATAATACATAATATGATGTGCAGCCTCTAACAACCACGATGTGTGCATTGTCATGATATTCAACTTACTTTTTCATTCCATGCCCACAGTCCAATTCCAAGAAATGTTATTCCCAAAAACTGAAAAAGAAAGAAAGCAGTGTAAATATAAGGGAAAATGCCGCTAATATAAAGAAGAAACTTTTCAATCAATTCTTTTGTCACTTTACCTGGCTGGGAAATAGCTTTTCCTAAAGTGTGAGCACTTATCTTTACCAGGAAAATAAATACCATAATCCCCCTACTTAAAATTTTTACAGCATTAAGAAGGGCTGGAGACACACAGTTGGTTAGAAGTCATTCAGATTATGAAGAGTAATAATTAGGTAGAATCCTGAGTACACTGAAATTATCAATAACATTTAATATGCTGCCTTTTAGGGTAGGGGAGGAAACGGATTCCCCATGGATCTGAGGCCTGTGGTCACTAGAAAATGGATAAGCAGAGGCATTAACTTAGAGGAACTGGGATCTTCTCTTCAGTATTGAGCCATTACAAATGGGCCAGGTCAGCGAGGGGCATGTAGAGCCTTGGATGTCCCTCTTTGATCATGCCTTCCAAAGGTAACAAGAATCTTATCAATGTAACCCAAAGAAAATTCCTAAGTTCTGTTTTCAGAAACTTCGATTGTGTAAATTTTAGTTCAGAGGACCTCCCACCACCCTTCTTGGTTTTGACTCAGTTCCACAACTTCATGCATACACAGAGTATACAACACATGGGACTGAGTTACGCATTCAGCCCTAAGGCAGAGGCACATCTCATACATACCCACAAATCTCACCGTTCTGTCAATTAGCTGTGTTGAGGACTGGGGGAATGCCAGGAGAGGAACAGGTGATAACCAGGAGGGCTTTCCATTTTACTGTTTTTCTTTTTTTTTTTTTTTTTTTTGAGATGGGGTTTTACTCTCTCACACAGGCTGGAGTGCAGTGGCTCAATCACAGTTCACTGCAGCCTCAACTACCCAGGCTTAACCGAGCCTCCTGCCTCAGCCTTCCAAGTAGCTGGGACCATAGGCGCATGCCACCATGCCTGGCTAATTTTTCAATTATTTGTAGAGACAAGGCCTCACTATATTGCCCAGGCTAGTCTCACACTACTGGGCTCAAGCAATCCTCCCGCCTCGGCCTCTCAAAATGCTGAGATTATAGGTGTGAGCCACCACTCCCGGACTAGGGCTTTCCATTTTAATTAATTCTCACTGTATTCCATCTGCTATAAGATACATATATTTTCCCCACATTTGAACACATCTGAAATTGGGATGTATCTTAAAATCCATGGTATCTCATAATTTTTTCCCCCTTGATATAGAAAACAATGGAGTGTTTTGTAACTGGGGCGACACAGACTTGATGACACATTGTACAGAGCTGTCCACCCACTAAAAATCCAATGATCAGGACTGTGTGTAATTGGCCATGAGTAAAGATATGCTTCATCTTTATTATCAATAGCAACTCTCAATTTCCTTTCCAAACACTGAAAAGAGACAAGAAGTTTCAGTGTGATGGCAGCACACCGTTTATTTTACTAACATCTTGATTAAGTTAATGTGAGGAAAGTGGTCCACTGAGAGGGGTATGCAGAGAAAAAAATGAGTGAGAGTGGTTATTTTTTACAGTTCCAGGGAAATCCGAGACCTGCCCACTGGGCAAGGGCTTCACTGTTCTCAGCAGGGAGTTCCTGATACTTTGTAAGCAATCACTAATAAATCCAAACGGGACTTGGACAGATGGCAGGAGCAGAAAGAAAAGGGGACTGACAAAAGACAATTAGCTGCTCCGAAAACATAGTGGTGTTTTTAAAAAGCAGACCTTCCCGAAGCTCTCGACACTCATCTGACATTGAAGCAAGACAACACACAATACATTCTGAGCCCTATACAGAAAATCATGTCCTTGATTTGGCAAGAACTGAAGACCCCTTTCTTCCTACCCCTTGCTCTTATAGGGGACTCCTTGGAAAGTGTTCAGAAAGATTTCTCGTTTTACTATCCCAACTGAAAAACCGTGCTCAGCCCTGGTCAGAGAGCTATTTCATTTTACATTTCAGATCCAAAACAAGTGAATCTCCAAAAGACTCAAAGGTACTTAGGACTCTGTAGCACAAAAGTAAAACAATTCAGCATGTTACTCTCATATTTATAGGTGCTGGGCAAAAGAGAACGACCACTGACAAGTGAGTGTACAGGCTCCCATGAGACCTAGGAAGCACAGAAGCACAGAGTTAAGGCTTTGACTTCAACCCATTGACATCAAACACAACCCAGTGAAATGGCTGACTTTCCAATGCTGAAGCTCCTCATGGACAAATGTTTGGTTATTTTCCCTGACGCAGTATTCACTGTCCCTCCTGCTGCTGATGGTGTGGACATGTTCCTGCCGAAGGCCTCTGCTTGATCGCTAAGATTTGTTTTTATTACTTTCCAGGCATCATGCTTAGTGCTTTGTGTGCAATGTCTCTTTAAAGCTTCACAACAATTTTACTCTGAAATAGGCGCTCTTATTATCCCCTTTTTAGGAAAGAGGAAAATGAGGTTTAGAGAGTTTAAATAACTTGCTCAGAGGCACATAGCTTCTAAGCAGAGGAGCAGAGACTTGAACAAGAGAAATACATGTTCTTAGCAGTCCTGATAAATTCCCCTTTGCTCCCATGATATAAAAAGTTGAGGCATTCAGGCTGGAATTACATGGTACATGATCAGCATATCATATATTCCTCCCCCAGCAAGCAAAGGGGTGTGGAAAAGGTAAAGAGAGATAAAAACCTTGCCTTCACATAAGAACTGGCTGTGGAACAGAAATTCCCCACTTTGGTGTCCACAATGGAGTTAAGCAAAAGAACAGAGAAATTCAATGGTGGGTCCACATTCTCCTTTTTAAATAAAGTTTTCGTCTCTCCTCTTGGCACTTTGAGACAACTTTTTTCATTCACGAGCCATATAAATAGCTTGGAAACCAATGGTTTTCCATAAAGAGGAGAGAGAAAAAAAGTAGGGATTTAAAGAAGACTCACAGACAATTTCCTTTATAATCTTGCTCCCATATTTCCTGCTTTGACTGTGACTTTCCAAACAAGGGTTTAAGAACTGGGAAAGAACACAATTTGAAGTTAAGGGAAACACTCAATACCTAAGCAAGCAAGTGGTGCAAGCCTGGGCCTCAACTTGATACATACCTTCAGTGCTACATCACTAGCAAATGTCCTCCCAATTATTCTCAGACCATATGTTTTGTTTTAAAATCAAGTTGTTCCAGTTCCCAATAATTAAACAGAGAAGAGCCAAAAAACAGAGACAGGCATGCAATACTTGAGGCACATTCAGTTTCCCCTTCCCACCTCCCAAAGAAAAGACAACCATAAACCACGAAACTGACCTCATTCTGAAACCCAGGGAGGCCCACTTGCAGGAAATAGCTGAGAAGTCTTAAAGTCAACCCTTTACTCTTTTGAAATGGAAAAAAATATATCTGAGGCATCTTATCTGAGGCATCTTCCCACATGGCAATATATGCAAATGTACAGTACAAATGTTTGTCAACCCAAATTTTGATGTTTTAAAATAAATAACAATAATTTTGCCGGCATTTGTTGAATGCTAAGTATGGCTAAACTACAGCCACGTGTTGCTTAATAAAGGGAATACGTTCTGAGAAATGTGTAGTCATGCAAACATCATAGTGTACTTACACAAGCCTAGATGGTACAGCCTATGACGCACCTAGGCTATATGGTATAGCCTATTGCTCCTAGGCTACAAACCTATACTGCATGTCACTGTACTGAATACTGTAGGCAACTGTAATACAATGGTAAGTATCTGGCATCCAAACGTATCTAAACATAGAAAAGGCATAGTAAAAACACAATATAATAATCTTATGGGACCACCATTGTATATGCAGTTGGCTGTTAACTGAAACATCATTATATGGCACATGACTACTGTTTCAAACTGAGCTGCACTGGTAAGTGTAAAGTGCAGGCTGAATTTTGAAAACTTAATATGAATAAAAGGAATGTAAAATATCTCATTAATATTTATTATCGATTACATCTTGACGTGATAACATTTTGGATATACTGGGTCAAATATTTAAATTAATTTCATTTCACTTTTTAAAGATAGCTATGGAAAACGTAAACTACATAGGTGGTTTGCATTATATTTTTATAGAATAATGTTGGTACAAAGTATCCCATAACAATATCCCAGGCACTAGATATTGTTTTAATCCCCATTTTATAGATAAGGAAACTGAGGCTTAGAAATTTTAAGGCCAGGTGCAGGGGTTCACACCTGTAATCCCAGCACTTTGGGAGGCCAAGGTGGGCGGATCATGAGGTCAAGAGATCGAGACCATCCTGGCCAACATGGTAAAACCCCGTCTCTACTAAAAATACAAAAATTAGCTGGACGTGGTGGTGCACACCTGTAGTCCCAGCTACTTGGGAGGCTGAGGCAGGAGAATCGCTTGAACCTGGGAGGCGGAGGTTGCAGTGAGCTGAGATCGCGCCACTGCACTACAGCCTGGCGACAGAGCAAGACTCCGTCTCAAACAAAAAAGAAAAAAAAAAGAAATTTTAAGTATTCCTCCCAAGATCATAAAGGTGCCTGAGCTACATTGCTCAGAAAATCTGAATCCTTAGCCCAAGACCAAAACTATTATACTTTCCTAATATGCACAGAATGTTTGTCCACAGAGCAAGCTCAGGGACGGAGAACTGTAATGAAACTCATGCCCTAAGTCTCTAAATTACTCTTTTAATTTCTAGGCATCAAAGGTATGTTTTCCCACCTAGGAATGAGAACAGCCCTCAGGCAGGCTGATGGAAGCCTTCAGGCATAGCAGAAGGACAGCCGGCAGAGCTGACCCTTGGGAACAGCTGGAGAAGAAAATGGCCCCAGCATGTGATGAGGGCGATTAGTTACCTCTGGAGGGACACATCTGCCCCACTTTTCTCTGAATTCTACAAAAGGAAGATCCTTTCCTCCCTATCTGGTGGTTTTCTTCCTTGCTGAACCTCCAACATTTTGAAATTGGTACAGTGCCTTATTCTAACTGGTATAAAAATGGATACTTCAAGAGGCCATTCATCCATTCATTTATAATCTGCAACAAATATTCTTGAGTTCCTATTTTGTACTAGACACTACTTTTCTCTTGGGATAAATGAAGGTAAGAAAACAGAAACAGTTCCTGCCTCCAATGAGCATACAGTCCAGTAAGAGAGAGAGAGAGTCCTCAAATAAAGAGTAAAACGTAAAATCATTCCTAATGGTGCTACAAAGGAGAAACAAATAAGGCCAAAGAAACTATAACAGGGGGATTTGACCTGGAGGGGCATCTGAAGGTTTCCCTGAGTGAGAAATGCGTACATGTAGTCCAAAGGATGAGAAGGAGTTAATGAGCAAAGAAAGGAGGAAGAGTGTTTCAGGCAGAGCAGAATGTACAAAGTCCCAGTAGAGAGAGAAGCATGACAAGTAAACAGGTCTAAAAGGCAATTGCTGTGGCTGGTGCACAGAGAATGGGGGAAGTGGGGAAGGTACAGCAGGTTTGCAATTAGAGACACGAGCATGGACCAGCCCATGCAGGCCTTGTAGCCCACCTTAAGGAATCCAGTCATTCTCCTACAAGTGCCAGGAAGCCATTTAAAGGCCAGCTATGTGTGGTGAGCAGGGGTGGGGTAGGCAGGCAGGTCTTTGCAGATCTGGGCTTTGGAAAAATGAGGATCTGGGCCGCAGAAAAGATTAGAGTCTGAGTGCATCTACAGTGATCAAAAGGAGGTGACTTTGGTAATACAGGCAAGATGTGATCATGTCCTGGGCTGAAATACGGTGAAACGGTCGGAATTGAGAGCTACTGAGAAGTAAAACTGACATTTTCAGTGGGGGTGGGAGGAAGGGGAAGGAAAAGGAAGTGTTAAGGATAATGCCTACATTTCTGGCATCTTCTACAGAGACTATGGCTCTTCAAAATTCCAAAGACTTACATCCCCTCTGACAGAAGTTATTCTCAGGTGCCAATTTCATAACTAGCTTGATCTAGTGGCACTTCTGAAGGACAGTTTTCTTTTCTGTGTATTTTGGCTGCTATCTGAATTCTCTTTGAAATAAATTTCGGTTTGTATACTTTTAAAAAATAAATTATTTAAAAATATACATATATTTCCAACACCCCTGCTACTTTTATTCATAAAAAGCAAATAGATAGATAGATAGATAGATAGATAGATAGATAGATAGATAGATAGTATATATCAAGTTCCTAGACAATTCTTAAATTGACACTTTCAATCCTCTTTGCTTAAAAACATAGCAATTACATTGATGGCATCTGCCCAGGATCCTGTGAACAGACTCAAAATAACAGCACACAAGGTAAATATGATAGAGGAAAATAAAGATCAAGTCAATCTTCTTACCTAAATTGGAGTCACAAAAATATCATCCTAAATAACAATGAATGGAAAAAAACCCAACATTCTGATGAAGTCTTTAAGAAAATGTTAATCCCTGCCTGAATAAACAGGAGAAATGCATTTAAAAATTTAGCATAGAAGGGAGGCAAGGGGAGAAGTGCCATTAGGAAAGTTGTATTTTCCTGAAGCTGCAGCACCTGTACTCTGTATTATATATTTTCTGACACTTTAGTCTGAACAACACTCGTTTTAGCAGGGTCCACACAAATGTGCTAAATACTTATAATAACAAAATAAATGTCTTTATAGAGGAGGGACTTATTTCAGGAATAAAAAAACCTCTGGGGATAATTCTGGCCATGTCAAAGGAGTAACTGTGGGCTGGTGGAAAATTCAATATGCAGAAAGTCAATCCCAGTTTTCCCATTGGGTCCCCGTGTCCCAGTTTGTACATTCAAACTGTCCGGAGTCCTCATGGTAAGATGGCGTGACTGATAAAGCTCAAACTGTAAACAGGACATGTCCCATCCAGCCAGGGTCACCATCTCTCATGTCACTTCATCCTGATGGCCTCCTTTCAGTGTGGCCCGAGTGCACTCTGCCTGCTGAACCCTGACTCCAGTGCTACGTAGTTTCATGATCTTGGGAAAGGGTCTTCATTCATTTGGCAAATATTTATTGAGCACCTACCATGAGCAAGGAGGTCATCTAGGGGCTTTGGATAAACTGGGAAACAAAACAAAGTGACTGGTCTTGTGGGGTTTACATTCTAGTTGAAGTGTGCAGGAAGAGAAAGGCAATATAAAGAAACATAAGTGAGTAGATGCAGGGAATTTTTTAAAATGGGAAGTGCTGTGGAAAGAGATCAGTGTCACGGGCTTGTCATGTGGCAGAAGACAGAGGAGGCACTGCAATATGAAAGCAGAGCAAATAACAGAGGTCTTCACTAAGAAAGTGACATATAAGCAAAAACACAAAAGAGGTGAAGGAGTGAATGGCAGGTGTCGGGGGAACAGCATTCCAGGGAAAGTCTGGAGGCACAGCCACCAAGTGGCTGCAAGACACAGCACAGAGGATGATAGGAGCCAGGTTGTGTTGGGCTTTGCAGGCTGTGGTGAGGACTCTGGTTTCTCCTGAGACAAAGAATCACTGGAGGGTTTCTTGACTTCTTAGAGCTCTGGTGTCCTTACCTGTCACATGCAGATAAGAAGGGCACCTCAGAACTGCACAAAGCAATTGTGTGTGTTGATGTGACCACGTGAGCACTGAGTGCTTGGCAAGTATTGTCATTAATATCAGTTCCTGCCCCCCTCCTGACACATTTCTCAACCTGCCCCTCCAACCCTGCCATCTACAACTGGTCAAAATGAAATGCAGCTTCACGTCCTGCCTCCTCCAAATACAAGAAAATATACTAGTTCACAGTGATCAGAGGCTCTCTCTCTCTCTCTCTCTCTCCCTCTCCTGAACTTCTGTATCACTTGCTGCATGTGCCCTTATTTGACATTTACACACACACACACCCAAACACAGAGGATTATGGAGGAGTGATGTGACCTGGGATTAGATAACAGAGATCAGTGATGGGGCCTGTCCTAACCAGAGAGCATGTGCTCACAGGAAGTGGCAGCATCCGGCCTCCCATTTATCTTCTCTCCTCAATTTCAGCTTGAGGGTCATTCCAGGAAAAAATGTATACAGTATCCCATGCATTTAAAACAAACTAACACACTCTAGTCAGATACTCATATGGTACTTAATTTCACATCTTTTCCATTGCTTTTCTTAGCAACCTAGTTCATGAATTCTGGATGACTAGCCCCAGAACTTTTAAATCCACTAATTTTGATTAATTTAATTTCTGCATTAAAGAAGTTTCTCTCCATCAGGGCTTCTAGATGCATCTTTCCTCTCCGTAACCTTATTGCTCCTGGTTTTTGCATGATATCCTGTGTGAATGGGTTTGGTTTCATTGTGCCTATTTTTTTACAGAATCCTTTCAGAAGAACGTGGGATACAAATGATAACCAATATTAATCGAGTTAGCTCCTCCATCTACATCCCCCTTTCTGAAAACTGGCCCTGCCCCAACAGGGGCTCCTGTACGCATATTTGTGGAGGATGGGCCTTCTCCCACTCTCTGGACAGATGAGTCACTAGGGTCAGACATATGACTCAGGAAGAGCTGTTCCACTGAATACCAGGCTGGGCCAGAGTCTCCCATTTCCCAAGAGTCTGGTATTGGACAAAGTGATTTTTCTCAGCCTAGTCTCCCTCATGCTAGAATAGACTGGGGGATATTATGTAGATATAGAAAGTAGAAAAGAGACCCAGAGTAGCTTATGTTCCTGACTGCTTCCAGCTTCTTATCCCGGGACCTGTGGTTGCACTCCTTATGCTGGGTTCCATGCAATCCCCTGGGCTCCTATTTTAAGTAAGCGCCTCTCATCTTAGCTAAAGCTACTTTGGGGGCATTCTGTTACATGCAGCCAAAAGCATTCTGCTATGGTTTGAGCACGGTTTGTCTGCCCTCACCAAAATGAATGTTGAAATTTGATCCCCAATGTGGTGGTGTCAGAAGGTGGGGCTTAGTGGGAGGTGTTTGGGTCATGGGGGCAGAGCTCTCATGAATGGCTTGCAGCTGTTCTAGAGGTAACTGAACACTTGTATTAACAGTAGTGAGTTCTTGCTCTCCTGAGACTGGATTAGTTCTCTGGGAATGAATTATTTCCCACAAGAGTTGGTTGGCATTAAGTGAGATTCCTTCTCCTGTTTGATCCCTCTTTGCACGTGTCTGTCTCCCCTTTGTGCATCTCACCATGTTATGATGCAGCATGGAAGCCCTTGCCAGAAACCAGGGCCATGCCCTTGAACTTCCCAGCCTGCAGAACCATGAGCTAAGTAAATGTCTCTTCTTTATAAATCACCCAGTCTCGGGTATTCTATTGTAGCAACACCACAAAACAGATTAAGACTGGTCCTAAGACATAAATAAGAGACCAGATCAATTGCTTTCATGCTTTAATCCTGTGACAAGCTTACAGTAAGCTACAAGATATGCAAAACAGGCATGAGACTGATGGTGCTCAGAGACTAATCATGCTCTGGCAGAGGGAAATTTCTTTCCAAATAATTGAATGGAGATACCAGTTGTTCTGAACTACTGGGCAAGATGTTGTTACTTGCTGTGTAAGGAATATATAATTCAGCCACACATCCACTTGCAGGAAAGAGCTGTCTGCTGCTTGCTTGTTGAACTATGGAAGCAGAATGATATGGCTAAAATCCACAGAATGGTTCCTGAAAAACACCACATAGCAGAGCCTGGGAAAGGGGTGAGGCAGGGGAGGAGGTCTATTTGGAGGTATCCAAGCATTTTTGGAACTGTGTTCTCTGTTTTCCCAGAGGATGAAAGGGCTCTTTGCCTTTGAACTTGCACTACACCAGGAGAAGGCCAGGCACCCCTTGAAGAAATGTCTACAATCCAGGGACAGTCTTGTTTGCAAACTCTTTTGTTAGGGTTTGGAACTTGACATTTTGGCAAGGACTAGTCATCTGAGATGGGGAGGGGAGAGAAGGGAGGGCTGTGCAAGCAATCAAACTGATACTCTTCTTGGAAATTACCCAAGCAATGCAGGCACGTAAAAGGGAAAGTGAGGGATGAGCCATCCTCTTTTGGATGGAAACATGGAGGCTGCAAGTTTACAGCCCACTAATCTTTGCTTGTCTCAGTAAAAGAAAGGCTTGCACTATTCCATCTGTAACTCCCTGATTAGATAAATCCAAGGCTGAAAAACATACCAGAGAAATGTTCTGAAGGCTGAGAAAGACTGAGGAATAACTCAAGCACTTCAAATCAGAGGCATGAGAAGTAAGTTATCTATAGACAAACATCAGCCTTTGTAGGAATAAACTGCGGTTTGCATTAGACAGCTGAGTTATAAGCTCTCTCTAATGGTAGCTTCGAAAGTTTAATACTGTCAGATGCACACTGTTTTTATGTTGAAACATCTTGACTTTTTTTTTTTTTTTTTTAACTTTTCCTAGGCTCAAGTGATCCTCCCCCCTTTAGCCTCCAAAAGTGCTGGGATTACAGGCGTGAGCCACACCACACCCAGTCTATCCTGACATTTAAAAACAAGGTATGATAAAGGTTAATGCAAATAAAAACCAAAATAGAATTATTCTTTAAGGTAAAAGTAGGATTATATCATTCAACTTATTTAATGAATATCTTCAGTATATACCAGCCACCATGCTAGGTGCCAGGGATAGAAGGGTGAAAAAGAAAATGAATGATATCTTTTCTTAAAGAGCTAATGGTCTGGTGGGAGTGGGTGGGAGATACATAAATAAAATGACAACTCAATTACAGAAATGGAGCATTCCCAGAGATGCACATGGGTTGCCACAGAAACTATGAGATCACTGCAGGGGTCAGAGGAAGCTTCCTAGGAAGTGACACTTGAACTGTATTTTAAAGAGACGGCGATAGAAAGACTATCTCCTGTAGAGGCAACAGCTTATCCAAAAGGATCAAAGCCTGAAACAGCATCTCCCTTCAGGAACCTGCAAGTGGTTCCAGGGCTGGAGCAGAGAGAGCCAGACAAGGCACTAGGCAGGCTATGGTCCCGCACCAGTGGTAGCACCAGGGAACTTGTCAGAAATGCAAATTCTGAGGCAGCTCGAGACCTACTACATCAGAAACTCTGGGGGCAGGGCCCAGCAAGTTCTGTCTTCTTAACAAGCCCTGCAGGTAATTGTGACATGTGTTGAAGTTTGAGAACCTCTGGGCTAGAAGGGTTAAGGCCTGATCAGCATAGCTGTATGTGTTATGGGTACCAAGGGACCAGCAAGCCATGGGAAGCCAACCAAGGATTTTAAGCAAAACAAGTTATCAGATTTGCATTTCAGAAACATCTTTCCAGCACAGTACAAAGAATGAATTGAAGAGAGATGAGACTGCAGGTAGCAAGACAAATTGGGAGGCTACTAATTTGGTGAGAATGACATCAGCTGAAAAAGGAAGAGGCAGCCGCAGCAAGATGGAGACAGCAGATGAAAAGGCAGAGACTCTATGGACTCAGTGGCAGGAAGCAGCAGGGTACAAGGTTAAAATTATGGGCCTTTAGGTCCAGGTGCAATGGCTCAGTCTGTAGTCCCAGCACTTTGGGAGGCCAATGTGGGAGGATTGCTTGAGTCCAGGAGTTTGAGACCAGCCTGGGCAACACAGTGAATATAAAAAATAAATATGAAAATAAAATTAAAAAGATTAGCCGGGCATGGTGGTATGTGTCTGTGGTCACAGCTACTTGGGAGGCTGAGTGGGAGGATCGCTTGAGCCCAGGAGTTCAAGGTTACATTGAGGTATGATCACGTCACTGCATTCTAGCCTGAGTGAGACAGTGAGTCTGTTAGAAAGGAAAGGAAAGGAAAAACAAGAGGAAAGGCAAGGAAAAAAATGAATGGATGAAGGGGAATGTCCTGGGAGGTGAAGAAAAGAGTGCAGTCTAAGAAAACGTCCCAGTTTTTAGCTTAAACAACTTGGCAGGCTTTTGGTGTCATTTACAAAGTTAGGAATACTAGAAGTGGAGAATATTTGGAGAGAAATATCAGTTTTAGATTTCAGTTTTAGGCGTTATTACCAAGACAGATGTCAGACACTGATGTGGAAAGATTCTGACTCTTGCACAAGGAAATCTGGGGGCTGGACAGCAGTTGGCTCTAGAGTCAAACTTAGCTTAGCATTCAGGTTCCACCATTACTGGCTGTGTGACCTCAGACAAGTAATTTAACTTGTCAGTCCTCTACTTCTTCCTCTACAAAACACAGAGACAAGTGGAATCTATCTCGTGGGGTCATTGGGAAGACTAAATGAGATAACGCATGTGCTCAAATAACGTGCTTAAAGTGTGTGGCACATGAAAAGGTGCCTGGCATATGCCTGGCTCAATAAATAACTGACTGTGGTTATCATTAAGGCTACATATAGTCTGGAGGAAAGAGGATCAAGGCATTGTCTTAGAGAGCATGAAGATGTATGGGGCAGTGTACAGAGGGGACCAAAAGGGGAGATTCAGAAGAATTAGATAAAAGGGCAGCAGGAAACCAAGAAAGAGGTGCCACCAAAGCCCATAGAGCAATTACACATTAAGTAGGGGAAGGGGCCAGCTCTACTAAGCAAAGGGGTGGCAACAGTGGAGACTGTTTGTGTTCCGTTAAGTGAAAATTAAAACATAGAGCAACAAGAAAGCATTAAAAAAGTAACTTCCCTCAACTCAAATGAGTCCAGCATGACCACCAGACACTGGGCATTGTGTGGCTAGGTAAGATGAGTTGGGAGGCACGGAAACTGCCAAAAAGGAACTCAGGACTGGCCTGGGGGCACCTCTGTAATATCTGGAAATATCCGTTACCTTACGTAGGAGACAAAAGGGAGGCAGTGTTACACAATGTGTTCCAAAGACCATCAGACGGGGAGTCAGGAGCCCCCAGGTGTAGTGGCGAGCTGCAGAGTAACTGTGTGTGACCTTGGTCAAGTCACTGAATGATAGTCTCCTCAAGTGTAAATGGGTAATAACACCTGCTGCAATGTCACAAGACTGTGACTGTCAAACACAGGGAAGACATTTGGAAAAGAATATGTTGCATAGATACAGGATAAATTAAAATACCACCTTTTATCCATTTCTTAAAATAACAGAGATATAACGCTGCAGTTATGGCTGTGTCATCTGGTACCTGCACTGCCTTTAGAAGGCAGCACAGATTAGCCATTCATGGAATCGGTACTTATCTGGTGCCTATTTCCAGAAGAGTTTGTGTGGGGAGACAATTCTCACATCTACACTTTTTTGGGGGGCAGGGTGGGGGGGATAGAGTCTCGCTCTGTCGCCCAGGCTGGAGTGCAGTGGCGCAATCTCGGCTCACTGCAACCTCCACCTCCCCGGTTCAAGCGATTCTCCTGCCTCAGCCTCCTGAGTAGCTGGGATTACAGGTGCGTGCCACCACGCCTGGCTAATTTTTGTATTTTTAGTAGAGACAGGGTTTCACCATGTTGGTCAGGCGGGTCTTGAACTCCTGACTTCGTGATCCACCTGCCTCGGCTTCCCAAAGCACTGAGATTACAGGTGTGAGCCACCTTATCAGCAAGGCACTGACATTACAAGTGAGTCCTTCGTTACTATCTTTTCAAGAAAATTTGAACAGCAGATAGCCTTGAAAGATTCAGTGTTTCTTTACAGAGCAAGGGTCAGGGAGACTTACTGCCCATTATAAAAGATCGGAGTTCCCTAAGTTCAGGGTTCCTCTCCTAGAATACAACTCACTATGTATCACCTGGCCCTCTCTGCACCACCCTGTAAGAATTAGGGCTCAGGGAAAGTGTACAAAAATATTGATCCTCTGGTTCCTGGCATTGCTGTGATTAATAAAGTCCTATGTGTCTGCCCCAGCAGTGTGATGCCTTCTGCCAGGATTTGTGACACTGTGGCAGGATAACTTGTTTGCTGGCATGCAGGGTGAAATCTCAGACCCTTCACAGTCCTTGACACTCAGTGTTATTGTTCCACAGAAGAGTTTGGTGTCTTAGATTGTTCTCCAGCCCCCTGGCTTGCTTCAGCTTGCCCTGTGGGATGTCAGCACCATCAGAGCTGAGGAGGCTGCTGAGATATTAATAGCTATTTTTAAAACACTTATCACAAATGCTCTCTCTATGCCTATATATCTGTGTGTGTTTTTGAATTTTATTTTGTTTTTGTGGGTTCTGTTTTTTTTGTTTGTTTCACTGATGAAATCTTTCTTTTCTAAGAAACACAGGACATTTATACATTTAAAGAGAGGAAAAGTGACTGTTATTAAACAGATGTCTGTGCTACAGTCAATATATCATTCTTTCATTTTAAAGTGTTCTAATTTAACTGTAAATATTAAAAGTTCCTAAGAAATAACTCCATGTTTCAGGTACATTTTAGTAAACATCTTGCCTTTGAAATAATTGAAATGCCAGGAGAATGTAACTTCAAAGCTTCAGACATTGTACAGAATGAGCTGAATGGTGTTTCCTACACTTACACGCTCCCGTGGCCTATGTGCCCAACCCCCACATTAGGCAAATCCACTACAGAAAACTATACTCAGAGTACACTGACTTCTTGTTAGAATTCAGAAAGCTTCTTTAAAATGAAACCTGATTGATAACATTAGCAACAAAGTCATCCAAGAAGTCATCTCTGAGAACCTCAAGTCCACGCTGAAACAGGAAGTGAATTTTCTCCTGGTGGGCCTTTTGAAATAAACGCTCCATCTTAAAAATGCCAGGACCCTTCTTAATAGCTATCATAGAAGTTATACCTCCGATCAAATCAACCATTTACAAAAAGAATGATGACAGGTGCCTTCACTTCAAGCTCTGTTTTCATATTTCCATACCCATGTTTAAAATCCCCTTAATAGTTGCACTGAACTGACGTCATCTTTCTGATGCTTTATAAATTCAATCAAAACCTAAAACATCTTGAGAGATGAATGCAGGATGCATGGGGCATAATCAGGAGATCCCAATCCATTGATTATCATGTGAAAGAAGGCACAGAGGCAATTAGTCCTTTGTTGTGGATGACAAATAACCTCCACATAAAATGTTCTATACACTGAGGCATCTTTGATCCATCTTACTGGCTCAGTGACTCACAAAGGAGGAAGGAGGGGGGATGTCTGAAAACAAAAGGGCAGCCTGACGACACCATTTAGTTATTTATTCTGTATGTTCAGCTCAGTTTTTCCTCTTTCCAACTTTTCATGATACTATAAAAAGAAATGGAATGGATTCCTTTCAACCAAGAACATCAGCACTGCATACTAAGAAGTAAAGTACTGGCTTAACACAGAGCCCACAGAAGCCACCGAATATCATCCTCTCTCCTTAGTTAGGTATTTTTTACAAGGAAAATGGGTTTTGACAAATCATTCTTTTATATGTTCTTTTATATAAGACTTTAATGCACAGACTCTTGGAAATTAATTTACATATAAGACAAACTATTCACAGCTTCAGGAGAGAAGGCTGGGTTCTCAACAAGCACTGCCTTGGAAACTATCCATGTGTGTGCACTCTGGAATTTTCCTTTTCTGTTAGAATTGTTTGGAAGAGTCTCCTGATGAACAACAGCATGAGGGATGTGAATAAGCGTCCCTTATTTCCTCTGGTTTAAAGACATCCATAACTTTTTGTTCTCTGAATAAAAGTGGCATGACATTAAAGTGAGTTGAAGATATAAAAGCATGTGCTAGAGATCAGCAAGCTTCTAAAATGATTTACTAATTCAGATGAATATTAAAAAATCAACATGGAAATAAAAATTATGGTTTTTTTTTGAGACAGAGTCTCCGTCTGTTGCCCAGGCTGGAGTGCAGAGGCGCGTGCTCGGCTCACTGCAACCTCTGCCTCCCGGGTTCAAGTGATTCTTTTGCCTCAGCCTCTTGAATAGCTGGGATTACAGGTGTGCACCACCACACCTGGCTAATTTTTGTATTTTTTAGTAGAGACAAGGTTTCGCCATGTTGGCCAGGCTGGTCAACATGAACTCTTGGCCTCAAGTGATCCACCTGCCTCGGCCTCCCAAAGTGCTGGGATTACAGGCATAAGCCACCGTGCCCAGCTTTTATCTTTAAAAATTAAGAGGACTGCTAATTTCCTGAAGTTAAAACAGAAAGTATAAAGGGACCATACAAATTATAAATAGTGACACAGCCAAATGAGCCTGACCTCTGATGACAAACCTTGGTTCAAATCTGGGCCCCAGCATTTAATGGATGTGGCCTGGGCAAGCTGACACTCTCAATTTTCTCTCCCATAAATACAGACTATTGCCTAGCATTCACATAGCATTGATATGAGGATCAATGAGTTAAGGTATGTGTTTTATGTATAGTAGGCACTCAATAAACACACTATTATTGCCATTAAAAGTGTAATTAAAAAGTCTCTTACCTAAGCACAATATAAGGTCACTTTTCAGATAACAAAAAGAAACTATCACATCATCTGTGCATTATTCAGTTAATCTAGCAGATTTGTATCAGAACCGAAATAGCATATACTATGGGGAAAAAAGATTGCAAAGAGGACCTAAAATCCTTTTTTCCTTTTGCAAGAAACTTCTTTTCATTTTTGATACAAGATTTCATTTAAAGCTGTTTAACCAGAGAGGGTCGCCATGGGAAAGTAAACCGCTGACAGAATATATTAGGTTCACATTAATTTACAGTGGTAGCATAATGCTTATGAAAAATAAGCTGGCTGGAAGCCCACAGTTTGCCCTTGAGCCTCAGTCAGCAGGGAAGTTTTGTGCAATATGATTAGTAAATGAGGAGACCCTAGGTGATTAATTAGTGCTCCATGTCAATCCTATCAGACAGGCTTTCAGCCAGTAACGTAAATAAGCCACCTGATTTTAAACTTCCTCCTCTTAAAACTGACGTCCATGTGAGCATGACTTTGTCAAACACTTAAATATTGAAGGAAGATTTCCTCCAAATCTCCTTTAAGATAAATCCTGCTTCCTTTGACACACACTTTAGCTCTGGTAAATGGCAGACTAGATGGGAAAGAATCTAAATAAGGAAGCTTGTCTGAGAATTCTGAGTACTGAATTAACAAAACTCATTTCATAAGTCCCTATTAACTGTTCAATGCTCAAAAGAGAAAAATCTGACTATGAATAGATTTACTGCCTACACCTGTGTACCAGTCAGTAACTTTTCCCAGACTTTACTATGCAGTTATGTTTTTAAAAATCTTTTTACTGTGTGTCATTAAATTGTTAATGATCTGTTTTTTATCTATAATTTCCTAGATATTTCTGATATGTATTTTATCAAGGTATTGTCCCAAGAGAGATGTTTCTATGGCCAGGTCTGTTAGTTTACGTAGCTGCACAGTCACTTCTCTGGTATCTATTACTATTTCAGTCAAGCTTCTTAAATTAGATTTAAAAGGGAAAGAAACAGCTTTCCTAAATTAAATCAGTTCCTTTAAATGAGGTTGACCCTTGAGTAGGTAATTTGTGTAAACATAAAATGGGTCCTGCTCTTCCTAAAATCTTATCACTAGGTTCTCAAAACTGGGCTCCAAATGTGAGATGTGGTGTACAGCAGGTCTTCGAGAAATGTCATTTTGTTCAATGTCGTTTCCTTCAGTAACATTGATGAGAGGCCGGGGCCATTGTGCAGAGTTTGCACATTTGCCCCACGTCTGCATGGGTTTTCTTTGGGTACTCTGGTTTCCTCCCACATCCCAAAGATGTGTGCATTAGGTGAACCGAACTGAAGTGTCCACACGGTCCCTGTCTGAGTGAGTGTGGATGTGTGATGGAATGGTGTCCTGTCTAGGGTGGGTCCCTGCCTTGTGCCCTGATATGCCAGGACAGACTCCAGCCACTCTCAACCCTGAACTAAAATCATGGAATCATTGAGTAAATAATTATTTTGTTTTTATTAATCCTTTCTCTTGTTTTCGAGACAGAGTCTTGCTCTGTCCCCCAGGCTGGAGTGCAGTGGTGAGATCTCGGCTCACTGCAACCTCCACCTCCTGAGTTCTGTATATATAGCTCACATTTATTTCAATGTTTAATATTAAAAGTGTTTTGAATCTTTACTTAGTTTGCTGATGTTTTTGTGACCAGAAATATGTCCTAGCAACTTCAACTTTTGTCTGTATCAAGTAGCCTATGGTAAAATTAGATTTCTTATACATACATGTCATTTTGCTTAAAGTCACAGTTTCCAAATAGATGATCTTAAGTGAGGACTTACTGTATCTGTATAATTAAGATATAAGTATTCCATTCTTGTCTGTATACTATTTTCTCATTGTAGATGAAAGGCTCTATATGAATAAAATACTGCATATAAATATACTCACATATAGAATCTACAGATCACCGTGTACATACACAGAAACATCAAAGGTGTCCTAGGCTATAAAGTGCAGGTCTCATAGGCTAAAATCATTAACTGTTACATGCTGCAAAGGTCCAAGGTTTAAAGATATCAGGCTGGGTCTCATCAGAAAGGAGGCTGATTTTTGCTCAAACACCGTTAGAACTGAAAGGAACCTCTGAGGCCCAACAAAGTCAAGTCAGGAAACAGGAAAATTGAGAATCTCCATTTAGAAGCCAGAATACCAATCTCAACCTAATGTCATTCTTTTTCACATACACAAGAAATCCAAGGCAGGCCAGGTGAAAACATCTGAACTAGATAGTAGTCATGGCGAGAGGCAACCCGCTCCCAAGGGTAAACACACAAACTCTAATTCTACGGCTTTCAAATGTCAGCACAAAGGTAAGGAAGCATCCAAGACACCAGGCAATTTCCTAACAAATACCTCTGAGGGCTTCAGTGGGCAGGACATCTTGCTATGTTCACAGGTTGATAAATGATGGCACAATGGAGTTCATGCCCTGATGGTACTTATCATCTCACCATAGAGATAAGTTATGAATCAATAATGAACCTAAATGCCAATTTGCAGTAAATGCCATAAATGAGACTGAGAAAAAATAAGTTCAGAGAAGGCCACCAGATGCCAAGATGAGGGAAGATTTCATGAGGGGGTACAGGTCTCAAGGGGGGTGGAGGATAGAATTCTAAGAAATGGAGATGGAAGGCCTTCTAGACCACTGTTTTTTAAACAGGTTGCAACTTGCTTGATATCACAGTTTAATGGCCATTTTCTTCCTCAATGAAATGGAATAGAATGCTATAGCATGTGGCAAGATAAAGTACTATTTCATGAAGCTTTTTAGCCTCATGTAAATTGTATTGGTTGTTCTGCTTCATGAAAAATGAAGAGTGAGGTTTTGTATTTGGCTGGAAAATAAGAACTCAGTTATGAGGTGATTCCAAGGCAGCATCTAAAACATAGCATCAAAGAATCTGGATTTTGTACTGTTTTTTGCCTTTTTAAAGCTTTATTGACATCGACTGTGCTTAGTATCTCACACACATGATCTCACTTAATTGTAACCACCACTCTTTGAGTTGGGTATTATTACCTCCATTATAGAGGAGGCAAGTGAGAATCAGACAGGTTATATAACCAGCCCATAAAATGAAGCCAGGTCTTTTGAATCCAAAGCTCATAATGTTAAAAAGGACACAAAAGAAAATTATGAAATGATCAGAGCTGGGCTTTAGGAATATTAATCTTGCACCTTCAAAGAGTTACACTGAATAGACATTAGACAACTATATCATTAGAGAGGTTTCTTTTGATCACTCAATTTAGATATAAAATCAATTTAAATACACTCCAAATTCTAGGCAAAAATCACACCCAAACCAAGAGTTAAAACTGCTCTTAACGACCCTAAAAATATTTCAGTGAAGGTTCTTATTTCTCAATAGCTATATTAATATCCCCTTACTTCATTCTGCAGCCATGAAGCTAATGACTTATCATTTGAAAAATGCTTTGAAGAAAATATGAAAATAGGTGGAAATGCAGAACTCTGCCTAAAGCAGAAATGCTAACATAAAAGAAGTAACCCACTGCTTTTCTCAGACTGACTCGCCCCAGCCCTCTGTTCTCACCCCTACGTGCTCTGTCTGATCCTACCTACCTCCGGGAACAACTGTGAGGACTAACGGTGTAATCTATGAAGTGCACAGGGCTCCCTGGAAAAGCATGGCTGTTAAAAGCCCGGATGTCATCACTAGAGGCAGCTGAGAGAACATGCCAACAGTCGACTGCTAATATAAAAATGTAAAAAAGAAATAACAGTAGACGGGATAATGTTGTGTCTAATTTAAAGAGGAAAAAAGAATTCAGAAGTAGCTATTTCTGATGAATATGAAATATCTGGGTATTGAGCAATGAAAGACAAATATTCTTCCTCTCTTTTCTGTTGAAAGCATCCCTCACAACAAGAATCAAAAAAGCTCCTCCACATACCCAGAATAACCCAATTGCCCAACAGGCAGAGAGACCAGAAGGGTAAAGTGTTCCTCTGTCCGGCATATGAGCTGGATAGAGAAATGTACACTAAATACCCTGCAAATCAGAAAAGCCAGCTGTGCACAGGATTATGCTCTTCTTCATACACTCTGAACGATCTATTCAATGGTTATGGACTAATATATGAACTCTCTTTAAAAGAAAAAAGTCATAGATCCTCAAGGTTGACATAAGTTATTATTTATTAAAATATTCCTTAAATATGCAGAA
This sequence comes from Homo sapiens, assembly GCF_000001405.40. NCBI lineage: Eukaryota > Metazoa > Chordata > Mammalia > Primates > Hominidae > Homo > Homo sapiens. The sequence goes on from NC_000004.12 coordinate 98,528,308, forward strand.
ATAGAAGACTGGTATAAAACCCCAAGCAAATTTATATATCAACTAAAAAGAATACTATCAAACCAACAGAACTGAAACTAGCCAAAATAATTAAATGTAACAGATGATTTTTTTTTTTTTTTTTGCTGTCACTAAAACACTGATGTAGGCATCCAGTCTAGTTCTATATTTAATCTGCTTTGGTATTTTAACTTTCACAAATGTTTACATAGAGAATACCTGTTTACATAATTATATTGAACAAAACAGCAAAAAATCTAGAGGACAGACTGGGATGATTAGACCTCATACTTAACCCAAAGTCAGCCATACTTAACCCAGGTGTCACAATAACTCTACAAAGCTCTCTTACTAACTTGAACAGAGTTAGTATCAGAGCATTATTGAAATTTGCATTAAATAGGTGTCTCATTCAATCAGGTAGAAATGAAAAACAGGAACTTTTTTTATTGTACATTTACCAGCTATGCTCACTACTATAAACTATTCTGCAAGGTGTATGTACAAGGGCTAGCTAGACCTGCCCACCACTCTGCTGGAAATGGGGGGAGGGTACTGACTGCTCCCATTTTAGTATGACCATACTGCAAACAGCTTTTCATTTATCTCATTCAGTCTTCACAAAAGGGGAGAGGTACTGTTATTATTCACATTTAACAGGTGAGGAAACAGTTAAGTGACTCACCCAAGGTCACACAGATTGACAGTGGTAGAGCCAGGATGCAAAACAAGGAAGCCTTACTCCAAACTCCAAGCTCTGTACCACAAATGCTTCTTGACCACCGTAAATCCCTGTGTGGCACGCTGTGATACCACATGGCCCCATCCACCCACTGAAAACACACACACAGATGCAGGTCTGCCCTTACATCCAAGCATTCATTTATAATGTGGTTGACCACATGATCCCAAAGATGCTAACACTTCTAACCGCCTACTACATATCTCCATTTGGTTACTACTCATTCAACTAAAGCATGTGCCCTCGAAAATCAATGAAATTAGAGACTTTTCTTTCCAGCTGGAAGGGTGTAGCAAGCCTGATTTGAAAATGATTACAACTGCTTCTACAGGGTAAAAAACTGCCCGAAGTGGGCATTGAGTTTAAACATTATATCCTCGTCATTAATAAAAACAAGAGCTAACATTTATTGCATCCTTACAATGGAACTGGCACAGTTACGAACTTGTGTCATTTCAATAAAGTTTCAGGACAACCACTGAAGTAAACACCATATCGTCACTTTCCAACTGTGGAAACTGAGCTTACGAGACATTAAGTAGCCTGGACTAGAGTTGCTACCTACCTAGTGACTGGGAAAACCCCAATTCAAACCCAGGCATCTGACTCCAGAATCCCGACCACTCCAAATGCAGGATGAGAAGATCTATTGGCAATACAGTTTCTCCTCACTGCGTCTCAGAACTTGGGGATTCAGTTTCATTTAGACTTCTGCAGCCAGTTTAATCTCTAACCTACTCATCTTGTTTGGTTGGTTAAGAGATGTTATACAGCCACAAAATAACACAAGATCTGTAATAATTCAGAATCTTTTGGCTTTGAGACCAAAAACTGCTGTAATCCTAAAAAGAATCACCAATTAAAAACTAAGATTTTGAGTATGTTCAAGTAAAAGAATCTACACTGCCATAGAAGCACAAAACCCAGCTTTGGTCAGAAAGCTAGACCACAGTTTCTGCAGCCTTGACTTCAGACTCTGAGTTCCTTGATGTAGGTGTTGTATCTTGGACATGGCACCTGGCAGGAAAAAGATGGTGAAATGACTGAGCATCAGGCATGGGCCTACTCTGCTGTTGTTCACCAGGCCATCACCTGACTGGGTAGGCAGAAGGGCCTGCACACACATTGCCAGGAGCTAACAAGGTCACTGGGACCAGAGCAAATGAGAGACAGTGAGCACATCCTGAAATGGCCAGAGATGCTCAGGGATGAAATGTCCCCTAGACACTGAGAAAGTGATAATGGTGAACTTTTGTTGCTCATCAGCCTGTGCCAGGAGCTATAGGTGCCTTCTGTACATGACTAACTGTCATCACACTGTGAAGGAGACAATGATATCCCCATCATACAAATGAGGAAACAGGCTCAGAGGCAACACAGCTCTAGAAAGCAGCTTGATTAAGGCCAGGGCTCCCTGAAGCCACAGTGGAAAAGCCACAGCCGTTTCCACTTTCCTAGAGGCACACTCCACCCCACCTGCACTTCGGCCATGAAAGTTGAAACAAAGTGATGGGATGTGCATTGGACTTGGGAATAAGGGAATGGGAGCTAAACTGAGACACAGATATTTAGAATCAACAAAGATTTTAGAGGTTGTCTAGTCTAGTTTTTTCATTTGCAGAGTAAACTAGAGCAGTTATTAGATTCACTTAAGATTACACAACATATACACACATATTATACACACACACACACACACACACATATTTAGAAACAGGATCTTACTCCATTGTCCAGACTGGAATGCAGTGGCAAGACCATAGCTCACTGCTGCCACAAACTCCTGAGCTCAAGCCATCCTCCTGCTTCATCCTCCTGAGTAGCTGGGACTAGGGGCATGTGCCACCATACCCGGCTAAATGTTAAAATTTTTTTAAAAGACGGTCTCACTATGTCGCCCAGGCTGGAGTATAGTGGCATGACCATACCTCACTGCTGCCTCAAACTCCTGGTATTATATAATCTTTCTGCCTCAGCCTTCTGAGTAGCTGGGATTACAGGCACACTTCTCTATTTTTATTTATTCTTTTTTAAATTATACTTTAAGTTCCGGAGTACATGTGCAGAACTTGCAGTTTCATTACATAGGTATACACATGCCATGGTGGTTTGCTGCACCCATCAACCTGTCACCTACATTAGGTATTTCTCCTAATGCTATCCCTCCCCTACCCCCTACCCCACGACAGGCCCCAGTATGTGATGTTCCCTTCCCTGTGTCCGTGTGTTCTCCTTGTTCAACTCCCACTTATGAGTGAGAACATGCAGTGTTTGGTTTTCTGTTCTTGTGATAGTTTGCTGAGAAAGAGGATTTCCAGCTTCATCCATGTCCCTGCAAAGGACATGAACTCATCCTTTTTTATGGCTGCATAGCATTCCATAGTGTATATGTGCCACATTTTCTTCATCCAGTCTATCACTGATGGACATTTGGGTTGGTTCCAAGTCTTTGCTATTGTGAATAGTGCTGCAATAAACATACATACATGTGTCTTTATAGAATGATTTATAATCCTTTGGGTATATACCCAGTAATGGCACTGTTGGGTCAAATGGTATTTCTAGTTCTAGATCCTTGAGGAATCGCCACACTGTCTTCCACAGTAGTTGAACTAATTTACACTCCCACCAACAGTGTAAAAGCATTCCTGTTTCTCCACATCCTCTCCAGCATCTGTTGTTTCCTGACTTTTTAATGATCGCCATTCTAACTGGTGTGAGATGGTATCTCATTGTGGTTTTGATTTGTGGTCTAATGACCAATAATGATGAGCTTTTTTTCATATGTTTGTTGGCTGCATAAATGTCTTCTTTTGAGAAGTGTCTGTTCATATCCTTTGCCCACGTTTTGATGGGGTTGTTTTTTTCTTGTAAATTTGTTTATGTTCTTTGTAGATTCTGGATGTTAGCCCTTTGTCAGATGGACAGATTGCAAAAATTTTCTCCCACCTTGTAGGTTGCCTGTTCACTCTGATGATAGTTTCTTTCGCTGTGCAGAAGCTCTTTAGTTTAATTAGATCCCATTTGTCTATTTTGGCTTTTGTTGCCATTGCTTTTAGTGTTTTAGTCAGGAAGTCTTTGCCCATGCCTATGTCCTGAATGGTACTGCCCAGGTTTTCTTCTAGGATTTTTATGGTTCCATATGAAGTTTAAAGTAGTTTTTTCCAATTCTGTGAAGAAAGTCATTGGTAGCTTGATGGGGATAGCATTGAATCTATAATTACCTTGGGCAGTATGGCCATTTTGACAATATTGATTCATCCTATCCATCAGCATGGAATGTCTTTGCATTTGTTTGTGTCCTCTCTTATTTCCTTGAGCAGTGGTTTGTAGTTCTCCTTGAAGAGGTCCTTCACATCCCTTGTAAGTTGGATTCCTAGGTATTTTATTCTCTTTGAAGCAATTGTGAATGGGAGTTCACTCATGATTTGGCTCTCTGTTTGTCTGTTATTGGTGTATAGCAATGCTTGTGATTTTTGTACATTGATTTTGTATTCTGAGACTTTGCTGAAGTTGCTTATCAACTTAAGGAGATTTTGGGCTGAGACGATGGGGTTTTCTAAATATCTGTCATCTGAAAACAGGGACAATTTGACTTCCTCTCTTCCTAATTGAATAACCTTTATTTTTATTTCTTTCTCTTGCCTGAGTGCCCTGGCCAGAACTTCCAATACTATGTTGAATAGGAGTGGTGAGAGAGGGCATCCCTGTCTTGTGCCAGTTTTCAAAGGGAATGCTTCCAGTGTTTCCTCATTCAGTATGATATTGGCTGTGGGTTTGTCATAAATAGCTCTTATTATTTTGAGATATGTTCCATTGATACCTAGTTTATTGAGTTTTTAGCATGAAGGAGTGTTGAATTTTGTCAAAGGCCTTTTCTGCATCTATTGAGATAATCATGCGGTTTTTGTCACTGGTTCTGTTTATGTGATGGATTATGTTTATTGATTTGTGTATGTTGAACCAGCCTTGCATCCCAGGGATGAAGCTGACTTCATCGTGGTGGATAAGCTTTTTCATGTGCTGCTGGATTCTGTTTGCCAGTATTTTATTGAGGATTTCTGCATCAATGTTCATCAGAGATATTGGCCTGAAATTTTCCTTTTTTGTGGTGTCTCTGCCAGGTTTTGGTAACAGGATGATGCTAGCCTCATAAAATGAGTTAGGGAGGATTCCCTCTTTTTCTATAGTTTGGAATAGTTTCAGAAGGAATGGTATCATCTCCTGTTTGTACCTCTGGTAGAATTCGGCTGTGAATCCATCTGGTCCTGGACATTTTGTTGGTAGGCTATTAATTACTGCCTCAATTTCAGAACTTGTTATTGGTCTATTCAGGGATTCAACTTCTTCCTGGTTTAGACTTGTGGGGGGTGTTATGTGTCCAGGATTTATCCATTATTACAGGTTTTCTCATTTATTTGCATAGAGGTGTTTATAGTATTCTCTGATGGTAGTCTGTACTTCTGCGGGATTGGTGGTGATATCCCCTATATCTTTTTTTTTTTTTTTTTTTTTTCTTGAGACAGAGTTTTGCTCTGTCGCCCAGGCTGGGGTGCAGTGGCGCGATCTTGGCTCACTGCAAGCTCTGCCTCCCGGGTTCACACTATTCTCCTGCCTCAGCCTCCCAAGTAGCTGGGACTACAGGCACCCGCCACCAAGCCTGGCTAATTTTTTGTATTTTTAGTAGAGACAGGGTTTCACCATGTTAGCCAGGATGGTCTCGATCGCCTGACCTCGTGATCCGCCCGCCTCGGCCTCCCAAAGTGCTGGGATTACAGGTGTGAGCCACAGCACCCGGCCCCCTATATCATTTTTTATTGCATCTATTTGATTCTTCTCTCTTTTCTTCTTTATTAGTCTGGCTAGTGGTCTATCCATTTTGTTGATCTTAAAAAAAAAAAAAAAAAAAAAAACCAGCTCCTGGATTCATTGATTTTTTTGAAGAGTTTTTCGTGTCTCTATCTCCTTCAGTTCTGCTCTGATCTTAGTTATTTCTTGTCTTCTGCTAGCTTTTGAATTTGTTTGCTGTGCTTCTCTAGTTCTTTTAATTTTGTTGTTAGGATGTCAATTTTAGATCTTTCCTGCTTTCTCTTGTGGGCATTTAGTGCTATAAATTTCCCTCTGCACACTGCTTTAAATGTGTCCCAGAGAGTCTGGTATGTTGTGTCTTTGTTCTCATTGGTTTCAAAGAACATCTTTATTTCTGCTTTAATTTCGTTATGTACCCTGTAGTCATTCAGGACCAGGTTGTTCAGTTTCCATGTAGTTGTGTGGTTTTCAGTGAGTTTCTTAAGCCTGAGTTCTAATTTGACTGCACTGTGGTCTGACAGACTGTTTGTTGTGATTTTCATTCTTTAGCATTTGCTGAGGAGTGTTTTACTTCCAATTATGTGGTCAATTTTAGAATAAGTGTGATGAGTTGCTGAGAAGAATGTATATTCTGTTGATTTAGGGTGGAGAGTTCTGTAGATGTCTATTAGGTCCGCTTGGTCCAGAGCTGAGTTCAAGTCCTGAATATCCTTGTTAATTTTCTGTCTCATTGATCTGTCTAATATTGACAGTGGGGTGTTAAAGTCTCCAACTATTATTGTGTGGGAGTCTAATCCTCTTTGTAGGTCTCTAAGAACTTGCTTTATGAATCTGGGTGCTCCTGTATTGGATGCATATATATTTAGGATAGTTAGCTCTTCTTGCTGCATCGATCCCTTTATCACTATGTAATGCCCTTCTTTTCTCTTTTGATCTTTGTTGGTTTAAAGTCTTTTTTATCAGAGGTTAGGATTGCAACTCCTGTTTTTTGTTTGTTTGTTTGGTTTTGGCTTTCCATTTGCTTGGTAAATATTCCTCCATCCCTTTATTTTGAGCCTATGTGTGTCTTTGCATGTGAGTTGGATCTCCTGAATAGAGCACACTGATGGGTCTTGACTCTTTATCCAATTTGCCAGTCTGTGTCTTTTAATTGGGGCATTTAGCATGTTTACATTTAAGGTTAATATTGTTATGTGTGAATTTGATCCTGTCATTATGATGCTAGCTGGTTATTTTGCCTGGTAGTTGATGCAGTTTCTTTATAACATCAATGGTCTTTACAATTTGGTATGTTTTTGCAGTGGCTGGTACCGGCTGTTCCTGTCCATGTTTAGTGCTTCCTTCAGGAGCTCCTGTAAGGCACGCCTGGTGGTGACAAAATCTCTCAGCATTTGCTTGTCTGTAAAGGATTTTATTTCTCCTTCGCTTATGAAGCTTAGTTTGGCTGGATATGAAATTCTGGGTTGAAAATTCTTTTCTTTAAGAATGTTGAGTATTGGCCCCCACTCTCTTCTGGCTTGTAGGGTTTCTGCAGAGAGATCCACTGTTAGTCTGATGGGCTTCCCTTTGTGGGTAACCTGACCTTTCTCTATGGCTGCCCTTAACATTTTTTCCTTCATTTCAACCTTGGTGAATCTGAAGATTATGTGTCTTGGGATTGCTCTTCTCAAGGAGTATCTTTGTGGTGTTCTCTGTATTTCCTGAATTTGAATGTTGGTCTGTCTTGCTAATTTGGGGAAGTTCTCCTGGATAATATCCTGGAGAGTGTTTTCCAACTTGGTTCCATTCTCCTTGTCACTTTCAGGTACACCAATCAAACACAGATTTGGTCTTTTCACATAGTCCCATATTTGTTGGAGGCTTTGCTCGTTCCTTTTTATTCTTTTTTCTCTAATCTTGTCTTCTTTCTTTATTTCATTAAGTTGATCTTCAATCATTGCTATCCTTTCTTTTGCTTGATTGATTCGGCTGTTGATACTTGTATATGCTTCACGAAGTTCTTGTGCTGTTTTTTCAGTGCCATCAGGTCATGTATGTTCTTCTTTAAACTGGTTATTCTAGTTAGCAATTCGTCTAACCTTTTTTCAAGGTTCTTAGCTTCCTTGCATTGGGTTAGAGCATGCTCGTTTAGCTCAAGTCTGTTATTACCCACCTTCTGAAGCCTACTTCTGTCAATTCGTCAAACTCATTCTCCATCCAGTTTTGTTCCCTTGCTGGTGAGGAGTTGTAATCCCTTGGAGGAGAAGAGGTGTTCTTGTTTTTGGTATTTTCAGCCTTTTTCAGCTGGTTTCTCCCCATCTTTGTGGATTTATCCATCTTTGGTCTTTAATGTTGGTGACCTTCAGATGGGGTCTTTAAGCAGATGTGCTATTCCTTTCTGTTTGTTAGTTTTCCTTTTGGCAGTCAGGCCCTTCTGCTGCCGGTCTGCTGGAGTTTGCTAGAGATCCACTCTCAGCCCTGTTTGCCTGGGTATCACCAGCGGAAGCAAAGATTCCTGCCTGATCTTTCCTCAGGAAGCTTTGTCCCAGAGGAGCACCTGCCAGATGCCAGCCAGAGCTCTCCTGTATGAGGTGTCCGTCGGCCCCTACTGGGAGGTGTCTCCCAGATACACAGGGGTCAGGGACCCACTTGAGGAGGCAGGCTGACCCTCAGCAGAGCTCAAACACTGTGCTGGGAGGTCCGCTGCTCTCTTCAGAGCTGTCAGGCAGGGACATTTAAGTCTGCTGAAGCTGCGCCCATAGCCACCCCTTTCCCCGGGTGCTCTGTCCCAGGGAGATGGAGGTTTTATCTATAAGTCCCTGACTGGGGCTGCTACCTTTTTGTCAGAGATCCTCTGCCCAGAGAAAAGAAATCTGGCGGTCTGGCCCCAGCAGCCTTTCTGAGCTGCAGTGGGCTCTGCCCAGTTCGAACTTCCCAGTGCCTTTGTTTAAACTGTGAATGTAAAACCACCTACTCAAGCCTCAGCAATGGCGGACGCCCCTCCCCCGACCAAGCTCTAGTGCCCCAGGTGGAGCTCAGACTGCTGCCGTGCTGGCAGCGAGGATTTCAAGCCAGTGGATCTTAGTTTGCTGGGCTCTGTGGGGGTGGGACCCGCCGAGCCAGACCACTTGGATCCCTGGCTTCAGCACCCCTTTCCAGGAGAGTGAATGGTTGTCTCGTTGGCGTTCCAGGTGCTACTGGGGTATGGAAAAAAAGAACTCCTGCAGCTAGTTCGGCGTCTGCCCAAATGGCCACCCAGATTTGTGCTTGAAACCCAGGGCCCTGGTGGGGTGGGCACCGGAGGGAATCTCCTGGTTTGTGGGTTGCGAAGACTGTGGAACAAGCGCAGTATCTATGCCGGAGTTCCTCAGGCTCAGTCCCTCACGGCTTCCTTTGGCTAGAGGACGAAATTCCGCGACCCCTTGCGCTTCCCGGGTGAGGTGACGCCCCACCCTGCTTCGGCTTGCCCTCTGTGGGCTGCACCCGCTGTCCAACCAGTCCCAGTGAGATGAACCGGGCACCTCAGTTGGAGATGCAGAAATCACCCGCCTTCTGAGTCGATCTCGCTGGGAGCTACAGACCGGAGCTGTTCCTATTCGGCCATCTTGCCAGCCAGAAGCCACTTTTCTATTTTTAACTAGAATTACTGAACCCTGACAATGTGCCAGAAACAGCCCTAGTACCTTTAAATATGCTAATTTTCATAACACCCTCATTAGGCAAGTGCCCCATTTTACAGATGAGGACTCTAAGGTGTAATGAGCTTAGGTAATTCACTGAAGATCTTTCTGCTGGCAAATCCCATGCTCTCAACATGTGCCTCACCGCCCTCCCAGAGAGCTACTTCAAGAGCTGATGCTCAGGCCTCCAGTATTTGCTGTCTGCATTAGGAGGTGGCAAGGGCCTGGCACAGAGGTCTGCGACAAGCCAAGCTAGGCCATGGCTTCCATCCACACCCCTCTGCACCTAAATGCATTGATCCTACAATGAAGAGCTGGCAAGGTCATCCTGGTTTTGCTCCATTTTCTCTGTGGCATTGTCATTTGAGGTGCTGCTCATGGTAGGTGGTGGGGTTCACCTTCTTCCATGCTGAGCTAGGCTGGACACATTCCAGCCGACAGCAGGACAAAGAGGGTGATGTGACCACCTATGAGGGGCTCAGCCCCATGCTCTGTGATCACGGCCTGGGGACTTTGGCACCTGAGGTGCTGGATGGTGTCACTACTGGGCACAGTTTTCCCTGCATCAGCAGCAATAGGGGAATACGTGCACACAGGAAGGCTCAGGTTCCCCAAACTCATATAGCATCTGGACTAAAAGGAAGGATTTGTACAGGGCTCTAGAGGTTAACTGTCAGTTATGTAGTTGCTCCACTTTAGAACAATGACTTTGGACACTTTAGGGCATAGCCAAAGAGCAAAGCAGTTACTTTGTGGCTGTTCTGCCTGCTCCTCACTCTTGGCCATCAGTAAGTCTGGCTTAGGATGGAGAAATCCAAGGGTCTCCTCTGGCTGAGGGAGGCAGGTCCAGAAAGCCACACACCAGCAGTACCAGTTCACTACATCAGCTCCTTAGTCCACAAAAAGGTCCACAGGATGGACAGGGACAGAGGCCAACAGCCACCCCGCCACCAGAGCAGGGCCATTCCTCTGACATCTAAGAGTCACATCCATATGACTACTGCAACCTGTGGCTCAAAGTCAGCTGAAAAATGGTTATACACATTAAGTTAGAGCCATTTTGTGAAAACTAATTCAGTTTTCTTCCCGTTGCTTGGTACATACACACTATTCAGTGAAATATTAGCTTTTATTCAAGGCATGACATAGGAATTCCTTCAAAATTAATATTTTATGCTATACTTTGTATCAGTTTATACTGAAATATTTATCAACATGTCCTGTGACTGCCTGTGCAGGAATTTATTCAAATTTATTCCATTTTGCTGTTTGTTGTATACTGATTTTCACTGATAAATTTCCTTTGACTGTAGGTACTGTAGAAGAATTCACTCAAATTTATTTGATATTACAGTTTGCTTCTGCATTACCTTTATTCATCAAAATATCATACAGGTATGTGCTTTTCAAAAAAAGCTCTGCCGTGTCTGATATGAAAACGTCCCCTATCTATAAATGCCTGTATTACCTACTACTTATTTACCCACAAGTTTCCTCTGTTATCTGTAACAGTTGGGGGTGGGAGGCTGGGGAATGCTACTGCTTGTCCAGATGTTATGATCTCCTTCTGGATCTCTGTACCCTGTATTTGCATAAACAAAATGCTTCTCCCCCTCACCCCCACCAAAAAAAAAAAAAACCAAAAAACCTTTTATGTTACTTTCAATGCTTGTATGTTTGAAGTAGTCAAATCTTTTTCCTCAAATAATTATTTGTAAAAATTAGAATATCATTTACAAATCTCTGTTTCTTATTTGCATCTAAAAGCAGAATAAGGAGGTCCAGGAGCCATGAGCTTCTCCCAGGTTTCAGCCTGGACCAAATCCTAAACTCCTTATCTTTTCTCAGAGGCAGCAGGTTCACCAAAACACAAATGTCAGGACCAAGGCGCATCCACATGCTTCTATCCACTCTATTGCCCTTACTCCCCTCTTCCCCAAACCACAATTTTGACATGGCAGACTTGGAATAAAATCAAGAAGCTCCTCTAGAATGAGAAAGGAATAAACAGCTTACTGGGACATTCATGCCTCAACATTGCATTCCCTTTAGATTTTTTTTTTCCTGGTGATCTTTTGTATCTTGCAATACTCTAGGGGGAAGAAAAGGAGAACTGTGGGCAAAAACTTATGTAATTTATTGCAACATAATTTTAATTTACATGCTGTGGTAGGCAACCTTCGATATGGCCTTCAATGATTCCCATCCCTGGTCCTCACACCTTTGTGTAGTCCCCTCCTATAATATTATACCGGGGTTGGTTGTGTGACCAACAGAATACAACAGAAGTGCAGGAACATCCTTTCTAAGATCAGCGTAGAAAAGATTGTGGCTGTGTCTTGGTTGCTCTCTAGTGCGTGTTCTCTCTCTCTCTCATCAACATGGCTCTGTGGGAAGCCATGCTGTGGGCAGCTCCATGAGGCGGCCCATATGGCAAGAACTGAAGTCTCCTGCCAACACTCACGTGAGTTTGAAAGTAGACCCTGCAGCCCCAGACAAAGCTCCAGGTGACTAGAGCCTCAACTCACAGCTTGACTGCAACTCCATGAGAGAACTACCCAGCTAAGCCACTCCCAGACTAATGACTCTCAAACTATGGGAGATAAAAGTTTGTTTTAAGCTGCTAAATTCTGGGGTAACTTGTTATATAGCAATAGATAACTCATACACATAGATTTTCAAATTCTTTCTTGAGCTTTCTTCAGTGATCCAAGTTTCTACTATAAACATGAATTACTTTTGCAAATACAAATCAAAGACGGCATATGTGTGTATGACCTCTTGGGAAGAAGATGGGATGGGCTAAGGTGGTGACTTCCCTCTTCCTTTTTTTTTTTGAGATGGAGTCTCACTGTTGTAGCCCAGGCTGGAGTGCAGTGGCGCGATCTCGGCTCACTGCAACCTCCGCCTCCCAGGTTCAAGCTATTCTCCTGTCTCAGTCTCCTGAGTGGCTGGGATTACAGGCACGTGCCACCATGCCCAGCTAATTTTTGTACTTTTAGTAGAGATGGGGTTTCGCCATGTTGGCCAGGCTGGTCTTGAACTCCTGACCTCAGGTGATCTGCCTGCTTCAGCCTCCCAAAGTCCTGGGATTACAGACGTGAGCCACCGTGCCCAGCCCCCTCTTTCTTATATCTCTTAATTCCCGGACTGAAAACTACCCAGCACAGGCTTCGTGGGGATGCTACAGAGCAAATGTGAGCAGGGATAATGGGGAGTTGAACAAAATGCCTTCTATCCTGGGATTATTTGATGAGTACTACTGACATTCAAACACTGCCAATCTGTGTCTTCTTATAACCTCTCAAATAGGCTGATCAATCGCTTCTTTTGTTGACTGAGGACTACAGAAGGATACACATTTAAATTCAAGAGATATTTAGGGTTAACTTTAGGAAGAACTTCTAGCCAAGAAAACTGTGGTTAAACAACTGCACAGGATGAACAATTAGCACGGCATAAAGAACACGGGCCTTAGCTTCAGCAAGACCAGGCTTGTGTCCTGGTTCCATTTCCTTCTAGCAGTGTGATTTTGGATAAATCATTTTCTCTCTTTGAAGCTCAACTTCCTTACCCATAAAATAGTGACAAAACCATCTACCTTGTTGGTGCTCAGCTGGCCTCATTCCCTCCTTCTCTAGACAGGGGTGGATAAAACCACATCGCTAGACCCTTTCTAGTCCTAAGATTACCTGGTACAGGCTTTACTCTGACTGCAGGAGAGATGTGGATTTGATAACACTAAGGTGGTCCTTATCCACCAACCTTCCTGCTCTCTTGGCAAACTCTGAGAGGCTCATTTCCTGAATGTTTCTCTCAGAAGATTACATATACACTACAATGCATCCTTTTCTTCCATAAGAAAATGTGGGATAGGCTGGGCATGGTGGCTCACGCCTGTAATTCCAGCACTTTGGGAGGCTGAGGCAGGCAGATCACTTGAGGCCAGGAGATCGAGACTAGCCTGGGCAACATGGAAAAACCCCATCTGTACTAAAAATACAAAGAAATTAGCTGGGCATGGTGGCATGCCTATAATCCCAGCTACTCAGGAGGCTGAGGCATGAGAATTGCTTGAACCCAGGAGGGGGAGGGTGCAGTGAGCCGAGATCATGCCACTACACTCCAGCCTGGGTGACAGAGCAAGACTCTGTCTCAAAAAAAAAAAAAAAAAAAAAGAGAGAGAGAGAGAGAGAAGGAAAATGGGGGTTAAATCAGGAAACTAAACTTTATGCCACACTTTCTTGGGTGCCTGTGAAGCAAATCACCTCACCCATCTGGGTCTTGGTTATCCTGTTGGGATATGCAGGGGATACGTTAAGGTCATCTCTACCTCTAAAAGCCTAGACTCTAATTTTAGAGAGATATGGAGAGTATTTCAGAAGTCTTTATGTGTTATGGTGGGTTTTATTAAGGGATTATCTCTATATAGTGTCTCTGTGCTCTTAATTTACCCCCACACAAAATGCTCTCATTTCCTTCGCAAAACATATTGTCTAAAGCCCAATGCAGGCTGAATGCTGGCAGCTAGTAGGCCACTCTGAAGCAAATCTCTTGTCCTCTCTGTACATAACTTCCCTCATCTGTGTAAAGGGATAATAATATCTTACCTGACGGGGTTCTGTGAAGATGAAATGAGTCAATGTATACAAAGAACTTAGAACACACAGCCCCACCTAAGTGTGAGCTACCAGTGGTCCTAGTGCCAACACATCTGCTCACATCCGTTCCACCCATGGAGCTGTGTGCTTATTCCAGGTGAGCTATGTTTCCTTTCAAATCTTTTTGTGCCAAGTGTACTTGCTTTGCATGCATACTGTGCAAGCATTATATAAAATCAATTAAATATGGAAGTCAAGAAATAGTTGTTTCTGTAAAAACTAAGCTAAATGCCTTGTAAAGACTCCATGAAGGCAGGCTGGGCATAGTGGCTCATGCCTGTCATCCCAGCACTTTGGGAGGCAGAGGTGGCAGGATCGCTTAAGGCCAGGAGTTCAAGACCAGCCGAGGTAAAACAGCAAGACACCCATTCTCTACAAAAAGACTTAAAAATTCGCCAGGCACAGTGGTACATGCCTATAGTCCTAGCTACTCAGAAGACTGAGGCAGGAGGATCGTTTGAGCCCAGGAGCTCAAGGTTACAATTAGCTATGATCGTGCCACTGCACTTTAGCCTGGGTGACAGTGAGACCTCATCTCTTTAAAAAAAAAAAAAAAAAAAAAAGACTCCATGAAGGCAAACCATGACAAAAGTTTGCTGTTGAATGAGGTGTGACGGAGACAACTGCATAACACTGGAAAAATTCTGGAAAAACCTCCCGACTTAGATTACTTTGCAAGTATTGCTGAGTTCTAGGTCCACCTTAAAAAAATGTAAATGGAAGTTGTGGCTGACAAATTATGGCTGAAGTTTACACAAGGAAGATACTTCAGTCAGAGGACACTTAGACAAGAAAAAGACCTTGGGCCTATCTCAAAACATTCCTAGTACTCAAAATATTACAGCAAGTGACATACCACTGGGGGAAAAATATCAGAGTCTCCATGCACACAGCACGAGCAGGGAAAAAACCAAAATGCTAGACAATATACTACTTCAAAATCGTATTTTCATTTAAAATAAAATGTGTAAAGTATGTGTCATTTTACACACACCCTCATCATTTTCATTGACTCTTTGAGCTAACTGGCCAATTATCAGTCTTGATTTAGTTTGGCAACAGCGTTTCAACTCTGCATGAGCCTGTGTTCTCGCATCGTGGATGTGCCTATGGGGTCGGGGGTTAGAAAGCTTCCATTAGATAATGTGTAAATCATATCTGCACTTTGACTAGCATTTCTTAATATACATATATATACACCCATCCATAAATACATACATAACAATTCTGCTACTTTAGAATTTTTTTTTTTTTTGAGATGAAGTCTCCCTCTGTCGCCCAGACTAGAGTGCAGTGGCGTGATCTCGGCTCACCACAACCTCCGCCTCCCTGGTTGAAGCGATTCTCCTGCCTCAGCCTCCCAAGTAGCTGGGATTACAGGCTCCCGACACCACGCCAGGCTAATTTTTTTTTGTATTTTTAGCAGAGACAGGGTTTCACCATGTTGGCCAGGTTGGTCTTGAACTCCTGACCTCAAGTGATCTACCTGCCTTGGCCTCCCAAAGTGCTGGGATTACAGGTGTGAGCCACTGCACCCAGCCTACTTTAGAATTTTTAAATGTCTTTAGGGAATTTTCTAATTTTCCCCCAAATAATGCATACCTTGAGACTACCTGAATCCATACCTTTTTCTATATGTGAACTTCACGACATTTGATTTATCCATCCTATACAGTTATAGAATATTAGATCACAATATTGGGCTTAAAAAATGTCAGCTAGGTGCAGTGGCACACACCTGTAATCCCAAATACTTTGGGAGGCCGAGGCAGGAGGATTGTCTGGGGCCAGGAGTTCGAGACCAAAGTGGGCAACATAGTGAGATCTTGTCTCTACAAGAAATTTTTAAAAATTAGCCAAGTGTGGTAGTGCACGCCTGTAGTCCTAGCTACTCGGGAGGCTGAGGCAGAAGGATTCCTTAAGCCCAGGAGTTCAGGGCTGCAGTGAGCTATGATCACACCACTGCACTCCAGCCTGAGTGACAGAGCAAGACCCTGTCTCTGAATGAATGAATGAATGAATGAACAAACAAGTGCTTACCTTGTTCCTAATTTAATTAGCAAGCTAAACATATCTTGCACATGGCAGACGTAAGCTCTGGAATGTGCCCTCAATTTCACTGGCTCCAGACCCACAATTCTCTTTAACTCCCTGGCAGACACACTTCACCATCTGGAGTCCCTACTGCAACCAAACTGTCCACTGTCAACCATTTCATCTGTGTGTCTGTGTGTGTGTGTGTATAGGGGAAGCCATGGCCTGTCCAACAACTCACAGTCCCAACCTCATGTAGTCTGGTAAATCAGGGACCCTCATTCACAGCCAGAGAATGAAAGAAAAGCTGCAGAATGCAGTTCTGACCCCTGGGCTGGCTAGAGCACAAAATGAAAAGGATAGACTGCTGAGGAGGTGGGGTGTCACATGTCTGTATTTTGCTGTTCATAACGACGGCAACAAGTACTAAAGGTGTGCGAAAGCAGAGGGAGGCATAAAATGAGATAGAAGGAAATGATGACTTTTAAGTGGCAATACAAAGACGGGGTGGCTAAAAAGAACATCTTAGCAGTGATCAGGAAGGAAGGGATGACACATCTTTGAACATAGCTATAATTTAAATTAAGAGTGGAAATGAGGTATATCTTGGAATAAGAAGTATCTAGGTGTTAACACTACTCTCAGTTGAATTATTCAAAGAAAACATCTATGTAGGAAGTCTTATGTTCAGGGGAGGGATGGTGGAAGTGTGTGATGGGCATCTGCTGAGATGCCCCCATGGAGCAGCCCTCCTCCATTCTGACCTTGTGGCTTGAACAGGGCTGAGCCTACAAGGCAAGTACATGACCCAGGACATCTAATGACCAGTGCCTCTCATGGCTCCGTGACCGACAGTGGCAAGGAGTCAGGAGGGGTGAGCTGAGCCTAGCCCACCAAAGTCCATGTCCATCAGATGCAAGACTAAGCTGAAATTACCAGAGAAGAGGGTTTTTCTTCCTGCTAGTGAAACAGAAACCTAGAGCAGCTGGTGGCTGTTTCTGCCACTGCTTGGGGGCAAGCTTGCCTGAAAAAGAAGCCAACAGAGAAAGGCAGAGCAAGAAATGAAGAGAAAAACTGCTGATACCTTCAGAGCAACTGGAAATGGCCAATGCCAAAAGCAATATCCCTAGATGTTTCTGTTACGTCAATCAGTAAATTCCTATTTTTGCCTGAGCCAGTTTGATTGGGGTTTCTGTCACTTAGAGCTGAAAATGTCCTAATTCAAAATGTAACTATCTAGCTGCAATATATATATTTTTTCATTTAACCACACTGCTTACTGTTCATGCTTTTGAACATAGGGATTATTTCTACACATAAGACTTTTTTTTTTTTGAGACAGGGTCTTGCTCTGTCACCCAGGCTGGAGTCCAGTGGTGTGATATCGGCTCATTACAACCTCTGCTTCCTGGGCTCAGGTGATCCTCCCACCTCAGCCTCTCAAGTAGCTGTGACTACTGGCGTGTGCCACCACACCTGGCTAATTTCTTTGTATTTTTTGTAGAGGCAGGGTTTCACCATGTTGCCTAGGCTGGTCTAGAACTCCTGGCCTCAAGCGATATGCCCACCTCAACCTCCCAAAGTGCTGGGATTACAGGCGTGAGCCAGCACACCCAACCCACATATTCTTAATAGGCTCAACATAAGTTATTTCAAAGGGCAGAAGGAAAATGTAATCCAACTGGAGATACACATAAATATTAAGATACAGTATTAATAATGTTAATAGCAAACATTTGTTAAATTTACCACAGACACATAGTAACATTGAACAAATGTTTGCTATTAATATTAATTCTGTATTGTGTCTTAATAGATGTGCATTAGGATATATTAATAATGTATTAATAATATACATCTCAATCTTCACAATGTTTCGCTATAAGTATTCAAATTATATCTATTTTAAAGAAGGGCAAACTGATTCAGAGAGGTTAAGAAACTTGCCCAACACCAGAGCAGGTGGTAGGTCAGAGACCCAGGACCAAGCAAGCATATTCTAACTAGAACATTCGCTCTTAAATCACTATGCTCTACTCCCTCCAGAATATCAGAAGTGTTACTGAAAATACATAAAGTTGGTTCTGCTGTACCACATAAAGAGGTTCAGCCACTACACGGTGCCCTGAGCCATCCCTCAACACAGTGATAGAAAGGACGGATCCCTGAGTATCCCTGAGAGGTGTTTTCCAACTGCAGGGTGCAAACCATTGGTGAGCCATGAAAATGATTTAATGAGTGAAGACCAGCAGTATTCCCCGACAGAATAGAAAATATCAGACTATGGTATATAAGGGCAAATATTGCCTTGTGAAACCTTTTTGCTTATACATATATACATACATATTTATATCCCAGTTCATGACATGAAATATACTTTCCTATAAATCATAAAGTTTTAAGGCCACAAATGTAGAGCAGAAAGTTGTGTGAAGGCTGGCTGTAAAATCCCCTAAACCTGGACTCACAGGGTTGAGGTGGGGAGAGAGAGAGAGAGAAGTGAAAACTAAATGGCCTCAGGAATTGAGGAAAATTAGAACTGACCCATACTGCAATGTATTTTCCTGAGGAAATCCTCTAAGCAAATCTATCTGATTCCCTAAGAGGGCTTTTTTCCTTAACTAAATATTAGAGACTAAGGATCCTTTCACAAAACCCCCAATATCTGATGTTTATGTGGTAATTCAAAACTGAAAAGGGTGAAGCAGCGATATGAAAGCAATCTGCTGGGTGAGCGCTAATGAGGTCCATGCAGCAGACAGCACCAGAGCCCAAGCTCGGAGCAGCTCCCCAGGCACACGGCTGATGTGGAAACTCACAGGACAGCTTGAGTTTGCTGGGGAAAAGTCAAATTGGCAAGCATAACAGTAGCCTTGCCTGGGCTAAAAGAAACACCTCGCTGGCTCCCCCTCGCTCTTCTCTTGTGTGGCAGCGTCAGGCGGCCCCAGGAGATGCTGAGGGGCTTAACATCCCACGCGGTGCTCCCACTGAGGCTCCTCGGCTCCTCTCCCCGCCCAGGAAGAGGACACTTCTTAAGCTTTTATTAAACTGTTGTCATAAATTGCTTATGAGAGCAAAGTAACAAACTATCACTTTCCCTTTCCTTCCAAGTGGCGAGAACTGGGCCTGTGCCTGCTCCAAAGCACTGAGCCAAAATCAGCCGGCAGAAAATTGCCAGCCATCATTAACTGTCGGACTGGCAGAGCAGAGGAAGTCCATTTTATTAGAGGCTCATCCATAATATATTTTGTTTGAACCCTGTACAGACTGAATTCATTAACATAGATTAACAATTCATCCTCGAGCTCAGATTCCTTTGTGCTTCTCCTAAGTGGCATCACTCTTTTAGCTCCTCCCACTCACAATAAATTATTTAATCGCAAAGTTCAGAACTATTTTCTGTCAGTGTTAAATATTTCCTATCAGTGGCTCTGAACCTTCTGTGGATTAAGGATCTCCTTTGAGCATCTAATGAAAGCTACACATCCTTACTCAGGAAAAATGCACAAAGAAGCCAGGTGTGGTGGCTCACGCCTGTAATCCCAGCACTTTGGGAAGCCGAGGTAGACGGATCACTTGAGTCCAGGGGTTTGAGACCAGCCTGGCCAACACGGTGAAACCCCGTCTCTACTAAAATATAAAAATTCGCTGGCGTGGTGGTGGGTGCCTGTAATCCCAGCTACTCAGGAGGCTGAGGCAGGAGAATCCCTTGAACCCTGGAGGTAGAGGCTGCAGTGAGCTGACAGCCGAGATCATGCCACTACACTCCAGCCTGGGCGACAGAGCGAGACTCTGTCTCAAAAAAAAAAAAAAAAGAAAAAGAAAAAGAAAAAAACACAAAAGCGTGCACACATACACAATTTTGCTAGGATTTTAGGGGTGCAGAGATGCCCAGAAACTCTCCCACGGTCTCTTAGAAAGCATATGAACCCCCAGTTAAGTTCCTCAGTTCTAGTATGTATCACCTTTCCTAGTGCCGAACACATTCATGGCAAAAAATTAGTTCACTTAGAGAGTTAAGTGTTTCTCTCAAACACCTACTGAAAAACAAAACCAGCAAACAAACAAAACAATGATATTAACATTTCCTACTTATCTTTATTGTACTTCAGAAATGAAAAATCAGTTAAGTGTTTAGGGTCCTGTTATTTGCTTAGTGCTAAGAGGAATATAAAAAAAGTAAAAGACAGTCCCTCATCATAACAAAATTAACGTGATGAAGCAATGATGGAGAAAAGAGATCCGTACACAGTTATATGCTAAATTACATGGTACCAGCTAATGGCACAGTGGCAATTTTTTTTTTAATTTTTAAAATTTAAAAATACATGTAGGGAGTTCAAGTGCAGATTTCTTACATGCATATATTGCCTAGTGGTAAAGTCTGGGCTTTTAATGTACCCATCACCTAAATAGTAAACTTTCTACCCAATCATAATTTTTCAACCCTCACCTCCCTCCCATCCTCCCACTATTTTTAGTCTTCAATGTCCATTATTTTATTCTGTCTGTCCATGTGTACCCATCATTTGGCCCCCGTTTACAAGTGAGAATGTGTGGCATTTGCCTTTCTGTTTCTGAGTTATTTTACTGATGATAAAGGCCTCCAGTTCCATCCATGTTGCTCCAAAAGACAAGATTTCATTCCTTTTTATCGCTGCATAGTATTCCAAGGTGTGTGTGTGTGTGTGTGTGTGTGTGTGTGTGTAACCCACATTTTCTGTATCCAATGATCCTCCACTGATGGACACTTAGGTTGATTTCATATCTTTGCTATTGTGAACAGCAGTGTGGTGAACATATGACTTGAGGTGTTTTTAAATATAATAATTCCTTTTCCTTTGGTTAGATACCGGAAATGGGATTGCTAGATCCAACGGTAGTTCTATTTTTAGTTGAGAAATCTCCATACCATTTTCCACTGAGGTTGTACTAACGTATATTCCCACCAACAGTGTATAAGCGTTCCCTTTTCTCCACATGCTCACCAACATCTGTTATTTTTAGTCTGTTGAATAACAACCATTCTGACTGGTGTGAGAAGGTATCTCATTGTGGTTGTTTTATTTTTGTTTGTTTGTTTGTTTTTGTTTTTTTTTGTTTTTTTTGAGGCAGAGTCTCACTCTGTCACCCAGGATGGAGTGCAGTGGTGTGATTTCGGCTCACTGCAACCTCTGCCTCTCGGGTTTAAGCAATTCTCCTGCCTCAGCCTCCTGAGTAACTGGGACTACAGGTGCCCTACGCCCAGCTAGTGTTTTTTGTATTTTTAGTAGAGACAGGGTTTCACCATATTGGCCAGACTGGTCTCAAACTCCTGACCTTGT
This sequence comes from Homo sapiens, assembly GCF_000001405.40. Taxonomy (NCBI): domain Eukaryota; kingdom Metazoa; phylum Chordata; class Mammalia; order Primates; family Hominidae; genus Homo; species Homo sapiens. The sequence continues at coordinate 98,549,537 of NC_000004.12, forward strand.
GATCTGCCCACCTCAGTCTCCCAAAGTACTGGGGTTACAGGTATGAGCCACTGCACCTGGCCTCGTTGTGATTTTAATTTGCATTTCTCTGATGATTAGTGATGTTGAGCATTTTTTTCATGTTTGTTGGCCACTTGTATGTCTTCTTTTGAAAAATGTGTGTTCATGTTTTTTGCTCACTTTTTAATGGGGTTCTTTGGGGTTTTTTTCTTGTTAAGTTGTTTGAGTTTCTTGTAGATTCTGCATGTCAGCCCTTAGTTGGATGCATACTTTGGGAATTTTTTTTTCCTCATTCTGTAGGTTTACTCTCCTGATTTTTTTCTTTTGCTGTGCAGAATCTTTTTAATTTAATTTAATTAAGTGCCATTTCTCCATTTTTATTTTCATTGTGCTTGGTTTTAAGGACTTGGTCATAAATTCTTTGCCTGGGCCAATGTCCAGAAGAGTTTTTCCTAGGTTTCTTCTAGGATTTTTATAGTTTCAGGTCTTACGTTTAGGTCTTTAATCCATCCTGAGTTAATTTTTGTATATGATAAGAGGTATGGGTTCAGTTTCATTCTTCTACAACATACATCCAATTTTCCCAGCACCATTTATTGAATAGGGTGTCATTTCCCCAGTGTACATTTTTGTTGAATTTGTTGAAAATCAGTTGTAGATATGTGGCTTTATTTTTGGCTTCTCTATTCTATTCCACTGATCTATGTGTCTATTTTTATACCAGTACCATGTTGTTTTGGTTACTATAGCTTTGTAGTGTAATTTCAAGTCAGGTAACGTGACGCCTCTAGATTTTTTCTTTTTGCTTAGGATTGCTTTGGCTATTCTGGCTTTTTTGGTTCCATATGAATTTTAGGATTGGGTTTTTTAATTCTGTGAAAAATAATGTTGGTAAGTTTGATAAGGATTATATTGAATCTGTAGATTTCTCTGGGGAGATGGTCATTTTAACAATGTTGATTCTTCTAACCCATGAGCATGGGATATTTTTCCATTTGTCTGTGTTGTCTATGATTACTTTCATCGGTGTTTTGTAGTTCACCTCCTTGTTTAAATATATTCCCAGCTGGGTTTTTTTTTTTTTTTTTCTGGTAGCTATTATAAATGGGGTTGACTTTTTGATTTGGTCCTCGGCTAGATCATTACTGTACTAGTGTACAGAAAAGCTACTGATTTCTATATGTTAATTTAGTATCCTGAAACCTTACTGAATTGATTTATCAAATCTAAGAGTTTTTTGGTGGAGTCTTTAAGGTTTTCTAGATATAAGATCATATCATCAGTGAACAGGGATAATTTGACTTCCTCCTTTCCAATTTGGATGTCTTTTATTATTCTCTCTTGCCTGATTGCTCTGGTGAGAACTTCCAGTGCCATGTTGAATAAGAGTCATGAAAGTGGGCATGCTTCTCTTGTTCCAGTTCTTAAGGGGAATGTTTTCAACTTTTTCCTATTAAGTATGATGTTGGCTGTAGGTTTGTCATATATGGCCTTTATTATGTTGAAGTATATTCCTTCTGTGTCTCGTATGTTGAAGACTTTTATCATGAAGAGATGCTGAATTTTACTGAATGCTTTTTTCTGCATCTATTGAGACGATCATATGTTTTTGTCCTTAATTCTGTCTGCATGATGTATCACATTTCTTCATTTGCACATGTTGAATCATCCTTGCATCCTTAGGATAAATCCCACCTGATCACGGTATAGTATCTTTTTGATGAGCTGCTGGATTCAATTTGCTAGTATTTTGTTGAGAATTTTTACATATATTTTCATCAGGGATATTGGCCTCTAGTTTTCTTTTTTGTTGTATCCTTGTCTGGTTTTGGTATCAGGGTTATAACTAGCCTTGTAGAATGAGGTGGGGAGAATCCTCTCGTTTTTTTTTTTTGGAATAGTTTCAGGAGGATTGGTATTAGTTCTTCTTTGTATGGTTTTTTCCTTTTTCTTTTCTTTTTTTTTTTTTTTTTGAGATGGAGTCTTGCTCTGTCACCCAGGCTGGAGTGCAGTGGCGCGATCTTGGCTCACTGCAACCTCCGCCTCCCGGGTTCAAGGGATTCTCCTGCCTCAGCCTCCCAAGTAGCTAGGACTACAGGTGGGTACCATCACGCCCAGCTAATTTTTTTTTTTTTTTGTATTTTTAGTAGAGATGGGGTTTCACAGTGTTAGCCAGGATAGTCTCGATCTCCTGACCTCGTGATCCACACACCACGGCCTCCCAAAGTGCTGGGATTACAGGCATGAGCCACTGCACCTGGCCTCCTTTGTATGTTTGAAAGAATTTGCCTGTGACTGCATCTGGTCCTGGGCTTTTTTTGTTGAGAGATTTTTATTACTGATTCAATTTCACTACTCATCATTGGTCTGTGCAGGGCTTCTATTTCTTCAATCTCAGGAGGTTGTGTCCCCAGGAGTTTATCCATTTCTTCCAGCTTTTCTAGTTTGTGAGCATATAGTTGTTAATAATAATAGTCTCTGATGATCTTATATTTCCATGATCAGTTGTAATGTCTCCTTTTTCATTTCTGATTGTGTTTATTTTGATCTTCTCTCTTCTTTTCTTGGTTAGTCTAGCTAGTGGTTTATCAATTTTGTTTATCTTTTCAAAAAACCAACTTTTCATTTCACTCATCCTTTGTATTGTTTTTTGGTCTCTAGTTCATGTAGTTTTGCTCTGATCTTTGTCGCTTATTTTCTTGTAACTTTGAGTTTGGTTTGTTCTTATTTTTCTAGTTCCTTCAAGTGTGATGTTAGGTAACTTGTGACCTACTGTTTTGATGTAGGCATTTAGTGCTATAAACTTCCCTCTTAGTACTGCTTTTGCAGTATCTCACAGGTTTCACTATGCTGTATTTTCATTTTCATTCAAGGAATTATGCTTCATTCTTCATCGACCTTTTTAGTGAACACCCAGGAAGTTTTCCTGTGTGCTTGTAGTCTGCCTCCCTTTTTCCAATTACAACACCTTGGTCTTTCTTTGGGCAATAAGCTGGTGTTCTAGAGTAAGATGGTAAGGATGTGACCCAATCCTGGCAATCACAGCATTCCACCTATCTCACATTAACAATTGGTTTGGGACTAGTGGGTGCTTAAGACTTGTCCAGTAAGACTCATCCTGGGATTTCTATTCAAGTATTTTCAAAGAGAGACTCATTTACTACAGTTATTAAACTCATGGGAAAGACAATAGGAGCTGCTAGTAGCTACCTTGAAACCACATGAGGATACCCTAAGAATGAAGCCAGTCCAAGAGAAAGCAAAGGCAAGAAATGGACAGAGCCCTATGACATGGTTTGGTCACTGGATATATTTTTAGGTATATGAGGCTAATAACCTCCATCTCACAGAGTGCATGACTAACCACAGTAAATTTAGGATTCTGTGCTTCTCCATCCCTTCTCCATAACTAGTTTACCTCTTAAAGGGTATCTGGAATTTCAGTTGTCATGTAACATGAAAGTTTTGAAATGATGACTGGCCCATTTACTATTAATTTTCTTGACACCTCCATGATGCTAGCCAACAATGGTCTTTAATTAAAGTCACACATTTTCAAAATTTTATATGTATTTAAATTAAGAGCTTTTTTTGTGAGCTAACATCTTAAAATGGAAGTTAGCAAAACATTGTTAGATAACACTAGTATAAAGTTACCTAATTTGCTGTCTAAAAGTGTTGGAGTAAATTAAGCAAAAGTTGAAACAAGAAGATAGCACTTTAGCATCAAACTAAATCTCCAAGAGGAAGGAAAACTAAAGTTCAAGGCTAAAACTCTAAATTGCATCTTAAAGGAAATGAAAACAATACATTAAATATCACACAGTTTTTAAAAACTACTGTCTCTATGTGGTGGTATTACAGAAAATTAGAACAAAAATAATCATATGCATTTCCTAAATTGTCTGTCTAGAACATGTTATCTTGATAATGGGGAAAAATGAGCTTTTAAAAATAAAAGACAACGTAATAATACAATTTAAAGATAATGATATGTTTGTCCATTAAAACTTCGTAAGAATGGGCTCCCTCCATGAAAAATTACTCATAGGCCTTTACTGAAAGAACCTTTAAATGGTAAGGTACGCCTTTTATGTGTTTTTGGGTATGTTTTCAGAATGTTTCTTAGGATCACCAGATCAGAAGGCCACAATGACCAACCACCAGCTTGGGCAAGACCATGCAAAACCAAACTTCAGATTTCAGCTAATTGTACCCCAGAAACCTCCCAAAGAAAATGTCAAAAGCAGCTGGGCACGGTGGCTCACGCCTGTAATCCTAGCACTTTAGGAGGCTGAGGCAAGTGGATCACTTGAGGTCAGAAGTTCGAGACCAGCCTGGCCCACATGACGAAACCCTGTCTCTACTAAAAATACAAAAATTAGCTGGGCGTGATGGCAGGCGCCTGTAATCCCAGCTACTCAGGAGGCTGAGGCAGGAGAATCGCTTGAACTGGGGAGGCGGAAGTTGCAGTGAGCCGAGATCATGCCATTGCGCTCCATCCTGGGTGACAGAGCGAGACTCTATCTAAAAAAAAAATAAATTAAAAAAAAAATGTAAAAAGCAGTCTTGATGAGGTGTTAAATCCTAATAAGGTCTTGCAATCAAGTTTTTCTCAAAGCATAACTTCAATTCCATTTTATACTTGAACAATAAATATACTTCAACAATAACATTTTCCTTTTATTATAAAAAGAAACATGTTCTTCCAACTCCTCAAAATATAAGATATCTAGTTATGTAGCTGCCTCTTAACTTTTTAGCGGTGTTTTTAAAAATAGGAAACTATTTGAAAACATGAACCTACTGATTCCAAAGCCCTGCAATGATTTAGTGAAGCTCAGTGTCTCATACTTTGTTTGTTCACAGCGTGAACCATTATGGAGAAAGCTTATTAAAAAGTTCTCATTTCACATTACAAATCCATAATCTAACGCGCTAATCATACTCATTCAATTGCTGCACATCCATAAATGCCATTGTACACAATCATCATTAAAATTCACTGTGGAATAATAACTTTTAAAATCTCATCTTGAACAAAAAGCTATTTGAAATTACCATATTATCTTTATTTCTAGATTAAATTTGGTTAAATGCCTTTGCACGCTTTTTAATATAAGAATCTAAATATAATGAAGAAACAACCCCTAAAATATTCCATTACCACAGAAAATATAAACTGTTAATACATGCATAAAGTCCAAATGAAAACAAAAGCTTCAGCTTAGACCTGAAGGCCAGATCCACAAATATTATAAGAACCTTCTGAAAGGACACCCTTTGCTTTCTAAAGGAGAGAGTATGTGCCAAACAAGCTTTGAAAACAAATTTGCATTCTATTTACCAAAGAATTCCATGTATAATACATGTTCAAGGTGGGGGTTGGGGAGAGGAAGTGACATGAGTATAAAAATCCCACAGAAAGATACTCTGCTTGGAGCTAGAAGTGTTAGGCCTTGGATGGTAATAGAAGAAATAGCCTGAGAACACCAGAAGTTTTCCTAAAGCAAGGCCCTGAAATGTGAACACAAGAGAGCTAACAGCGTGGGTGGTTACTGCTTCCAGCAGCCCCAATGGTACTGAACATGTCCAACTTCGTGATCTGGGTGCTGGTTACAGAGTTTCTTCAGTTTGTGAAAATCCATCAGTATGTGCACCATACGATACTTCATAATCCCTAAGGATCTCTGTGCTCTCCTTTCTACCAACTCTCCAATTTCACATCATACCACTCTCTCCAGTCACACAGGCCTACTTTCTATTCCTTGACTATATCAAGCAATTTTTGACGTCAATCATCCTGCTAATTGCATCTCTTTCTTCTCTCCTTTATAAAGACAGGGTACTCCTACCCTAAGGGTTTGTTTGAGATGATAACTCAGTAAAGTCTTTTCTGGCCACCTTTGCGAATTTATTCCCCCCTCATATTACTAACCACACTTCCTGAAATTATTCCTTCTAATTATATCTGTAGTTGTTTTTCAGCTGTCTCCCCTAGTAGGCTGTATGCATCATGAGAATGGAGACCATGTCCATCTTATCCACTTGTGTTTCCCCAGCACAGTGCCTTGAATACAGAAGGTATTAAAAAAAATTGGCTGTATGAATGATATTTCCCAACCCCTTAAGTTTTCAGGTATTATGCTAAAAGGGTAAATATAGAAATAAGTAAACAAGTAGTTAAAAATTAAAAATTAGCTTGAATACAAATTTTCAGACTGCTTTCATGTGCCTTGCTTTACCCACAACCAGCGGTAGCAGCTTCATGGCACTAATGACAAAACAATAAACCAACAGCTCCTCAGTAATCTGACCTACCCTGTTAAACAAAAAGGATCCACCACACTGTTAGGATATCCTTAGCAAAAGCAAAGCTACTAATTCATTCTTTTCTCCTCCCTGCAAAAAGACTGAAAAATCACTCCACACACGCGCGCGCACACACACGTGCGTGCGCACACACACACGTGCACAGCACACACCCCCACACACACAGCACCCCCACACACACACACACACACACACAGGTAGGAATGGCTCTTCAGCACTGAACTGGCATCTTCACCTACTACCCAAACCACTGGGACTTCACAATCCTTACACACTGTCTTGGCCCCAGATGCAGAGACATTTTATGCCAAATCTGTGGGTGGAAAAGTCAATTCCATCCTTCCTGTAGAAGGATACACAGATGATTGTTATACAACTTTAGGATGACCCATGCTTTCCTGTCTCAGGAAGCTCCCAGAGACTCCCTAACTGCATCTCATTCACCCACGTGGTGGGTTTCAAACTTGCTCTGATGATAAAGCACTGGGAAGCAGAGCTGCCTATTGAGGAAAAATATGAAACACTGAGATACTTTGCTTCTTTTTATGAACGAGGAATAATTTTTCTGGCAGAAATGGCAGTATATGAATGCCATCTAAAACCATAGCTTATACGTACCTGGCAGGGGAGATTATTTCAACCCTAAGAAAGAATAAAAAAACACCATACCCTAAACTTGCGTGTTCTCAATAAAATAATAGAGTTATTAAACTAACTGGTTGTGTCCAAATTTTTCTGTTAACATTCTTTTACTACTTATTCATTCATTTTCACTAATACTCACCAAAAGAGATGTGGTAGCAAATGCCAAACACTTATGAAATGTTGACAGGAGAAAAACATGAAACTGAAAAAGTTTCTATTAGCCCATTTTATTTTCCTTCTGTGGATTGAGATAGGCCATTATTCATTTTTAGCAGTGGGGACTACTGGGCTGGGTCTTTTGAAGTCCAATTATTATCATTCTTTGCCAAAGATAAGGAAAATAGACTTCTATATTTTGAAGAAGTTTCTAATTCTCACCAAGTTTATACTCATCAAAAAGTGAAATGATTATTTCAAAATAAATTTGTTAAAAATTATACCAATATTTTGAAAGAGCCAAGAAGCCAAATGACCCTTATTACCACATTGTATTATAATGTGCATAAATGTTAAACATGAAGTAGTTTAAACATTGACTAAACAGAAAATCTGGAATCATATACTCTTATTGAGAGCAACAAAGTCAAAGCCAATTATGAGACACCAAAGGATGTCTTTGATAGTAACACTTTAAAAATAAAGATAATAAAATAGTACATTTTATCATACTAGCGTTTTTATTTTTCTAAACAGAATACACACTGTATAGTAACATATAAAATACAAATAGGTCTGTGGTCTCCAAAAATGACACTAAATCAACTGAAGCAGAAGAAAATGCACAAATGGTATTAAATCATGACACAGAAAAAGAGAGGGTAGCATCTGGCACTTCTGGCGTGCTACTAAGAACACACTCGGGGAGGAATACAAATTCTACAGTCTCTGAACTAGGCAGGGTGGCTGCAATTTGGGAAGCTGTTTTTTTCCCTTAGGTAGAATAAAATGTTCATCAGACCACATTTGTAAGTATTCACTCAATAATGAATACAACAGTAACCATTTTAACATCCAAGTAGTTTTTAAAATCACACACTTAGAAATACAACTGAGAATTCCAAATAATTTATGTAAATATTCTGCCCACAACTGGGAAGGGCAAAATTCCCCATTCCTTATGCAAGGGCTGTACGTAGTGGCCTCCTTCCAAAGGAGGTGGGCCGAGTCACTTTACAGTGGAGAAATCTGGCAGCGGATTGCATCGGCCACGTGATCAAGATTATGTTGACATGATCACATCAGTGATAAGTCATGTTGACAGGATGTACCCCTGATACAACAAAAATGGCACTTAACCTCTGTGGGTCTTCCCCTAGTCTAATCATGAGAAAAACAACAGACAAATCTGAGGAACATTCCACAAAATACCTAAACACTATTCCTCAAAACTGTCAAGATCATCAAAAACAAAAAGGTCTACGAAACTGTCACAGCCAAGAGGTGCCTAAGAAACCATGAACAACGTAATGTAGTGCCCAGGGTGAGATCCTGGAACAGAAAAGGACATTAGGTAAAACCTAAGGAAGTCTGAATAAGGTACAAACTTTAGTTAATAATAATATATCAATATTGGCTCATTAGTTGTAACAAATGCAGTATATTAACATGTAAGGTGTTAGAAATACTTGTTCCCCGGTGACGCAAAGAAACAGCACTCGAACATAAATTTAATCATCTTAGCAAGGCCATTTTTATTAAATGTATGTTCGAATGCTCATACATTTATTTCTCTGCAGCACCAGGGAACAAGCATTTCTAACATAAGGTGTTAGTAACAGGGGAAAATGGGTGCACAGTAAATGGAAACTGTACTATCTTTGCAACTTTCCTGTAAATATAAAACTCTTCCAAGTCTCACACTGTCCCCCTGGATCTCAATCTGCTGGCTAAGTAAATCCATACTGAATTTAGAACAGAGATTATTAGGCAAAAAGTTTTTAAAGTTGCAGCGAAGGGAGGGTAAACGGCTTGTGCACCGCTGCTAGCTAATATCCACAGCTTCCCCAGGGACTTTAATGTGGTGGCACTTGAAGAGATTGGTTTGCCAATCGATGGGCTGCTTTTGAGGCTCTTGATTAACATATGTAGAGTTCCAAAGTGCCTTGAAAGCTTTCTATTATCTCAGCACTCCAAATGCAGTTTCTAAATGCTGATATTCAGTTTCAGCTTTTTCCAGTTTCTTCTTCAGCCTTCCACATTCATGATCACCTGTTCACCCTTAGCGAGCCTCAGAGCAGAGTGGAGTTGCTTGAAACCCATGTGGGCAAGCTGACCTACTGTGGATAGGCCAGAGTCTAACTGAGGGACAGCAAGATTTTCAGATGGTCTTTAGACAACAAATTGAAAATGGTAATTCCTTTTCTTTAGCAGCAGGGCATAACCTGTGAATGTCTTCTTGTTTAATCTCCCAGCACTCTATGATGTAGGTCCTGTAAATGCCCTCACTTAAATAACAAAGACACAGAATAAGCCAGAAGAAATAACTCCCTTCAGAGTGGCAGAGCAGAATCCTAACCCATGCCTCTTTGCCTAAAACCTGTACTGTCTCTGGCTTGCATGTTCCCTTCCATGAATATAATGCAGTAAAACACCGTGGGAAACAAGCCTTTCAAGAATTCAAACAGTATTACTAGACAGTAACGACACTAAGACAATTTCCCTCCCATGTTTTCTACAGCAAAAAGGAATCACTATTCTGGTAAAAATTTCCATCAGGCTGGGATCTTCCTTTCCAGTATTTCAAATTTGGAAATCATAAAAAATAACTTTAAACACAATACAAATGGCTAAACATGACCGGATATTCAACATGAATATTACTGTCATAACAGGGTAATGGGGTGATATAATGACGGGGAAAAGTTAGTATCTTTATTTATCTCTGTCTTTTTGCAGAAAGGAAGGAAAATTTATAAATCTGAGTAAGAAGAGTATAATAAAGAAATGGTTAAGTAGGAGTTCACAAGAGGGTTTAAGCCTTTCTATGTGCTAAAATATGACATACACACTCTATTTTCTTGAACACTATTTTAAGGCAACTTTTTTATTATCATTAGTTACTGATTTTCCTTGAATTACTTTAATAACCACTATTGGAAATACTCCATAACATAAGTAGGCTCGAAAAGCTTTTCTGCATTTGCAAAAACTGTAACCATAGACAAGCCATAGCCCCTGTATCTTCAGACAGAATCTGAACATTTTTAGCCCCTGTATCTTCAGACAGAGTCTCAACATCCAGGTGCTCCTCTAAATTAAAGCTTAATTTTCACAATTGGTAGAAAGCAGAAATTTGAGTCAACCAGCTGTTAACAGCCCACAGAAAACCAGCAAGCAGACTTAGTTATTTTTTCCTTAAGTGTAGAATAAATTGACTGACTGTATTGAGCTGTTTTTGTGTTTCCCCCTCCAGAGATGTCACTTCCCTGAAGAATTTCCACCAACATATAACCAATCCTTTCAAAAAACAGGCGTTCTCTTAAAATTAATTCTTATCATTTTCTAATCCACAACATCTTAAAGTGGAAAATGTAATTTTTCTAAGCAGAAGTATATTTTGTTTGTCTCCAAGTAGATTCTAAATTCCAATCAGATTTAGTCCAAATGCCACTTAATGACTTTGTGTTCCAACCCAGATAACAAGACAAGCTGCTAACTTACCATTTGGTGACAAATACCTCTTTCTTCAAGTTTCCCCCACTGGTGTTATTATTAGCAATGAAGAGAGTGGCTCATAAGCAGACTTTTTCAAAAGCTAAAGCAGAGCAGGGTAAATTTTCATCCCTCATGTTTTCCCCATAATCTGTAAAATATTTCACTTAGATTATCATGATTTTCTAAAACTTTAATATATTTACTACAGGGAGATTTTCTAAATATGCTGTTAATTAGTTTGTTCATTCCACAAACATATTTAATTGCTTCTAAATGCTAAGCACAGAGAAATAAAATTGAATGAGATTGAAGAGACTAATATCTTCAATTGAGGGAGGCAGGGGGCGTGTTTTCCTTGTTTAGGACGTGCCTCCAAGGCCTGTCTAGCATGAGGCTCCGCTCAGCAAATATTCACTGAAATGTGAACAACAAAGCTCTGCCTTCAGGATGTGGATAATCCTTGAAGACAAGTGCCAGGCACTCTTCTAGATTCTGTAGATAGAACAATGAGCAAAACAAATGCTGTGCCATCATGACACTTACATTCCTGTGCAGGGGAGCACAATAAACTAAACTATATATATAATATAATGTGTGACAGGGGCTCTAAAGTAAAAAAGGCAGTGTAGGAAGATGGGGAGCTTTTCCAGACTGAGTGGTCTTACACTTGGAAGAAGTTTCAGATGAGCTGAGATTTAAATGAAGTGAGTGGCAAATGTTGCAAATATTCTAGATAAAAGTGTTCTAAGCAGAAGGAACTAATTAATATGCAGGCAACTAACGATAACACAGTTTGCAGCTAGTATAATGAGGTATGTGGCCGAGTTTGGTAGCTGTCTACCAAAACTCCATTTTGTCTTTCTGGTCACCCAGCTAGACCACATGTCTCAGCTGCCCTTGCAGTTTGAGTGGCTTTGTGACTTGTCTTTACCAATGGACTGTGAGAGAAGTGGTAGGTGTCACTTCTGAGGCAAGGCTTTAAGAAACAAATATATCCACTCCATGCTCTCTTCTTTACCCTTTCACATAAAACGGAACACAATGGGGCTAGCAGAGCCATAACGTGGAAAGGGCCTGGGCCTATACATCACTGCAAAAAGGACAGTCATCCAGGCTCACGCCTATAATCCCAGCACTTTGGGAGGCCAAGGTGGGCGGATCACCTGAGGTCGGGAGTTCAAGACCAGCCTGACCCAACATGGAGAAACCTTGTCTCTACTAAAAATACAATATTAGCAGATCTTTTTCCATTGTCATATCCCTAGGACCTGGCACAAATCCTGGAAAATGGTAGATATTCAGTATTTATTGAATAAATGCTACTGAAAGCATGAAAAAAGCAAGTAGGTCAATAAGTAATTGAGGCAAGGGTTCAGCAGGGGTTTATGACAGCGACACTTTAAAGAATGGGGCAAGTGGCTTATAAGGGCCTGGTAGGATGGTTGGGGTGGATATTCTTGGCAGTGGAAAGCGTATAAGCAAAGAAAGGAAGAAAATACATGACACATTTGAGGGACACGGATCCCAAAGTGTTTCCATGCTTGTGTGCTTTTCATTCAATAAACATTTAGAAGCATCTGTTATGCGCTGAGCACTACTATAGGTGCTGGAAACACAAAGCCTGGTAAGGCCAGGCCCTGGTGAAGAGGAAGCTTGAAGCACACAACACAAGGAAGACATAAAAAGAAGAGTGGTAATGCTAGTGGGGTCACTACACCGTCGCTGCGTCCTGAAATTCCAGCAGACACTGTCCAGGAAGATTAGCTGTGGGCAGGCACATTCCAGCAAAGGTACGAAACAGCATGGCAGCTCACAGAACTGCGAATAGTCCAGCCCCCTCAAAAGTAGGCTCCATGATGGCAATGACTTTGTTTTATTCACTGCTGAGTCTCCAGTGCCTAGAACAGGCCCTGCACTTTGCAGATTTTGAATGCCTAGACATTTGAGGGGAGGGGATGAGGTTATAAATAAGGCTATAAAGGAGGCATAAACTATGGCATAACAGAAGGAATTCAAAGAGCTCTGATGGGAAACAGTAAGGCCAGATTTGTGTTTTACAAGAGCATTCTAGTTGAAACATGCTTGAAGGGGTGTGATACCTGGACAGGAAAAGCAGGTAGTAGATGACTGCAATGGCCCAGGCCTCAGGAGAGAGGAGATGAAAACTGAAATAAGACAACAGGAGGAAAGCAGGGGTAGAAAGAAAATCACAGGCCGGGTGCGGTGGCTCACACCTGTAATCCCAGCACTTTGGGAGGCCAAGGCAGGCGGATCACAAGGTCAGGAGATCAAGACCATCCTGTACAACATGGTGAAACCCCATCTCTACTAAAAATACAAAAATTAGTTGGGCGTGGTGGGGCATGCCTGTAGTCCCAGCTACTCAGGAGGCTGAGGCAGGAGAACTGCCTGAACCTGGGAGGTGGAGGTTGCAGAGAGCCGAGATCGCGCCACTGCACTCCAGCCTGGCAACACAGCGAGACTCTGTCTCAAAAAACAAAACAAAACAAAACAAAACAAAACAAAACAAAAAAACAGGATTTAAGAACTATACGGGGAGGACTGAGAAGGCTTGTGATACATACATGTGTATGTGTATAGTGTGTGTATATAAGTATATAAAAAGAGAGACTAAGACGACTCCTAAATTTAAGAAAAACCAGGCTTGGGGAAAACAGTAATTCAATTTTGCATATGTTACACTTGGGATGCTTTAGAGTATTCTAGGAAGAATGTGTCCAAAAGGTAGCTTACATAGGCATGATGTTCCCAGAAAAGGTTTGGTCTAGGGTCAAAAACAGAACAGCATTCAGGTGAAAGCTAATGTCATGGGAGGGAATGAAACTGCCCAAACATAGCCACCACTTACTGCTGTGCAAGCTGTGCACTGCACAACTCCTGGGGCTCCAGTTACCGTGGGTCACTGCAGCTTTGTACAGCTATTACGACCATTTTTTGGTAGATGAATATAATGTATCTTGAAAGAGAGGTACCTGTTTGTAATTCATCAAAGTCATCACATAACAATATGTTTGTTAAAGGAACTGCCAGAGCAAGCAGAGATGAGAGGAGGGAAAGAGAAGAAACCGGGAGAAGGCAGGTGAGGGTGAAGAGGGGCAAATCTACTTCATTTTTGCCTAGGCTTCATTTTAAAGCTGATCTATAAAAAATCTTACATCCTCTACATTTAAGATCTCAACGATTTTATTAAGCCCTAAGCTTTCAGGGTCTTAACAGATTGTGTTAATACAGGAAATATCAGGAACTTCCTGAAAGCAGTCCTCGCCCTGCTTTCTCATGGACATCTCAGTGTTTGTCCTTTGGCTCATACATTTGAGGCCTCCATTTTCTTCATAAAATAACGATGACAATGATGAAAACACCCCTACACATACACATGCACACAGACACAGTTAACAGTTCTCCTCTAGCTTTCCACACACTTTTCAAGAATTATGAGAATGGAATAAAAATCACTTCAGGGCATTTTCAAATGGCTTTTCCAAAACTAGAAATAAGCATAAGTAACTGAACAGCTGTAATGGCAAAGAATGCTAGTGAGTTTCTATAGCAAGACGTGCTGTGTCAAACCAGTGGTTCCAAAATGGAGGCAATTCTGGGCCTCCCTGAGAGGACATTCGATAACATCTGGAGACATCTTGGTTGTCACCCTATTGGGGAAGGGTGCACTGGCATCTAGTGGGTAGAGGTTGGGGAAGTCTCTAGATGTTCTATAATATACAAGACAGTCCCCACCACAAAGAATTACCTGGCCCACTACGTCAACAGTGCTGAGGCTGAGAAAATCTGTGCTAAATCATAAGCTCCTTGAGGCCTAGAACCAGTAAGTACTTTTTGGCAAAAAGCAGACACACACACAAAAAACGTGTGATGAGACAAAATTAAATGGGAGACAGTTATCACACTATATTGAAGAAATGGGCAACAATTTCACTTTTCCCCAGCCCCTCCTGTTATCACTGCCTTCCTTCTAGACTCCCAATCCAAATTACATGAAAGCCAATAACAGGCATTAGAAACCTAAATGATACATACAGTTTACATGCTTTTCTATACACCAAATCCTAGCATTTCTATCAAATTCTTACCCCAAATGAGTAAGATCTTTGAAAAGTATAAACATCTTTTCCTGTGTAAAATCCATTATTTTCTAAGAATCACATGAATAACAACATAGCCTCCTACGAATATAAATAAAAACACTTCTTGATTATTGTTCTCCTACATACTAATAAATGCAATTCTGGCAGTTAATTTAGATTAATGAAAGAAGCAAACAGAATGAAGTAAAATCAGAAGCTAAATATAGGTGATCTAAGTTAATCTCACTGAGTCCTTTTATCCCATTATTAATTAATGCTTCCCACACCTAACCTAAGTAGCCATTCATTTGTTGCCCCAAATTGAAATGAGGGTAAATAACTTTCACACATTTTTTAAGGAGGCATCCGATTTAACTGCTGAGGCTTGGGTCTTGACATTAAAATTGACTGTGTTTCTAAATTTTTTTTTTTTTTTCTTTTTTGAGATGGAGTCTTGCTGTCACCCAGGCTGGAGTGCAGTGGCATGATCTCGGCTCACTGCAGGCTTCGCCCCCTGGGGTTCACGTGTGTTTCTAATTTTTAAGGCCCTACTTTAATTTCTACTGTCACTAAATAAAAAAGAACAAAAGCTTTTTCTTTTAAAAACCCTAGACATCATGTTCCTGCTTCTGCTGGAAAAAGAGACAGGATATCACCATCTCAAACCAGCACCTTTCAGCAACTGAAGCCTTTTTGTCCTCACCCTGAGTGTTAAGACAATGGCTCCCTCACACGTCACAGGCCCTGGAAGTGCTACAACAGCTGAATGGGTTTTCATGGGACATAAATCACTTTCCCACTACCTGCCACCTACAAACCTACTTCTCATGAACCTTGGATCCTGCACAATATGGCTCGTCATATCCTTTGTGACTGCTATGAACAAGGGGACTATTTGCATGAGTAGATAGAGGGCATTTTTCCTTTTGACGGTTGGTGTTTTTCCCCCTTGTTCCTTGAATTTTTTTTCATTAAAATCACAGAAACATTCAATGTCCACATGTCAGTTAAATTTTCAACTTATACTTGCATGTTTCATATAACTGTTGAGCACTTTAATAAGATTCTTGAAAGCATATTTATCTGTCCATTTCCTAATATATCTCCATATTCTTATAATTTTGCATGAGAGCTTTTGAGCAAATTTTCATCCCATTTTGGGGGCCTTAAAGAACTGAGGAGAAAATATACACAGTAGACCACGCATTTACTGATTGACAATGTTTTCCCATATACAAATTTCCTAAATTCACTTATTCCTCTTGAAACTGAATTGCTGAAAAGAATAATGATTAAAGATATTCTTGTGGATGTGACACCACCTACATACATCTCATCCCATTGCTCTGTATTAAATTTGGACTGCTTAAAGTAGGAGTTATATATACTTGTTATGGGGACCAAAAAGCTGCCTGGAATTTTGTAGCCTTTATCACAAGCAGCTGAGAGGCTGTCTGAGAGTCACATAAGTAGATCACAGCTGCCAATGGTCAGTCCAGGTGCCTGTGTTCCCTCCTTTTTCAGTGGCCTAGAGTACATGCTTCACCTGCATGCCCCATTCAGACAAGAACAGATGCTGCTGCAACAAAGTGGTCCAACCACAACAAACAACACTTCTCTGTGAGCCATGTTATGCCAAAGCCTCTGCAGGCACAGATCATGAAGCAATTTAATACAAGCTTAGATAAAAAGCCAAGTGAACAATCTAGAAGCCAAAAGAAAACACAAGGGAAAGTTCCTTAGTTTTAGCGAGGAGAAGAAACAGGCAGAGTACATCTCCAGGGGAAATGAGAGGAAAGGGGAGGGGAGGCAACAGCTGTCCGCCAGGTCTATTTCAGGGAACCGGTGAAAACGTTATTTCCCTTACTCTGGCAACTGAGATTATGAGTCCTTATAATCCGTGCTTATAATTCTCAACTCTTTCTAGGGTCAGGAGGAGCAAGTGACATTGAACAGAGCCCAAGCAGAACAAGAATTATGTGTGCTGATTGTGCTAAACACAAAGTGGAGCCCCAGCATTTTTCTGAAAGTGGCTGGAAAGCAATCTCTAGCTTGGCTTGTAAAAACCTTATGGCGGGTGGGGGTGGGGAAATGAGGGATGCATCTCTCCCCTAAACAAGTCTCACAGGAAAAAATATCCATTAATGAAAAGACCTTTGCATTAGAAAAAGATGGCAGTGGGGATGTATGCTGACAACCTCGAGAATAATACCAAAGGCTAGAGCCAAAACATGTGATTCCAGTGTCAGGCCAGAGCCCAGCTGGAGCAGCCATGGGAAAAAAAGATACCATACAGAGGAGAAGCAGGGGGCCAGGGCTGAGTGAAGTGGGTGACAAATTGGTGCTAAGGCACCACAAGCGGCAGGCTTGTTTTCTCCCGCCTGATGTTGTAAGAGGCTTTTACACTGGAAGCCTGGATGCTGTGGAGGAGGGCGGGTGGCATATATGCAGCTGAGCTTTACTCTGAGACAGCAGGATGCTGTCACCACCAGCATAGCAGGGAAAACATGACGCAAGACCCATCTGGGACAGGTGGGTGCACAGCCCTTGGCAGGGGCACCGCACGCAGGACAGGAGATTCAAACCCCAACACAACACATTCCCTGGGGCCAACGAACAAGCCTCGGCCTCAAGAGGAGGAATACAAATACTGGAGCTGATTGTAGCAGAAACAGCTGTGCTGCAGCCTACACGGCCAAGTGCAGGAGACGCTGGCATGATGTCTTCAAGAGGGTGCAGGCTCCCGAGTAGTGCAGCTACAAAGCTGCCCCCCAGGGTTTAACTGGCCAATTCTTGCAAAGGGGCACTCAATAAATAATTTGAAATTTGAATAAGTCTCTCCATCCTGCCTACTCCCAGCACAAAATCCATCAACAGACTGGATCTTCTCGTAACCTGTTGGGCCTATGAGGACGCAGAAGTGCAAAATACATTCCCTGCCCTCAAAGGGTTTATTGTCATCTAGGCCCGATGGTTCCTTCCAAATTGTGGGTAGCCTCCTACAGTGGATAGTCAAAATCAATTAAATGGGTCAAAATAAACACTGTTTTTAACACACACAAAAAAAGAAGAAAATGTTCCTGTGGAACTCTTAATTAAAATGTATGTGCCCATCACAACATTAAAATATATTCCTTACTATGGGACAAATTAAAAATAATTTCAAAAATAACTGATTACTGAAGAAACCAGGCACATCTAACCATTTACAAAGAACTTTTACACAATTGGTTTTACAGAATCCAGAAATCCCAGGATCCAGCTATCATTATTATGCCTTTTTTCAGTGGTTCGGAGATGTGGCTGCCTTGTTCAAAGCAACACAGCACGGTTGGGATGTAATCGCAGATGGGTCTGCCTCCAGTATGTCCTCAAGTACCACAGGAGGTCAGAGAAGATGATGGTGAGCAATGAGGGCTAGACACAAAAGGAGAGAGAGGAAACCTGAAAGGGGCCTGGAAAGGCAGGGAGGACTTTGGCCAGGGCAGTGGGTCAGAGAAGTAGAAACGAGTTCAGTTAGTTGTTGGCGGTGGTGGCGGGGCGGGGGGCCTGGTCAGGCGAGTGTTCAGTCCAATATAGCCGTGGGTACTGGAAGTTCAGAGCAGACTAAAGGGATTAAACAGACTCATCTGGTCTCCATCAGTCCTGAGACTTCTCTAGCCTCTTTGAGTTTCACTTTCTTCATCTGTAAAATGGGGATGACAACAGGATCTACTTGAAAGGACTAAATGAAATAATACATGCACACTGCTTGGGCTCAATATATGATAGCTTAAAAAAAAGGAGTCACATCACCTACGCAGAATCTTGCACCAATAGAGAAAATGAACACTTGTCACTGTATTTGGCCCTCACAACAATCCTATGAGATAGGCAAGATGGGTTTTTAGAGCTCAGGAAACTCCAGCAGACAGACAGAATGACTTATGCTGGGGCTTCTGACCCAGTCCTCTTATTCCACAGGGAAACAAGTAGAAAATAAGTCTGGAGGCCAGGCACGGTGGTTCCCGCCTGTAATCCCAGCACTTTGGGAGGCCAAGGCAGGCGGATCAAGAGGTCAGGAGATCGAGACCATCCTGGCTAGCAAGGTGAAACCCTATCTCTACTAAAAGTACAAAAAATTAGCTGGGCGTGGTGGCACGTGCCTGTAGTCCCAGCTACTTGGGAGACTGAGGCAGGAGAATCGTTTGAACCCAGAAGGCAGAGGTTGCAGTGACCCGAGATCACTCCACTGCACTCCAGCCTGGGCGACAGTCCCCCACCCCCAGCCCACCACCAACCCACCACAAAAAAAAGAAAAGAAGTCTGGATCACTCAGGGAGGCAGACAGAGGACCTCAGAGGCTAGGCAAAGAAATTTAGACTCCCACCAATAACAGTTAGGGCTTAAAAGGGTTTTGAGGAAAGGAGATGGTGAGTGAGGGAGAGAAGATATAAAGGCTTTGAAATAAAGATAGCATACTGCTCTTAGAGTTAAACTTTAAAAAGCCAAGACATGCAAAATCATCCTGGAGAAACAGCTCCAAGCCCTAAAGAATTGAAAGTATTATATCTAAGGGTAAGAATGTCAATCAGAAGGGCTTGGTCAGATTTGAAAGTGGAGGAAAGCAGATAGTCAAAGAGAACAGCAATGGCCTTGCCACTCCCAGCAATATGTAGTGAGAAAGGGCCTGAGGCAACCTCCTGAGCCTTGGAGGGTCAGGACCCACTGGCAAAGTCAGCCTCACTGTGGAGAAGGATGCAGGCAGCTGAAGCCAACTCACTTGGGGTATTCCCACTGGCAAGCCTCCTGACTGTGAAATGGATGCCTCGGACTTAACCTTGATGCCATCTGACACTTCACTTCTCTTTGTTTTTATTCCATACCAGCCAAGTAAGCATCTGATTATGATTTGGCTTCCCACGAAGGCCTGACTACAGGAAGAAAATGTGTACTAGATGTTCCCACACCAGAATCCCAGGCCATGAAATGGAAATAGAAACAGTTCTATTCTCATTTTAAGGCAGTAAGCAGACAATCTGGTTTTATATATCCACTTCCTGAACTGGGATAACACGATGGAGAGATTAGCTCTGGCTAGGCTCATAAAATCAGTTTCTAAGCCTTGGTCCTCAGGGGACCAAGGATGTCCACTGGAACACACCGCCCTGCAGAACTCCTTGGGAAAACCCACTCTGACCATCTGCAGGGACGTCCTATTAGAAGGGATGTGGGAGGCAGCCTGATCTGGCTGCGGCAGAGTGCAGGATGGCTGGGGGTGCTCGTGTCAGCAAGCTAGCTCACAGGCTACAGACATAAGGTGACCAACAGTGTAAACTAGAGTAGAGGCAGTAGGAATGGAGAAAAACAGAGGAAAATACAAGAGACACTAAGGAAGTAAAAGAAATGCAAAGATGACTGGAGTTTCTATCTCTGGGACTCAGAGTGGGGCCCCCACCTTGGCAAGACAGAGAAGAAAATTTGCTGAACCTGGATGTGATTTGAGATATGTTCATTTGAGATGACACCATCAAAACTATACTCAGTCCAATGACTGGTTGGGACCATGATAGGACCATATTCATTAGATTGCTTGGTCACTCTATTCATTTCACAAACATTTACTGAGTGTCTACAATGTACCAGATATTACTCTGCCTGTCACTAGGGACCCCTGCCTTCAAGGAACTTACATGGTCCAGTGGTGTTGGCAGAGAGGTCAATTTACTATCATAGTAAATATAGTAGGTTCTATGATGGGGATGTGCACAGAGTCCAAAGGGAACATCTAAAATAATGAACACCAAGAGAGAGAGAACAAAACTTTTTCAGCCAAAGGAAATCAATTTTCTTTAAACAGAAGAATCAATGTTATCCTTTCATCTTCTTGAAGTTTTGAATTCATGGAAATGTTGATTTTTAAATCAAACATCAAAATCCTATCTAATTTTACTTCCTTTCACCCTATAAGTGGTAAAAAACAAATAGCAAGAGGACTGAAAAATACTCTTAGCTGAGAGATTGCAGCAACACATGTAGAAACTCCCAAAAAAATAAAGGTACATGCCAGATCTGTGACAGCCCACAGAAAGGCAAACATCTAGTACATGGGCCAAAAACCAAACCATACGTAAGGCACTGCCTACGTAAAGACCACAGATTCATTCAGTTTCATCATCTGGCACAAAGTTTCCAAACTGCAATTCATATTAACAATTACTTTCCATTGACTGAAAATTTAAAAGATCACAAATGACAAGAAAGGTAAAACTAGAGAAATGTGCCTTGTCTATAGGGCATATATAAATGCTGACTGCAAATTTCAGCACTTAGCAAGGTGGAGGGAAAAAAGAAAAATGCCACGTGAAAAGACACAAACGCAGTGTCTGAGCCAGCTTAGAGCCAGGATAGGTTAGGCAGAGGGAGGAACAGAAACAGAGAGAGATGGACTCAAGAAAGTATCCACATGAAGCCATATTTGCCTTTGAGAACCTAATGTGACCTAAGCCCTTGACCAGGTAAACGCTCTCCCATTTTGCCATCTCTCCTCTTTCATACTCCACCCCACTTATGTCCACATCGCACCTCCTACAGACCTGAGCCAAACTGGCTCTGAGCAACGCGTGCTGGGGCCTCACCTACCAGTACCCTGAGAAGGCCTGAGAACAGGGCCTCTCAGGGTGCCTGAGAGGTGGAGGTTGCAGCGAGCCGAGATCGCGCCACTACGCTCCAATATGGGCGACAGAGCAAGACTCTATCTCAAAAAAAAAAAGAAATCCATGTAGTAAAAGTTACTGTAACTCACTCAGAGGTCAATGGACCACTTGTCTATTTTCCTCATTCTAGCAAGTTCTAGCAGCCCTGATCATCTGGCTTTCAAATCAAAGGCTTATTATAAAACAGCAAATTCAAAATGGAGATGGGCTGGCCACTAGCCCTACTGACAAAAGCAAAACCAGACAGCCAAGGAGGGGACACACATCACATAAAGGGCGGTGTGAAGAACCGCGTGGACCCTGAAGTCCGTGGCCACTCATGGAGGGCAGGCTGCACGGGGGAGCGCAGAAGGGGCTGCTGGCGGGGAGGAGGGAGTCTGGGGAAAGGGGAAGTGCACAGGGTTACTGCAGGGGGGTGGCTGGCAAACCCCAGGCAGCCTGGAGCATTGCAACCAACAAGAAGTTCTCCCACAAACCGTTCTGGCTTTTTTTTTTTTTTTTCAAATTTACAATGTTAGTATAATGACTAAAAACAGTAACTAAAAGCACTACTAAACTGATAACAGCATTTTTATTATACCATTCTGGGTGAGGTAAGTAAAAAAAAACCACATACTGTGCAAGGTTAGGAAAATTTGACATCAGAAAGGGGGCACTTGTGTGTGTAAAGGTGAGGAGCTACCCATACGGTGGAAGGTTAGCCTTGAGGCTGACAAACCTGGATGCAAATCACGGCTGCTCCTCTCAGCTGTGTGTATGTAAAATGGGCATCAAACTATCTACATCATACGATTTTGTAAAGGAAAGGACCCAGGGCAGTGACCATTTCCTTTGGTGAATTAGTTTGTTCACACGTTCAAGAAACAAGTAACAATATGTACTACCAGACATTGTGGATATAACAGTGAACCTCCAAAATTTCTGCTGTCAATGATATTACAGTCCGGTGGTGGAGAGAGACAAGAAAAGGCAATTACAATATAATGAGAGAGACATTTTATTTATTTATTTATTTATTTATTTAGAGACACAGTCTCAACTCTGTCACCCAGGCTGGAGTACAGTGGTGCGATCCTGGCTCACTGCAACCTCTGCCTCCCGGGTTCAAGTGATTCTCATGCCTCAGCCTCCCAAGTAGCTGCGATTACCACCACACCTGGCTAATTTTTGTATTTTTAGTAGAGACGGGGTTTCGCCGTTAACAATTTTTTCCAGGCTAGTCTCGAACTCCTGATCTCAAGTGATCCGCTGGTCTTGGCCTCCAAAAGTGCTGGGATTACAGCCATGAGCCACCACACTGGGGCAGAGGGACATTAAGACCGTAAGCATAGGCACAATGCACTCTAGGGTCCCTGACCAATCTACAAACAGGGAGAACAAAGCCTGGACAGTGACACAGTTGTGAAGATTAAAGAGCTTTAATTAATTCCCACTTACTTCAGCAAATATTTAATGTGGCTGTGTACCAGCACTGTTCTAGGGGCCAGGGTCACAGCACAGAACAGACTGAGACCGCTACCTTCATGAAGCTTACGTTTGGGAAAGCAGGAAAAGTAAGATCATAAACACTATAAAGCCTACTACGTCTCAGACATTCTGTTTTCAGAGGGCAAGGAAGACTTCAGAAAGAGTTCATTCAAAGTGATTAAAAGAAAAACGTTTATGCTTAATGGGGGAACCCCTCAGCTATCTGAAAAGTTAGCTGTCCAAAATAACACAATCCTAGCACTAGCTGAGGTTTTAGTGTGCTCCCCTTTTACCTTCTTGACTTCCTTTTCTCTTATACCCATTAAAGTAAATATGGAGATGAAAAGATGTTGTAAATACATTTCCCTCACGTAGCACCTCTTCCTCATTCACCTGGAACATGTTTACCTAGTGTGACAATGAACAGTCCAGATTGTCTAACTCATGAGAAAGGGCCATGTCACAATCACAGTGATTTGTTTAAAGAATCTTGCCCACTGCATAATTAGCCTGTAGGTCACCATCTGTCTCTAAGTCCTCATAAAACTAACCATATGTTGTTTTCATCAAGGGCTGAACAAAAGTAACATAGACCCTTCTCCAAGGAAAATGCTACACGTTTCTTATGGAGAAAGAGGATATTGAGAGAATGCTTGGCTTCCCAGTTATTAATGCTTGGCTTCTCAGTTATTACCATATTTCCTTTATATTTAGAAAATTTTTATTTTGTTCTGTTCATGCTTTGACCATGGCTATTAACCCAAGCAACACTAACAATTGCTAGAAGTTTCTGAAGGGGGCTCTTCTAGGAGACATTGGGTAAATAGGCTTAGGGCCTCCAAATTTTATTTTTCCTCTGTGGTTTGACCTCGTAATATGAAGAGAAAAACATACAAGCAAATATATCTTATAAACAGTTCTATCTATTGTCCATTGCATTTAAAAATGCAAACTCATGAAATAACAACTTTTTAAATTTTGTATTTTGTACAGATAGAGTCTATGTTGCCCAGGCTGGTCTCGAACTCCTGCGCTCAAGTGATCCTCCCATCTTGGCCTCCCAAAGTTTTAGGATTACAGGCTTGAGCCACCATGGCCCAGCCGAAATACCAACTTTTAAATCATAGTAACACTATTCTAAAGTAGATAACAACTACAAGAGAATCTAAATCATCACTTGAAACTGTTTGAAAACTGTCATCGAATACTATTTTGATTTATGAGAGCAAGAATTCTCAAACTGTTAAGTACTGATCTTCTCACATCACCCACCAAGGACTAAACAATCTTAATAAGAAGCAGAAGTACAAAATGTTCTGAATTTTAGTTTGGTTTAGTTCATTTTTTAAACAAAATATGGATAAAAATTATCCCAAAAATGTACATACAGCTTAAAATTACATGGCAGGGAACACTGAAGCATTTAGGTAACTCAGGAATGTTAGAATCTCATGGTACAAGTGGATCATTAACACTGCTCTTATGATGCAGAGAAACCAGTTCATCAACTGCCTTCCCTGAGGGCATTACAAAATTAATCTGATCCTTGGTCTACAGATTCACGCATCAACTGTATTTACAAAACTGGCCACAATGTCATCATTTTAAAAAGGCCAAGAGTTTCCTACAAGGCTAATGATCCCATTTGGCCTGGGAAAGTATTTGTTGAACTGAATTGAATGGTGCAGAGAAGGGAATTTTAACTTTCCATATATCCTGACTCATTAATCCTCAAGTTAACCCGTTACCAAAAACAGCCAACCTCTCAAACCTTTAAAGGTTTATGCGCACATCATATTTCACCTACTTACTGACCTTGAATTGCATCTCTTCATTTTTTCTAAACTTACCAACAGTTGATGGGCAGGGTTCCTCGTCATAGAGTTTCACTAAAGGTTTATTTTACCCCCTGCACTGAGAGCACTTACCTTTCTCACGTGTGTATAATTTAAGCCTAATTCTTACAGGATATTTAACAGTTATCCCTCAGAGATCTTGAGCATTCTCCTAGAGACCTCTTTACCTTATGGCACTAGGTCTTACAATGAATGTTTCCAGTCTAACAGGGCCTTGATCTTCTTAGCATAAGCTGCAGTGCTTCATCCAAGGGCCCTATCAAGGTTTCTCCCCTTCCTTCCACGGCAATGTCCTAGGGTGTCACAAAGAATAGTAACAGCAGCGTGATCTAAGGGCAGAGAGACAGACCTGGCTTCCCATCCCGGCTCATACACTTCTTGCAATCCTGGTTTCAACTTTTCTAAATGGGAATGCCATCTCCTCACCCTTATTCAGGGTAGCTATGACTATTACCTAAAAGCACGAAGGGTGCCTAGCGACGGACCTGATCCCCAACAGACACATGGTAAATGGCAACATTACTGAAGAAGTTAGAGGCCGCTCTGCCTGGTGAAGTCTGCTTTTTGTAATCCATTTAAATGGTCTTTGTCCACTGTCCAATGCATTTAAGTCCTCCTAAAAAAGAAAAGGGCACCACGAAGATTAAGAGCTAGCCAGGTGAAGAGGGTGGCAGCTGGAATGTTCTGGGCCACAGGAAAAGCACAGACTCCGGAGTGTAGGAGCTGAGAGGTGCAGACAAGGGCCAGAGCCAGAGCCAGAGCCAGCACGCTGAGTGGAGAAGGAAACAGAGTCTTGTGAATCCCCTCTGCAAGGAACACCTCATGACACAGGGAAAGCTTACAATGTAGTGGCAAATTTTTAAAAATAAAGTACAAACTCAACATGAACAAAATGGATCCATATATACAAATATCTGGAAAACAAAAAATATAGAAAATTATTTAAAATATGTAAGTCATCAGAGATAATCGCTACTCACACACACATTCTCTCTCAGATTTATACATAGGCTTTCTGAATTTTTCACAAAAGTATTTGAGCACATAGTATATCTCTAACAGGCTGGCGGGCTCTTTTTTTTTTTTTTTTAAAGCCCATACTGTCAGTCTCTTTTCAATGAGACAATATAACTCCTAATCTTTCAGATCTAAGCTCTTCAATACACATACTACCTGAGAAGTTTGAAAGCCCCCAGTGAACCTTGTTCCCCAGCTCTTTCTGCTGATTCCCTTCTCTCTTTCTGCTAACGAGACGTCTGTGGTTATTTACTGGGTAATTTCACCAGCCAGAACCACTGGGGCTAATCCAAGGGTTTCTTTTCCTCAGAAACAAAAACAACAGCAGCAAAATCTCCTTATTTATAATATTCAACACCTCCCACAACAGTCACATAATATTCTAGAAACTTTTCCTCTTTCATCTACAATATCCTGAATATTGTATTCAATGCCATTCCCATCCATCTGCGCCCCCCACCCCACAAAAAAAAAAAAAAAAGTGGCTGGGCGTGGTGGCTCACACCTGTAATCCCAGCACTTTGGGAGGCTGAGACAGGCAGATCACAAGGTCAGGAGATCGAGACCATCTGGCCAACATGGTGAAACCCCATCTCTACTAAAAATACAAAAAATAGCTGGGTGTGGTGGTGCATGCCTGTAATCCCAGCTACTTGGGAGGCTGAGGCAGGAGAATTGCTTGAACCTGGGAGGCACAGATTGCAGTAAGCTGAGATGGCACCACTGCACTCCAGCCTGGTGGACAGAGCGAGACTCCATCTAAAAAAACAATAATAATAATAAAGGTTATTTTATGTCCTTTCTCAGCCTCTGATAACTTAGGTTATTCTGTTGCTTTCTGGATATTCACATTATTTACAAGAAAATTAAAAAAAAAATCAAACAGTATTAATTTCCTCTTTCCCCCTCAATTCATGTACACAATCCACTTTGCCAACATATTAAACTTCAAATGTTTCAATTAACTCAAAATCAACCTGCAATGTTACAAAACTTAAACTTACATTGCTAAGTCTACAATCACCACAAATATTGCCTTTTTCAAAAAGGGAAAATTTTTAAAAACATAGTTGTATATCAACCAAATTAGATTGTCTGAATATGTTGATTTTTATCTAGATATTTTGATTTAAAAAATGTCATGGGGCCATGAGCAGTGGCTCACACCTGTAATCCCAGACAACATACTTTGGGAGGTCGAGATGGGAGGATTGCTTGAGGTCAGAAGTTCGAGACCAGCTTGGGCAAAAAACTAAAAAATTAGCCAGGCGTGGTGGCATGTGCCTATAGTCCCAGCTACTTGGAAAACTGAGGATGGAGGGTCACTTGGGCCCAGGAAGTCCAGGCTGCAGTGAGCTGTGATGATACCTAGGCAACAAAGCAAGACCCTGTCTCAAAAAAAGGCCAGGACTAAGAATGATT
The DNA here is from genome assembly GCF_000001405.40 of Homo sapiens. Classification (NCBI taxonomy): domain Eukaryota; kingdom Metazoa; phylum Chordata; class Mammalia; order Primates; family Hominidae; genus Homo; species Homo sapiens. Next base: position 98,576,729 of record NC_000004.12, read on the forward strand.
TTTCTTTCAGCATACACCTATTTATTACTTTATTCTGTTTGTTTGTGTTGAGACAGTGTCTTGCTCTGTCGCCCAGGCTGGAATGCAGTGGTGCGATCTCAGCTCACTGCAACCTCCACCTCCCGTGTTCAAGTGATTCTCCTGCCTCAGCCTCCTGAGTAGCTGGGACTACAGGTACCCGCCACCACATCTGGCTAATTTTTTGTATTTTTAGTAGAAATGGGGTTTTGCCATGTTGACCAGGCTGATCTTGAACTCCTGACCTCAGGTGATCTGCCCACCTCGGCCTCCCAAAGTGCTGGGATTGCAGGTGTGAGCCACTGCACCCGGCCATATTTACTGCATTTTATTAAGTCTCCCCTCCTGGTATTCATGGAAATAGAAAATAACTGTTTTATATTCTGCTGAAAAATGAAACCCCAATCTAAAACTCAATTTGAGAAAAAATTATTCATACTTCTCTCTCATATTTCTGTTAACAGAGAAGCCAGAAGCAGTGCCATCCCTACTTTCAACCCTAAGGCTCACACATTATATTAAAGTTTTGTGAAGTACCTGGCACTTCTCATGCAGAAGTTACTGACATACTGATTTAAAATGTTTACCACCCTTAAAATTTGCCAAGAAACTTGCCAACCAGAATCTTTATTGTTTCCCCCCCTGAAACTCCAAGTCCCCTCATCATTTGCCTTCTCCCAGCCCAGAGACATCTACCTACCTTTCCCTCACAGCATCGCTCCATAATTGACCTCCAGTGAAGGACCTACCATTACATAAGTGATGTCATTTGCCAACAACTTTACCTGTGGTACCTATCAGGGTCCGTTTATTTTGGACCTGTACTGTATCAATTTTTGCTGTTTATCACATTTGACAAAAGTGTCAGCAAGTAGAAAGCAGCAATGACGAAGCCCTGAGGAAAACTGGAACACCCCAGAGAAAGAAAAGAGAAGCAATGTCACATGGCCTTTAGGAGCACTGGCTCCAGAGCCTGACTCTTTCAGCCCAAATCCAGTTCTGCTATTCACTGGCTGTGTCAATTGGCTGTGTGAGTGACTTTACCTCTCTAGAAATGGAGATACCCATAATACTAATCCTTAGGGTGTTTGTGATAATGAAAACAGATCAAGGAGGTAAACTGGGTAAAGTCCTCAGCACAGTGCCCGGCACATGGTAAACACAATAAGTATTAGCTACTTTTTAGAGATCTGTCTACCAATTCAGGAATTAAGAATTCCCTCAGAGATTCAGCATTATTAATTATACCTTAAATCTGTGTGAGTTGGCAGCATCACATTAGATCACAAGATTCAACACACATCCTATTTTTTGGCACTTATTAATTCTGGAGAGCTAATTAGAAAGTGAAAGTTATTTTAGGAAAGGAATGCAAGCAGTTATGCAGAATTAATCAATTATGCAAAGCTGTGTGGTCAGGACACAGCCCAAGTCTCACAGAACCTCCCCTTGAGACATGAACTTGCAACATGAACTGGAAACCCCATCACCTTTATCCCTGCAGAGCCAACACATCTGTGAAGGAATTCATTCACGGTACCCTTAAATACTTACATTTAAAGTGAAAGTAATCGTGGAATGATATTCAGTTTGTCTATTCACAGATGAATTCCTCTTAGCTCTTCCCCAAATAATAACTTCCCTAGACTTTTCTCCTTCTTTCATTAAGTATTTATTAGTATTTATTTTATTTTTTTGAGACAGAGTCTTGCTCTGTCGCCCAGGCTGGAGTGCAGTGGCACAATCTCGGCTCACTGCAACCTCCGTCTCCTGGGTTCAAGAGATTCTCCTGTCTCAGCTACCCCTGGGATTACAGGCACACACCACCACGCCCAGCTAATTTTTGTATTTGTAGTAAAGATGGGGTTTTGCCATATTGGCCAGGCTGTTCTCAAACTCCTGACCTCGAGTGATCTGCCCACCTCGGCCTCCCAAAGTGCTGGGCTTACAGGCATGAGCCACCTGTGCCTAGCCTATTAGTACTTATTATATGCCAAACTCTGTGCAAATTGTCTTTGGCACTATTCTCTTAGGTAGACAGTGCCACTTTTCCTCCAGATCCAAAGCAGACTCTCCCACCTCCCCAGTCCTCTCAGCCACCTTGGGAATTCTTTCCTCTAAGTTACATATGACACCTCCCTAAAGCACACCTCCCACTACACATGCCAACTGAAAGCTTCTATAGGGTAACAATGATCTATTTTTTACCTTTGTATGCCCCACACCCTTGACTGCACTAGCCTGTGTGCATTAAAACATAGATAAATATCCCCCATGTAGTTACTAATACCAAGGAAATAGGAAGACGTGCTGGATGGGGGGCTCTGGTGGGTGGCTGTCCTCCCCACAAAGCTGTTAGAGCAGAACAGGTGCTACCCGTACACCTCCAGAAAGGGCATAGTCAACTGCAACACAGCATCCACAACCATCCTCCACCCCCAAGAGCCCAGGCTGGCCGTCACGTTCTCAGCTTCACTTCAGCATCTTCCAGCATCCTCAAACACGCTCTTCTTCCTTTATCAGGAATGCCATCAATCTTCATCACAGGAAGAGAAACAATACTCACCCTCCACAAACCTATGCCCAAGTGCAGCATTTTACCTATAAACCAGAGCAAGGTACATTTCTGGAGCCCTGTACTATTCTTTTAGGTGGACAGTGAATAAGCTGAGAGAGAGTTAATATCAACCCATGCAACTGTACAGGAAGGATTCATGGTTCTGTTTTTTAAAAAGAGAGAGAGAGCTGAGTAAATGAGTGTTTAACCAAAGGACAGGGCTCTGCTTTCTATTAAGTTTGACTATTTTTTAACCATTTCTTTGAAATAACATTGTTATTATTTTTCCCACTAAAATTGTAAGATAACAAGGCAGACAAGAAAATTGCGTTACAAGAATGCACTTCAGCATTAAGGCTTTCACACACAGCTATCACTTCCCATTACCAATCCTGCTTTTCAAGAGTTTCTCTAATCCCAGCTGTCTTATGCAGCATTAGGACAGTTGGGCTTAGCTATGGAAGGCGAAAGCTCCTGACTCCTTTATTCAAGCCAGATCTTCATAAACAATGTGAAAGAGACAAAAGACAGCAAATAATTTGGTCCCAATTACTATATGAAAATTTATGTGAAATTTTTCACACATTCATATTAGATGCTGAATAGATTTTTTAAAACCCTATATACCCAAAATAATGTTTAAATTATCCTCTAAAAGAATGAACGTATCATATATATGACTATAATAGTAACTGTTTTGTGATATTTTAACAGTACTCAACAGCTTTCTCTTCTTATTAGTGATTCTCTCCATGTTTTCATCTAGGAGAAAACCTTCCATACTCATTAGTGGAGAGAAAATAGATATGTTAGTTGAAACCAAAATTTCCATTATCTTCTTTAAGCAAAATAAACTCTTGCACACCAACATTATAAACATGAACACATTTATATGTATGTTTCACACACAAAGTCTCTGAGAAACTATTTTAGGATGTGGCCACCCACCATATCAGGTCAGTGCAGATGGGGGCAGATGATGTGGACTGCACAGTTGAGTCCATCTGACCCCAACAAAACAGTTCATAGAAACATCATCTGACTCTGACTGCTCTATCCCAGCGAGGCAAGTTGTCCAGCTGACCTTTTTTACTCTTATACACACTGTGGAAAGATGAGGGTAAAATTACTCTTGGCTCAGACTTCCAGGGCAGGCAGGAAGCCCCATCTACACCAGCTTCAATCTTCCTTCACAGGGAGGTGGGTGATAGTGGAACAAGCCGACCTGGAAAAGGTTTCCCAGAGAGAAGTCAGCAAGAGAAGAGCAGACACCAGAATACCAAGATGATGGCCTTGAAGTCCAAGATGAGGAACAGGGGAGAACAAACAATTAAAAGGAAACTAGGGAGGGTGTCTAATGCATTCATAAAGAGAGTTATTTATTTGATTTTAAAGCCAAACCACAGAATGTTTAATAATTTAGCATGAAAACCTGTTTTTTTATTCAAAAATGAGAAACCTGCCACTGAGACTATTTATAATGTCAGCCAATTGGAGACCCGTACAGGAAGAAGACAGTTTCCTCTTTGCTGCCTGGGTAGGGGCTACAAAGGACAAGGCTGACAGAGTCTGATTCCTATAGTCTTTTCCCTCTCTAATTTCTGTGGAAAACAAAAGATTCTGGCTAGATCTCCACTTTCTCCTCTCTACTGCCTCTTCTCAAACCACTCCTGTTTTGGTCAAAGTTAATAACTCCAATCTGAAAGCACAGGCTGACCATTAGAAACCCCAGAGTCAATATAAAGGGGAAAAAAAAATTAACGGGAACAATCTGTTGGCACTGAGAGGCCCACCATGCACTGATATAAAAACTAGTACTCATTTGGGGGAATCCCTCCTTATTTGGCTTTCATTTTCTAGGATTTGTGCAGAATAAATGACCAAAAGATCTTTGAATAACAAATAATAAGAAATAAGTAAATTACAGAAGTGAAAAAGCCATTCTGAACACACAGCAAAATACCAATTGAGGACCGGTGGCTTGGCTGGAAACCAAGCTTAAAGGGAAAAATCTGATCCACCTCAGAACTCCCTCACTTCTATTAATAATATGTTTTACCAACCCAGCTGTATCACTACTAGATGCAAAAATGTATAATTAGAGTCAGGAAAGGTAAAAAATCACCTTAAGGAAACTCTATGCCTCAGCACTTTCTAAACGCCCCTGTCTTCTAGGCAACTCTGCTCTTGTCTCCTTGTTCTTTTATCTCAATCTTGACGGCTAATCCCTCTGCAGGGTATTAATTACTCTGTCACAATTACGTTATTCCACAAACAAGAAAAACATAATACAATGAAATCCAAAACGGATTAACTTTTTATTGATTGTATTAACAACCTAATATTCTGTGATTGCACCATTAGTACACATTTTGCTGCACATTAAAAAGAAAAGGGTAATTTCTTCCCTTTGTCTCTGATCAGCTTAACTGATTTTTTTAAAAAAACACCAGAAATATTTCAAAGTAACCTGCGCAGCCAGTAATTTGCTTATAGATGTAATTTTTGTCTAAGAGACCCTCTGCATGAAATCAAATTTCATTAGACTGACTAGAAGTTGAAGTCACTTAGGGGTATACAGTAAATGCACCTGATAGCAGTAACTTAAGCGTACTCTTAAGAATGATTCTGTATGGCAGATGCCCCCGAATGTGTTCAGAGTTCTGAGCTAGGGATCTGGAAGTGGCCACCCCAGAGATCTGTTCCTTGTCTATGAGGAACATCTGAGCTCCCGGCCCATCTCTTGTGGGACATGGGCTGTAGGGAAATGGAGGCCCCGAGTTTTGGCATGAATGAAGGTTGCCAGGTGGAATCGTTAAACAGAGTACTAAGTGAAAATGCAATATAAACTGCATAGCTTTTGCAAGTGATTGCGGTTCTCTTGTCCAGCGCATAGCCGCTGGGCCCTCTCCCCTGTATGTAAGCCCCCGACGCAACCGCATGTTGCGTTTGCTGGCTCTGGGTCACTTCTTCAGCCTCCTGAACCTGGTGCCATCCCCACTGGAGCTGACGGCACAACAGGGACCCAGAGGACAGCAGCTCAGACGCTGACCAGGATGCTGAGCCTTAACCACTCAAACTGAGGTTCTGTCTAGGATTAAGTTCACACAAAACTGCAAGGAAAAGAAACGCCCATGACATGTGCACTAATAAAGAAAATGACATAGAAAATCACGCAAAGAGATTTGCTTTCCGTTTTGACAGTCAAAACAGGCATTTGCCACACGTTGACTTGCCACAGATGTGAGCACAAATCTCATCTCCAAAAAGCTCACTGTGATCTAAACACTAGACTTCAAGTCACAAATCTCGTGGCAAATAAGTCTGCAGAACAATTGTTTGAGGAGTTCAAGCTGCTTGAAAAATGAAGTCCAAGATATCTTTCTAACAGCTTATTTTCCACATCACTGAAGTTCGGAGATGGATTCATACACTAAGTTCTTCCTCAATGCCTCCCCAGCACTGACCCCACTATATTGTAAACATGTGCCCCCCTCATTAAACTGCAAGCTCCCTGGAGGCAAGGATTATGTTGACTTTGTTCTATTAAGGCACTTATCACTGGAAAGAAGAAAAGTGAGCTTGGTACCCACAAAAGATGTCAAATAGCTGTTATGAGTTGTGAATTCCCTTTGTCAGACAAAAAGCAAAACATATTCCTTGGTACCGTATAAAAGCACTGGAGGGAGGGAAGGCAGATATACTTACCATTAGAAAATAGAACGTTGTATTTATCCATACATCACTCACCTCCTACCCTCATCCCCTCAACCCAACTTCGACTTGTCAACTGAAATAACTTAAGGCAAAGTGGGTTGGAAGTCAAAACTGTGTATGTGATTCCTCTATTTTCTACCTCATTTTATCAGTTTAGTCCGATATTTTCACTTTTATTCTTAAGAATCCAGAATAATTTTCCTTCATTTTGTCTCCCTTTTTTAGGCCCACTTATTTATTGATATAAAGCCTTTCATTTTTTTAACTTTTAAAATGCAGGTTTGTTACACAGGTAAACTTGTGTCATGGAGGTCTGTTGTACAGACTGTTTAATCACTCAGGTATTCAGCCTAGTACCCATTCGTTGTTTCTTAATCCCCTCCCTCCTCCCACCCTCCACCCTCCACCAGGCCCCAGGGTGTGATTGTTCCCCTCTATGTGTCCATGTGTTCTCAGCATTTAACGCCCAGCCTTTCTTATATCAATAATCTCTAACAGGCAAAACAGAAATTCCATTTTGATGATTAAAAGGAGGAAGAAAATTAACTTCATGGTCCTGACCCACGTTCAACTTGATAAGAGAGGAGAGAGCACTGTGTGAAGGCAAGAGCTGGTAAGCTCAGACAACAGAAAGACCGGGACTAACTCCTGCTCATCACTTCACTACACGGCCTTGGCCATGCTGCTGATCTTCACAGCATCAGGTTCCTCATGGGTGATTTGGGAATAGCAACTGGACCAAGCCTCACAGGGTGAGAAAGAAGAATAAGTGAGAGAACGCATGTAAAGTGCCCAGGAGGAGACGTGGCTCCTGCACCTGTGATTGCTATTATTCATTGCTTCCCCACTCCCTCTTCCCATCTGACATCCACTACACAGTCAATGTAGGGTTTTGTGATTTTTCACACAAATACAGAGAATCTGGAACTTTGCCATGCTTGTCCCTGGCTCCCCCTCCCTCTCCCACTCCCACCTTCCAGTCTCAAATAACCCCCCATTCCAAAGGCCAGGGGACCCTACTATATACCCTAATGCACCAGAGCTTGTTTTGAGGAAAATAAGAGGTGAGATTTTTACGGAGAGCTTCCAAATTATTTTTTCAAAGAGATGCGGTCTTTCTTTGTTACCCAGGCTGGAGTCTAGCTCCTGGGCTCAAAGGATCCTCCTGCCTCTGCCTCCTGAGTAGCTGGGACTACAGGTGTGTGCCACCACACCTGGCCTGAAATACTCTTACTAAAATAAGGACACTTGAACTAATGCCATCTTATGGGAAAGTTATTCAATCATTCCCATTATATGCAAGCAGTGAAAATACTCATTTCTTTTTATTTTAAAATGTCCAGTTACTGAATAAGCATATATGCCTAAGTATTACTGAGGTCAGAGATTGCGTACAATACTCAACTCTGTTTCCCAAGCATGTTCACAGTCCATAGTTGAATGAGCAAACAAATACACTGTCAGTGCTTGAGTCAGCAGGTAAGAAAACATTTACAAATGAGGAATGAATACACAAAAGTATTTGCAAAGATATTACACACCATCTTCTACTTATATATGTAGACTTTCCAGTTCAAAGTCATGCCCAAAATCCTGTACTGTATTTGAAAAATCATTTCCTTGCTAAAAGTCTCTTTATAAAGACTCTGTGATTGCCTCAGGCTAACTTGTTCTTATCCCAAGTTTTTAAGAGGAAAAAGCCTAAAAGACATTTTATCTCTTCATGCAATAGGCCTATCGCCACTGCAAAGCATGGTAAAAGGAACTTCAGAAAAGATGGAGTGACCAAGAGAATTGAATGTGTCTTGAATGAGAAGGCACAATTTATCCTCAGAGTGCTCAAAGTTCCACATTCAATCTAATTCCTTCTATCCACAACAAATACCACTAAGAAGGGATTTAACATTTGAGGATACACTGTGTCCTCCTTCCACCGCTTCCCAAGTAAGCTGGCTGGTGGCTGGCTTAAAGAGAATAGCATTCTTCTCACAATTTCTTCACCCAGCTTTACCTCTGACAGAACTCAAAGCAAGTGACTTATCTGTGTCAGGACTAATGTTGAAAGAGCACTAGATCTGCAGTCAAAAAACCTAATTTTTAAAAAGTTTTTTCAAAATTCTTATACATTTAGGGGGTACAAGTGCATATTTTCTGGTGTGCATATATTGCATAGCAACAAACTCTAGGCTTGTAGTGTACCCATTACCCGAATGGTGAACACTGTAACAAACAAGCAATACTTCAACGTTCAGCCTCCCACCTTTGGTAGTCTCCAATGTCTATTATTCCACTCTCTCTCTTTTTTTTTTGAGGCAGTCTTGCTCTGTCACACAGACTGGAGTGCAGTGGCGCAATCTTGGCTTACTGCGACCTCTGCCTCCGGGGTTCAAACAATTCTCCTGCCTCAGCCTCCCAAGTAGCTAGGATTACAGGCATGCACCGCCACACCTGGCCATTTTTTGTATTTTCAGTAGAGATAGGTTTTCAGCATGTTGGCAAGGCTGGTCTCAAACTCCTGACCTCAAGTGATCCACCTGCCTCAGCCTCCCAAAGTGCTGAGATTAAAGGCGTGAGCCACTGCGCCCAGCCTATTATTCCACTCTCTATGTCCATGTGTATCCATTGTTTAGCTTCCACTTGTAAGTGGGAACATGTAGTATTTTACTTTCTGTTTCTGAGTTATTTCACTTAGGATAATAGCCTCCAGTTCCATCCATGATGCTGCAAGATGTGTTAAGAAGCCTGTTTTCTAGTCTAGACTGCCCCAAACCAGATGGATGCCCTTGGCAATTTATTTCACCTCTCTGGGTGCCAATCTCCTCCACTGTGAAATGAGACACTGTAGAAGATCAGTAAAGTTCCTTGTTCTCCCAGAACTTGCAGGCTACATATTCAGGTGGGAAGATGGGCTGAAATTTTGCTCTCTAGCTGCTAACTAAATCGTATTTTTAAATTCTGCTTCTCAGACTCTTGAAAAGTTGGCCTGAGAACATAAGACACCACCAAACAATCTGGAAGAACCAGTGCTATTACAACAAAGCAATGAGAGAGTCAAGATTCCTTAAATGTAGGTCTGGAATTCAATGTCAATTGATAGCTGATCCTTTTCATGCCAGTGCTGCCAAATGTACCAGGAAAGTTCTTTAAAAGCAGACTGAAGTTTTAAGAGTCCACACTATTATTTTCTTCTTAAGTCTAGGTAAAATCCCTTCCAATTAGTTTAAAAGTAGTATTTTGAAAATGTTACCAAAATAATACATGTTTCTCACTTTTTCTCCTTCCTCTCCTTTTTCTACTAACGACTGAAGACATTTTGGGACAATCTAACCTTTCCCCATTAACTGACTTGTCTGTGTGAAGAAACCAGACTGCAGATTTGCTGTTGGCCTTGTGTAATTTCTGAGCCAGGGCATGGTTTCCAAGGTAACAAGTTAAAAAAAAAGAAGGCACAAATAGGTCTAGCACATTTAATATGTAAATGAACTAGGTCACTAAGTATTTCACTAATAGGCAAGATGATAGATTAAACCCTTCTATTCTTTTTCCTCCATTTACCCTAGGAGGAATTTATTTGGGGCTTTTACAGCAGACATAATGATTTTCCTTTGGCAATGCAGTTTCCAAAATACAAAACTCCAAAGAGAGTTTGTTACAGTTAATCAAGCGAAAAGCAGCTTCTGTTGAGGAATCTAAATGGAGAAAGGAGAGGGGGTCCTGAAGCACTGAATCTAATTCTAGACACTTGTTTTTGCAGTTCTCTTACAGATAACACACAATAGCGTGCACATGCACCCTTGCCAACTCTTCACACAGTGAGAGTTAGAGTTCCCATTCTCATATTCCCACCAAGCCAGCGGCATGCACAAGAAACTCACAGTTCTGAAGCTGGAGGAGTGACTTTGGCTTCCAAAGGGAAAAGGGGAGCCAAAGTGGTCGTGCCCTGTCCTGCCCCTTGGACAAAGGCAGGGAATTGAATGCACCGGCAGTTGGGAGGCAGGGTGGGGCAAAAGCCAAGGGTGAGGGCTGAGGGAGAGCAGCTTTTCCTTGGATGGACATCCTTCGATGGCCAGCATGCAGCGCAGCCATCACACATGCCAAGGGCTGCTTCCCAGCCTGCCTTCAGGAAAAGTGGAGGGCGCCAAAGAAGGGCATTCATAACAATGCAGTAACAAAAGCAGATAGATGCTCTGGGGGACATGGGCAGAGAAGAAGCAACAGCACTGTGTGTGCCAGTGATCCAATTAGAAAGCCCAGCTTCCACACGCAGGCTGAGGCTTCCACAGCTTAAACCCCGTGGTATCCAGACACCATGATTTCTAGAGTTCTTAGTTGCAGACAAAGCCCCACTGTGTTTTCCCGGGTGACCATGCTGCCAATTTGTCTCATACCTTCCAAAGAAGCCTAATTATTAGCTTCTTCCTCGGCTGTCTGGCTTTTTCTTAGCTCCATGAAGACTGAACATATATTTCCTCCTCTAAAGAAGGTAGGCAGGGTTGGGGAAGACAAGCAAGTCTGGAACAGAAACTCCGCCCATCCATACCCCAGTGAAGCAAGGCACATCGCCATCTCCATAAACACCAAGGTGCTGGCCGGGCGCAGTGGCTCATGCCTGTAATCCCAGCACTTTAGGAGGCTGAGGCGGGCAGATCACGAGGTCAGGAGATTGAGACCATCCTGACCAATATGGTGAAACCCTGTCTCTACTAAAATACAAAAAAATTAGCTGGGCATGGTGGTGCGTGCCTGTAGTCCCAGCTTCTCAGGAGGCTGGGGCAGGGGAATCGCTTGAACTGAGGAGGCGAAGGCAGCAGTGAGCCAAGATCATGCCACTGCACTCCAGCCTGGTGACAGAACAAGACTCCGTCTCAAAAACAGCAACAACAACAACAACAACAAAACAAGGTGCTTGGATCTGGGGCCCCAAAACCTATCCAAGTTTTCAAATAACAGTTGGTCTCTTCGGCATTTCCCTGAAGGTGTTCACTACACTTCTTGCCCTGTCCTTTCACTTTGAGTTCCTAAATGAAACCCGTCGTCGGCCATCCTCCCGCCCTGCACAGTCTATTCTGCAAACTAGATATTCTGTGTCACACTTTTCAGAGTCCTTTCATTTTCCTGTTTTGTAAAAGTGGTTGTGTCTCGGAAAGTTAAAACGAATTAACTTCATCATGGCCTGCAGGATGAAAGAGATAAAATGAAAAAGGATTAGGCTTTCAAGACATCACTGAGAAGCCTTTTAAATGAGCCAAGTGTGCCGATGTCACATGAATGGGGTGGCCAGTAACAGAGACCGCAGAAGATCACAGAAATCTGTTTCCACCGTATGTTTCGCTAAGTAAAGAAAGGACAGTGCTGGGTGTTAACTTCGGTTCAAAAAAAAAAAAAGTTAACAACATCCCTTTTCTGTTCCCAAGTCTATTACTTCTAAAAAAGATATTTTAACATTATCACTATTTTTTAAAGAATGTCTTTTCTCATCTTTTGCTTTGAATATATTTAATATAATTTATTCTCTCTTCCCATAGGTCCTTCATATTATTTCCACTCATTATTGTTGAAATCTTCCAGTTTTCTCATTATTCCCAATGCTTCAAAATAAAAGAGAAATTTAGTAAGATTAAATAATGGAAAAAGGAAGCCAAAGAATATCCAGTTACGATGTTCAAAGAGATAAGCTGGCCCTGAGGCATATTTATCTGTCCTAAAAGAACTTCACCAAAGAGAAATTTAAGCTCTACAATAACTTGTGTGTGGCCTAGAAGACTTCAAATGTTGTTTCTCTAATGTGAATGTTGAAATAATGTCATTGAGTTTACATTTAATAACATCTTACGTTTGCAGAGTGCTTTGTTTTTTAAGGTGTCTTCATTTATAACATATCATTTTATCCTTTTGATAAAAGGATAGATTAACAACCCTAGAAAGCTGGCTAGAAATTAAGCTATGATTACTGCATTCTATACATGAGAAAACTGAGGCCCAGCACAGGTTAAGGGCCTGGAAAGGGACACACAGCAGAAATGTGACAGTGTTGGAACCAGACTCCACACTCCTGATCCCTAATCCAGGGCTCCTGCTTCAACACCTTCCTCTTTGATGCTCTCTACGTGTGAAGAAAGTTCACCCTAGATTAGTACATGCTGGAAACAAGTGGAAACAAGACCTAGGTTATCCTTAATGCCAGACAGTTGTATTCTGCCACACTGTGAATTCCAGGATAGCAAGCACTGGTCAGCAAATTGGCGCAAACATATATTTGCATTATAATATTTCTTATGGGTCAATTAATCTCCTGGAACTAAGAACAATCCTGGTCTGGAAGCATGACTGAGACCCAGATGTCAGTGCTTAACAGCTGCATTACTGGCCTGACTTAGAGAAGAGGCCGGAAATACTCCCAGAGTTGTTCACTTAAGGCCTGTGATGATGGCCCTAGCAGACAAAGGAAAGGGAAGGAGGGCAATTACCAGAGAACTTAATTCCCTATAAACACCAATTGGAGTGACTGATGAGGGCATGAGGGGCACCTTTCTTTCCTCCTTAGCAGGATTCTTTACATTAACTGGATAATTGCTTCTTTTCTCCAACTGCCTAGACCCACAACCCGGAACTGGCACGCCAGCTACGCGCAGACTACCAGAATTAGGTTCAAAACAGAAACAGCAACAATGTAATTAAGCTTTTTACAAACATGATACCATGGCACAAAATTTTTCATTACCTTGTGTTAATGAAAACCATTTTCTCTGACCAACGCGTAAAATGTTGGAGCAAAATAAACTGAATCGTCTATCTGGTGTTGCAGTGTCAGTGCAGGCCTAGCATGGGAATGTCTCTGTGGAAGGTGGTGGGGTTTTTCTCCCCTTTTTCTCTTTAAAGAATCTGCTGAGTTATTTCAATAGCACTTCTAGCTCTATTTACATAGTCACACTACCTCTCTCCTGTGCTGTAATTACAGGAAAGGTGCTACCAATGATCAGATTTACTTTCAGTATCCCATCCTACTGTACGAAATTCCAGTCACATCACTGCATATCACAAAGACATGCTGCAAAGGTACACAACACAGACCATGAAATGAAACGGCACTACCCCCACTTCAAAAGGTACCTTTAACAAAAACCATCTGCTAAAGATGGTCCCAAACTCTTATCATCTGATTCTCATATTCAATTTATAAAATGAATAGGGTGCTGCTAGGCATACAATTTATGTGAAATAGGGACCTGAGCCAGGAAGCTGCCCAATAAAGGAAGGAAATGAACTCAGGTTTACCAAGTGCCTATGATGTGCCAGGCACAACACCTATGACTCTCACTTATTTCATCTCATCTAATTTTCCAGAAAACTCTGTAAAGTGGATATTCCCATCTTACAGGTGAGGACACTAAGGCTCAAGAGATGAATTGGCCAGGCGTGGTTGCTCACTCCTGTAATCCCAGCACTTTGGGAGGCCGAGGTGGGCAGATCACGAGGTCAGGAGATCGAGACCATCCTGGCTAACACGCTGAAACCCCGTCTCTACTAAAAATACAAAAAATTAGCCAGGTGTGGTGGCATGTGCCTGTAGTCCCAGCTACTCAGGAGGCTGAGGCAGGAGAATCACTTGAATCCGGGAGGCAGAGGTTGCAGTGAGCCGAGGTTGCATCACTGCACTCCAGCCTGGGCGACAGAGCGAGACTGTCTCAAAAAAAAAAAAAAAAGAGAGAGAGAGAGATGAATTAACTTGTCCGAGGTCACAGTGCTGATCAGTGTCATGTTCTGAACACAGGTCAACTGAACTCCAAGACTAGTCTATTATCAGCTCACTAAGACCCCACAAGGGTGAAATGGCTCCTTTAGCCTAATTACCAGCATTAAGATAACCATCCATCCACACAGGAACCTGAGAAGGCAAGCAGGAACACACACTTTGGGTACCTGTAATCAGTAAACCTCAAAGACTGGTGTGTACATCAAGTAGGAAACCAACTTCCCTAACTCTTGGTTCCCAGTCATAGCCCAATAGAAATGAGCAACTTTGCCCTGCCATGCTTTTCCTTTTTTTTGTTTTTTTGTTTTTTTTTTTTAATAAGTGAAAACTGCTTTTATTTACAGACATATTTTTTTTAGGTAGGAAGTTCTAAAGTGTCAACAAAATAACATACCAGAGCTAGTAAACACTTTCAATAAGTTGCAGAATATACCAGGCCAATACGCAAAATTCAATTATTTATATAAGTTGCAATGAACAATTAAAAACTAAAACATGAAAAACAATACCATTAATAACAGCACGCAAAAACCTGAAGTACTTAGGAATAAATTTAACAAAGTACATGCAAGAACTGTACACTAATACCTGTTTAGATAAATAAGACACTTAATAATACACTTTTAAATTCATTTTTTGTTAAGAATACTAAATACTATTTATTTGACAATTATCTCCAAATTGATCTATAGTTATTTTGTTCAGTATGGTATCCATGAGCCACATGAGGCTACTAAACACTTGATATGTGGCTAGTCTGAATCTTAATTCAGACTAAGGTGACTAAGGTGTGCTGTAAGTGTAAAAACACACCAGATTTCAATGACTTAGTACAAAAAAAGAATAAAATATCATATCAATGTTTTTATATTGATTACAGGTTGATGTTTTCATATATTGGGGTAAATAAAATAATTATTAACATTAATTTCATGGTTTTTTTTCTTTTTAATGTGTCTACCAGAAATATTTAAATTACATGTGCTTACATATTTTGACATGCATTACGTTCCCATTAGTCATCATTTATCTATAAGTTTAATGCAATTCCAATCAAAACTGCCACAGGGCTTTTGCTAAATCTTGACAAACTATAAAATTTATGTGAAAATGGTAAGAACCAAAAATAGCCAAAAGAATTTTTAAAAAGAACAATGTTGAAGGACTTATACTCCCTTATTTAAAGATTTATTATAATGCTACAGTAATCAAGACAGTGTGGTATATGGCCAAGAGATCAATGGAACAGAATGGAGAATCCAGAAATTGACCTACACACATATCCTCGATTTTTAACAAGATATGATAGTAATTCAATAAAGAAAAGATACACTTTTCAATAAATAGTGTTATAACAACTAGATAGCCACATGGAGAACAAATGAACCATTACCTTTATCTCATGCCATACGGAAACGTTAATTTGAAAGAGTTCAGAGAACTGTTAAACAAAGTGGAAGAGAAGCCATTGTTTAGGGCTGAGGCTGTGCTCTAGGCCCCAAAAGACCAGACAGAACCAGTATGGAATCGCTCCTGTTCGGTGCCACATAATGAAACTGAACTTCAAAATGAGCCAGTATTCAAAAAACCAGGAGATTCACAGCAACCAATCAGAAAGGGCCTGGTTTACCTAACTAAGGGATCTCTGTTTTTTGTTTTTTTTTTTTTTTTTTTTATTATACTCTAAGTTTTAGGGTACATGTGCACATTGTGCAGGTTAGTTACATATGTATACATGTGCCATGCTGGTGCGCTGCACCCACTAATGTGTCGTCTAGCATTAGGTATATCTCCCAATGCTATCCCTCCCCCCTCCCCCGACCCCACCACAGTCCCCAGAGTGTGATATTCCCCTTCCTGTGTCCATGTGATCTCATTGTTCAATTCCCACCTATGAGTGAGAATATGCGGTGTTTGGTTTTTTTGTTCTTGCGATAGTTTACTGAGAATGATGGTTTCCAATTTCATCCATGTCCCTACAAAGGATATGAACTCATCATTTTTTATGGCTGCACAGTATTCCATGGTGTATATGTGCCACATTTTCTTAATCCAGTCTATCATTGTTGGACATCTGGGTTGGTTCCAAGACTTTGCTATTGTGAATAGTGCCGCAATAAACATACGTGTGCATGTGTCTTTATAGCAGCATGATTTATACTCATTTGGGTATATACCCAGTAATGGGATGGCTGGGTCAAATGGTATTTCTAGTTCTAGATCCCTGAGGAATCGCCACACTGACTTCCACAATGGTTGAACTAGTTTACAGTCCCACCAACAGTGTAAAAGTGTTCCTATTTCTCCACATCCTCTCCAGCACCTGTTGTTTCCTGACTTTTTAATGATTGCCATTCTAACTGGTGTGAGATGATATCTCATAGTGGTTTTGATTTGCATTTCTCTGATGGCCAGTGATGATGAGCATTTTTTCATGTGTTTTTTGGCTGCATAAATGTCTTCTTTTGAGAAGTGTCTGTTCATGTCCTTCGCCCACTTTTTGATGGGGTTGTTTGTTTTTTTCTTGTAAATTTGTTTGAGTTCATTGTAGATTCTGGATATTAGCCCTTTGTCAGATGAGTAGGTTGCGAAAATTTTCTCCCATGTTGTAGGTTGCCTGTTCACTCTGATGGTAGTTTCTTTTGCTGTGCAGAAGCTCTTTAGTTTAATTAGATCCCATTTGTCAATTTTGTCTTTTGTTGCCATTGCTTTTGGTGTTTTGGACATGAAGTCCTTGCCCACGCCTATGTCCTGAATGGTAATGCCTAGGTTTTCTTCTAGGGTTTTTATGGTTTTAGGTTTAACGTTTAAATCTTTAATCCATCTTGAATTGATTTTTGTATAAGGTGTAAGGAAGGGATCCAGTTTCAGCTTTCTACATATGGCTAGCCAGTTTTCCCAGCACCATTTATTAAATAGGGAATCCTTTCCCCATTGCTTGTTTTTCTCAGGTTTGTCAAAGATCAGATAGTTGTAGATATGCGGCATTATTTCTGAGGGCTCTGTTCTGTTCCATTGATCTATATCTCTGTTTTGGTACCAGTACCATGCTGTTTTGGTTACTGTAGCCTTGTAGCATAGTTTGAAGTCAGGTAGTGTGATGCCTCCAGCTTTGTTCTTTTGGCTTAGGATTGACTTGGCAATGTGGGCTCTTTTTTGATTCCATATGAACTTGAAAGTAGTTTTTTACAATTCTGTGAAGAAAGTCATTGGTAGCTTGATGGGGATGGCATTGAATCTGTAAATTACCTTGGGCAGTATGGCCATTTTCACAATATTGATTCTTCCTACCCATGAGCATGGAATGTTCTTCCATTTGTTTGTGTCCTCTTTTATTTCCTTGAGCAGTGGTTTGTAGTTCTCCTTGAAGAGGTCCTTCACATCCCTTGTAAGTTGGATTCCTAGGTATTTTATTCTCTTTGAAGTAATTGTGAATGGGAGTTCACCTATGATTTGGCTCTCTGTTTGTCTGTTGTTGGTGTATAAGAATGCTTGTGATTTTTGTACATTGATTTTGTATCCTGAGACTTTGCTGAAGTTGCTTATCAGCTTAAGGAGATTTTGGGCTGAGACGATGGGGTTTTCTAGATAAACAATCATGTCGTCTGCAAACAGGGACAATTTGACTTCCTCTTTTCCTAATTGAATACCCTTTATTTCCTTCTCCTGCCTGATTGCCCTGGCCAGAACTTCCAACACTATGTTGAATAGGAGCCGTGAGAGAGGGCATCCCCGTCTTGTGCCAGTTTTCAAAGGGAATGCTTCCAGTTTTTGCCCATTCAGTATGATATTGGCTGTGGGTTTGTCATAGATAGCTCTTATATTTTGAAATACGTCCCATCAATACCTAATTTATTGAGAGTTTTTAGCATGAAGGGTTGTTGAATTTTGTCAAAGGCTTTTTCTGCATCTATTGAGATAATCATGTGGTTTTTGTCTTTGGCTCTGTTTATATGCTGGATTACATTTATTGATTTGCGTATATTGAACCAGCCTTGCATCCCAGGGATGAAGCCCACTTGATCATGGTGGATAAGCTTTTTGATGTGCTGCTGGATTTGGTTTGCCAGTATTTTATTGAGGATTTTTGCATCAATGTTCATCAAGGATATTGGTCTAAAATTCTCTTTTTTGGTTGTGTCTCTGCCCGGCTTTGGTATCAGAATGATGCTGGCCTCATAAAATGAGTTAGGGAGGATTCCCTCTTTTTCTATTGATTGGAATAGTTTCAGAAGGAATGGTACCAGTTCCTCCTTGTACCTCTGGTAGAATTCGGCTGTGAATCCATCTGGTCCTGGACTCTTTTTGGTTGGTAAACTATTGATTATTGCCACAATTTCAGAGCCTGTTATTGGTCTATTCAGAGATTCAACTTCTTCCTGGTTTTGTCTTGGGAGAGTGTATGTGTCAAGGAATGTATCCATTTCTTCTAGATTTTCTAGTTTATTTGCGTAGAGGTGTTTGTAGTATTCTCTGATGGTAGTTTGTATTTCTGTGGGATCGGTGGTGATATCCCCTTTATCATTTTTTATTGTGTCTATTTGATTCTTCTCTCTTTTTTTATTAGTCTTGCTAGCGGTCTATCAATTTTGTTGATCCTTTCAAAAAACCAGCTCCTGGATTCATTGATTTTTTGAAGGGTTTTTTGTGTCTCTATTTCCTTCAGTTCTGCTCTGATTTTAGTTATTTCTTGCCTTCTGCTAGCTTTTGAATGTGTTTGCTCTTGCTTTTCTAGTTCATTTAATTGTGATGTTAGGGTGTCAATTTTGGATCTTTCCTGCTTTCTCTTGTAGGCATTTAGTGCTATAAATTTCCCTCTACACACTGCTTTGAATGCGTCCCAGAGATTCTGGTATGTGGTGTCTTTGCTCTCGTTGGTTTCGAAGAACATCTTTATTTCTGCCTTCATTTCGTTATGTACCCAGTAGTCATTCAGGAGCAGGTTGTTCAGTTTCCATGTAGTTGAGCGGCTTTGAGTGAGATTCTTAATCCTGAGTTCTAGTTTGATTGCACTGTGGTCTGAGAGATAGTTTGTTATAATTTCTGTTCTTTTACATTTGCTGAGGAGAGCTTTACTTCCAACTATGTGGTCAATTTTGGAATAGGTGTGGTGTGGTGCTGAAAAAAATGTATATTCTGTTGATTTGGGGTGGAGAGTTCTGTAGATGTCTATTAGGTCTGCTTGGTGCAGAGCTGAGTTCAATTCCTGGGTATCCTTGTTGACTTTCTGTCTCGGTGATCTGTCTAATGTTGACAGTGGGGTGTTAAAGTCTCCCATTATTAATGTGTGGGAGTCTAAGTCTCTTTGTAGGTCACTCAGGACTTGCTTTATGAATCTGGGTGCTCCTGTATTGGGTGCATAAATATTTAGGATAGTTAGCTCCTCTTGTTGAATTGATCCCTTTACCATTATGTAATGGCCTTCTTTGTCTCTTTTGATCTTTGTTGGTTTAAAGTCTGTTTTATCAGAGACTAGGATTGCAACCCCTGCCTTTTTTTGTTTTCCATTGGCTTGGTAGATCTTCCTCCATCCTTTTATTTTGAGCCTATGTGTGTCTCTGCACGTGAGATGGGTTTCCTGAATACAGCACACTGATGGGTCTTGACTCTTTATCCAACTTGCCAGTCTGTGTCTTTTAATTGCAGAATTTAGTCCATTTATATTTAAAGTTAATATTGTTATGTGTGAATTTGATCCTGTCATTATGATGTTAGCTGGTGATTTTGCTCATTAGTTGATGCAGTTTCTTCCTAGTCTCGATGGTCTTTACATTTTGGCATGATTTTGCAGCGGGTGGTACCGGTTGTTCCTTTCCATGTTTAGTGCTTCCTTCAGGAGCTCTTTTAGGGCAGGCCTGGTGGTGACAAAATCTCTCAGCATTTGCTTGTCTATAAAGTATTTTATTTCTCCTTCACTTATGAAGCTTAGTTTGGCCGGATATGAAATTCTGGGTTGAAAATTCTTTTCTTTAAGAATGTTGAATATTGGCCCCCACTCTCTTCTGGCTTGTAGGGTTTCTGCCGAGAGATCCGCTGTTAGTCTGATGGGCTTTCCTTTGAGGGTAACCCGACCTTTCTCTCTGGCTGCCCTTAACATTTTTTCCTTCATTTCAACTTTGGTGAATCTGACAATTATGTGTCTTGGAGTTGCTCTTCTCGAGGAGTATCTTTGTGGCGTTCTCTGTATTTCCTGAATCTGAACGTTGGCCTGCCTTGCTAGATTGGGGAAGTTCTCCTGGATAATATCCTGCAGAGTGTTTTCCAACTTGGTTCCATTCTCCACATCACTTTCAGGTACACCAATCAGACGTAGATTTGGTCTTTTCACATAGTCCCATATTTCTTGGAGGCTTTGCTCATTTCTTTTTATTCTTTTTTCTCTAAACTTCCCTTCTCGCTTCATTTCATTCATTTCATCTTCCATTGCTGATACCCTTTCTTCCAGTTGATCGCATCGGCTCCTGAGGCTTCTGCATTCTTCACGTAGTTCTCGAGCCTTGGTTTTCAGCTCCATCAGCTCCTTTAAGCACTTCTCTGTATTGGTTATTCTAGTTATACATTCTTCTAAATTTTTTTCAAAGTTTTCAACTTCTTTGCCTTTGGTTTGAATGTCCTCCCGTAGCTCAGAGTAATTTGATCGTCTGAAGGCTTCTTCTCTCAGCTCGTCAAAATCATTCTCCATCCAGCTTTGTTCTGTTGCTGGTGAGGAACTGCGTTCCTTTGGAGGAGGAGAGGCGCTCTGCGTTTTAGAGTTTCCAGTTTTTCTGTTCTGTTTTTTCCCCATCTTTGTGGTTTTATCTACTTTTGGTCTTTGATGATGGTGATGTACATATGGGTTTTCGGTGTAGATGTCCTTTCTGGTTGTTAGTTTTCCTTCTAACAGACAGGACCCTCAGCTGCAGGTCTGTTGGAATACCCTGCCGTGTGAGGTGTCAGTGTGCCCCTGCTGGGGGGTGCCTCCCAGTTAGGCTGCTCGGGGGTCAGGGGTCAGGGACCCACTTGAGGAGGCAGTCTGCCCGTTCTCAGATCTCCAGCTGCGTGCTGGGAGAACCACTGCTCTCTTCAAAGCTGTCAGACAGGGACACTTAAGTCTGCAGAGGTTACTGCTGTCTTTTTGTTTGTCTGTGCCCTGCCCCCAGAGGTGGAGCCTACAGAGGCAGGCAGGCCTCCTTGAGCTGTGGTGGGCTCCACCCAGTTCGAGCTTACTGGCTGCTTTGTTTACCTAAGCAAGCCTGGGCAATGGCGGGCGCCCCTCCCCCAGCCTCGTTGCCGCCTTGCAGTTTGATCTCAGACTGCTGTGCTAGCAATCAGCGAGATTTCGTGGGCGTAGGACCCTCTGAGCCAGGTGTGGGATATAGTCTCGTGGTGCGCCATTTCTTAAGCCAGTCTGAAAAGCGCAATATTCGGGTGGGAGTGACCCGATTTTCCAGGTGCGTCCGTCACCCCTTTCTTTGACTCGGAAAGGGAACTCCCTGACCCCTTGCGCTTCCCAGGTGAGGCAATGCCTCGCCCTGCTTCGGCTCGCGCACGGTGCGCACACACACTGGCCTGCGCCCACTGTCTGGCACTCCCTAGTGAGATGAACCCGGTACCTCAGATGGAAATGCAGAAATCACCCGTCTTCTGCGTCGCTCACGCTGGGAGCTGTAGACCGGAGCTGTTCCTATTCGGCCATCTTGGCTCCTCCCTCCTGTTTTTTTTTTGAGACAGTGTTTCTTTTCACTTCTGTCACCCAGGCTGCAGTGCAGTGGCGCGGTCTGTGCTCACTGCAACCTCCACCTCCCGGGCTCAAGCAATTCTCCCACCTCAGCCTCCCAAGTAGCTGGCACTACAGGTGCGTGCCACTATACCCAGCTAATTTTTGTTTTTGTAGAGATGGGGTTTCACCATGTTGCCCAGGCTGGTCTTGAACTGCCAAGCTCAAGCGATCCATCCACCTCAGCCTCAATCTCCCAAAGTACTGGGATTACAGGCATGAGCCACCGTGCCTGGCCCCTCCTAAATTTTTTATGTGCCTTAGTTTCAGGTATTTGAGAGAGAGTCTCATTTTCTACGTTCAAAGGCAGGAATAACAGGAACTTCAGAGTTATTGAACATAAAAGACTCAGGAGAAGAGGAAAATGCACCAGAAAGTAATTCTGTTCTGTTGTTATTTATACTCCTTAAACAATAAAAGGACAAAGTTTGCCAAAGAGCAACAGGAAAATCCTGTTAAAACATACACTTCAAAAAATCTCCAAGAGCTTTCTGAAAATAACACACAATCCAGAGGCTATTTAGAAAGAAGCAAAATGGACAAATAATATAAAAGTGCGAAATAACCCCCAATTTCATATAGATTATAATCTAAAAAGCCATTTTAATTTTTTTTTATTTTTGTTTTTAGAGACAGGGTCTCACAGTTTCACCCAAGCTGGAGTGCAGTGGCATAATCATAGCTCACTGTAGCCTCCAACTCCTGGGCTCAAGGGACCCTCCTGCGTCAGCCTCCTGAGTAGGTAAGACTACGTGCACATGCCACCATGCCCAGCAAAAGTCATTTTTAAACTGGTCTTTTCAAACTTGGAAAGTCAAATCTAAAGAAACAAGGTCATAATCAGCAGTAAAATTTACAAGAAGCACCACAAATGTCTTTACTTTTTAAAAGAAACTTTTTAAAAAAATTCAACTTTGAGGTATAATTTACATAAAATAAAATATATTCATTTTGCATTACCATTAAGTGTGTTTTGACAAATGCATCCAACCATGTAACCATCCCCACAATCAAAATATACAGCATTCCCACCACCCCAAAAAGTTCCCTTGTTAGTACCCCCATGTCAAACTCCAGAAAACCACTGATTTGCTTTCTGTACCTACAGACTAGTTTTGCCTGTTCCAGAACTTCATATGAATGAACATTGTATGTGGTCTTCTGAGTTTTATTCCTTTGACTGCACAATTTTTCTGGAATTCATGCATGCTGTTGTATGTATCTGTAAATTTGTTCCCTTTTGTTGCTGAGTAGTATTCCATTTTATGGATATACCACAATTTGTTTAACCATTCACTAGGTGATGGATTCTTGGGTTGTTTCCAGTTTTTGGCCACTGTGAATAATGTTGCTATGAACATTCACATACAAGTCTTTTTTGTGGACATGTTTTAACTTATCTTGGGTAACTACTAAATGGTTTTCCAAAATAATCACACTACAGATATATCTTGGAGATATGCAGGTTCCATTCTAGACCACAGTACTAAGGCAAATATTGCAATAAAGCGAGTCACACAATTTTTTTCTCAGTACACATAAAAGTTATATTTATACTATACTGCATCTAGTAAGTGTGCAATGCCATCATGTCTAAAAAATGTACATACCTTAATTTAAAAATACTTTATAGCCAAAAATGCTGAAAATCATTTAAGCCTTTAGCACATCGTAATCTTTTTGCTGGTGGGGGGCCTTGCCTCAATGTTGATGGCTGCTGACTGATGACGGTGGTGGCGCTGAAGGTTGGGGTGGCTGTGGCAATTTCTTAAAATAAGACAACAATGAAGTTTGCAGCATTGATTGACTCTTCCTTTCACAAAAGATTTCTCTGTAACATGTTATGCTGTCAGATGGCATTTTACTCACAGTAGAACGTCTTTTGAAACTGGAGTCAATCTTCTCAAACCCTGTTTTATCAACTAAGTTTATGGAATATTCTAAATCCTTTGCTGTCGTTTCAACAATGTTCACAGCATCTTCACCAGGAGTAGACTTCATCTCAGGAAACCACTTTCTTTGTTCCTCCATAAGATGCAACTCCTCATCCATTCAAGTTTTATCATGAGATTGTGGCAATCAGGCCCATCTTCAGGTTCCACTTCTAATTCTAGTTCTCTTGCTATCTGTATCACATCTGCTGTACCACATCCACTAAAGTCTTGGATCCCTCAAAGACATCCATGAGGGTTGGAATCAACTTCTCCCCAACACCAGTTAATATTTATATTTGTACCTCCTCCCATGGATCATGAAGGACCTTAATGGCATCTAGAATGATGACTTCTTTCCTGGTTTTCAATTTCCTTTGCCCATATCAATCAGAGGAATCACTATATAGTCTATGGCAGCATTAGAAAATGTATTTCTTAAATAATAAGACTTGAAAGTCAAATTCCTCCTTGATTCATGGACTACAGAATGGATGTTTTGTTAGCAAGCATGAAAGCAAATTAATCTCCTTGTACTATAAGAGCTCTTGGGTAACCAGGTACATTATCACACTGGAACAGTAATATTTTGGAAAGGATCTTTTTTATAAGCAATAAGTCTCAACAGTGGCCTTAAAATATTCAGTAAACCAGGCTATAAACAGATGTGCTGTCATCTGGGCTTTGTTGTTCCATTTATAGAGTCAGCATCATTCTTAAAGGCCCTAGGATTTTCGGAATGGCAAATGATCATTGGCTTCAACTTAAAGACACCAGCTGCATTAGCCCCTAACAAGGGAGTCAGCCTGTCATTTGAAGCCAGGCACTGACTTCTCCTCTCTAGCTATGAAAGTCTTGGATGGCATCTTCTTCCAATAGCAGGCTGTTTCATCTACATCAGAAATTTGTTGTTTAGTGTAGCCACCTTCATCAATTATCTTAGCTAGATCTTCTGGATAACTTGCTGAAGCTTCTACATGAGCACGTGCTGCTTCACCTTGCGCTTTTATGTTATGAAGATGGCTGCTTTCCTTAAACCTCATGAACCAACTTTGGCTAGACTCCGGCTTTTCTTCTGTAGTTTTTTTCTCCTCTCTCAACCTTCACAGAATTGAAGACAGTTAGAGCCTTGCTCTGGATTAGGCTCTTGTTTAAGGAGTGTTGTGGCTGGTTTGATCTTCTATTTAAAACTTTCTCCATATCAGCAATAAGACTGTTTTGCTTTCTTATCATTCATGGGTTCACTGGAATAGCACTTTCAATTTCCTTCAATAACTTTTCCTTTGTATTCACAACTTGGCTAATGGTTTGGCCCAAGTTTTTTGGTCTATCTCAGTTCTCACCATGCCTTCCTCACTAAGCTTAATCATTTGTAGCTTTTGATTTAAAGTGAGAGACATGTGACTCTTCCTTTCACTTAAACACTGAGAAACCATTACTCATCAGCCTAATTTCAATATTGTTGTGTCTCAGGGAATACGGAGGCCTGAGGAGGAGAGACAAGAATGGCCAGTCGGTGGAGCAGTGAGAACACACACATTTATTAAGTTTGCCTTCTTACATGGGCGTGGTTCATGTCACACCAAAACAATTACAATAGTAACATCAAAGATCACTGATCACAGATCACCATAAC
Organism: Homo sapiens; assembly: GCF_000001405.40. Classification (NCBI taxonomy): domain Eukaryota; kingdom Metazoa; phylum Chordata; class Mammalia; order Primates; family Hominidae; genus Homo; species Homo sapiens. The sequence continues at coordinate 98,602,097 of NC_000004.12, forward strand.
AGATATAGTAACAATGAAAAAGTATGGAATGTCGTGAGAATTACCAAAATGTGACACAGAGACATGAAGTGAGCACATGCGATTGGAAAAATGGCACTGATACTCTTGCTCCATGAAGGGTTGCCACAAACCTTCCATTTGTTAGGAAGCAAAAACCCAAAAACCAAAAACATAATATATGTGAAGAGCAATAAAGTGAAGCACAATAAAACAAAGCATTCCTGTGATTAATGGTAAAAATTAAAGGTTGACCCACAAATGTCTTTTTAATCTGCAGCATGTCTGATACGATCACTATTGGTCTGATAAGGAGGAAGCCTGTGGTATAAGAAGGTTATTGAGAATTTCCTCTCCTTTTTTGGCAAAACCAGAAACACTTTACTCATTTCAAAATTTCTTTTTGACAAAGCCTCACTTACCTCTCTTCCACTCCCTCTTCTCCACAGATGCCTAGGTACTCACAGCTCTCATATCAACCCTACTCTAAATCCCTGAGGAAGCTACAGAACCTGGCCTACCCTCATTTGAAGTGTTCTGTTTCCAAAACTACATTTTTCTCCTTTCCCTCTCTTCTTCCCCTACAATCAACGCTTTTGCCCTGCGACAGAATTGCTCATGCAGAAGATTAGGAAAGCAAGCTGATTAAATAGACATTTATGCAAGGGACTGGTAACCCCTTTAAATGAAGATGCTCAAACACGGGTGCAAGAGATGGCTGTCTCCATAATTCTACAATGCTGCTCTTCTTCCAAACAGGCTCCTAACACATATGACATACAGCAATGCAATAAAGTGAAGTGAAATAATACCAGGTATAATAGCAATGAAAAAGTTTGGAATATGGCGAGAAGGTGGCTGTATGCTGTAAAGTGGGGAAAATTTTACTTTACCACTGTAGTGTGGGAAGTTTACTGTATTTACAGTCTAGACCTACCTAGCCAAATTCTCTGTCCCTCAATGTTATGCCTGCTTTTCACAGCTTCTTTCCTTCTTCTATACCTTTGAACTCAAAAATTCTCAAAAGTCTCAGGTTCTTTTCATTAGAACCCATAGTAACAGTGGTGGCAAGGAGATGTCATTTGTAGACTGCATATCGCCATCTGTACTACAGTAAGCTCTCTAATCATTTTACCTACTAGTTCCTTTAGACTCCCCCCTACCAGGCACTTTGCTTTACAGCTTTGTCAATCCTAGGAACAAATACAGACATCCTTTGCTGAGGAACATCTCCCCACCATATCACTGATATCACACATGTTCATGATGTTGCTAAAGGACATTTACCCTGGGCCTTTTATAAAAGATCAGATTTCTCAAGTATAAAAGCAATTTTGCTATCAAAACAAATCTGTTGTCAATACATTTTGAGGCTAATACCATGATTAGTTGGCCAGCTCAAACTAGCGCATGGAAGAAAAACAAAATCAGTGCCTTGGATACACCAATGCCACTGTGGTGTTTGTCTTCTGCTATCTCAATTCATGGGAATAAAGTTACCCAGAGAGCTTACCTATCAGGCAGGAACTGGACAGAACAGTTGTGGCCTATGCAACCATCTCAGAGTGTTAGTGGAACACACACACTCAAGTGGATCAGAACTGTCTCAAACAATATAAATTTAATGTGGTGGTTGATCTTGCTGTGGGTTACAGATGCTCATCTCCTTCACAATGGAAAATAAAATTGGTGCCCACTTCAGCTCCTCAGCATTTCTTATCTTACTCTCTGGCTACTTACTCTGAAGGCTGAAACCAGCTCCAGTCATCAGAGAACAGAAAAGCCACAAAACCCCTCTAATCACTTCCGAGTTATGCAGACTCTAAGACAGCCCGATCCTAATGGACACTTGAGAAACAACTACTTTCTTGAATTTCTGGAATTACTTTGGTCATTTTGAACGACCGCTCTATTGGACTGCCATTTCCTTTTCCCTGTTTGATGCTTACTGAACCTCTGGAGTGTATGAAAACAGGCTGAACTAGCATGAAAAAAAAAAGAGAGTATCAGTCATTTCAATCACGCAGCACTGCACTGAGGTCTTGGCACTCTGTGATCTCGTAGTACTGCAGCACCCAGTAAACTCATTATCATCACTCCGGGAAATGAAGCCAAAACTCAGTTCATGTAACTTTCCCCATCACCAATCACCCAGGCTTCAAATATGTTCTATTCTTTACACCAAACCCCTAAAAAAGGGGTGGTTATTTTAGTCAATTCCCGGGCTTTGTGAAGACTTCTTTCCACAGAAATGAATGCTTTGTAATGCTAAGCAGATTCTTACACTGAAAACTGTTCTAACATCTCGTCATCAAAATGACAGAGCCACTGCATCCTTGACACGGTGCTGTTCTGGAACTGAATTGGTGAGATGAATCAGCAATGAACTGTCTTATAAAACAGCTAACATGACATGATATGTATTAATGGGAACAAGGCACGCAAAGACTATGAAGTAATGTCTTTACCATTATCTAGGCAGTAGTGGGATTTATACTTGAATACTATATTTAGTCTGAGGTTTCCATTTTTAAGATGTACGAACAAACTAGAATAAGCCCAGGGGGCTTACATTTAGAGAAATATCTGTTCCTAAGTGTGGAAGAAAATTTTACAACTACAACTACCTTCATACCCAAAAAGAGGGAGAGAGAAAAGAGAATATTTACTGAGCACATACTACAGTCTCAGTACTCCTTATGTGACTATTTAATCTCTAATACAACCCTAAAGAGCAGGTCTCATGCCATTTGTCAGATGTGAAAACCAAGGCTTGGAGATGTTATGCAGCTTGCTCAGGGACACTCAGCTGAGATTCCTCAACCCTTTTCTCCCACTCAGACTTCACTCTTACAACATCCAACTGCTACCAGGCACTGTGACTCAGTAGATCCCAAACTGAATTCACTCGCTCTACATTTTAAATTATATAATAAATTAAATACAAAATAAATATTTCAGTATTTCCATGAAAGAAGTCAGTTTGTGAAGGTTTAAAAAACAATAATGGTAAGTTATTGCTTATGTGTTATCTCTTTTCTCTTTTTTGTTGTTGTTGTTGTTGAAACAAAGAACTATTTTCAGAAAGTCTGGTGACCTACTGACATCATCAAAAACCGCAAGGTTTGAAAGAGTCAAACATTTTAATATAAACTTGAAGCAGTAACTGGATTATCAGCATATCAGAAAAAATGTGCCAATTATCAACCAACAACTTGGCTAAGGTTCAATTGTGGGGGCACTAATCAGTTCACTGAGCATAATATCGCATCACCCTTCCAAAGTTGGTGCCAGAACTGTTTGGTGGACAAAGTAACCAACACACGACCGGTCAGCTGAGAAGAGCAGAGACATACCTCTGCCCTGCCCTACCTCCTAATTCAGCAGTCACTACTCACTGTGACCTCCTGCATGAATCACTTGAGTCTCTGACCCAAAGAATGTCCAAAAGATGACAAGCATACAATTTTTAAGAAAAATACTCCATAGTATACTGAAGTTCACTTATAAGACTAATTTAAAATACCCAGTTTATACAGCCTTTTAAATGGCTTAGCCACAAACTGTCAATCCCTCGGAATACTTCATCCCTGTGAATAATCACAGGAGGAACTAATTTTTAATGGCTTCTCAACAGTCTAAAAATGGAGGTGTACATGTGGCTATTTAAAATTCACCCATTTATAGTTAATGTGTTTTTGATACTATATCTTAGCTGCCCATCCAGCATTGGTCAAAAAAATCACGAACCATTGTGAAATAAACACCTCCCTGTAGCTCCTCTCTGCTGTGTGGACTTCACGGAGTTGTCCCCACACAACCCTGCCTCTGGAATCCAGCTTGTCCTTGTTACCTGAGGTGGGGCTCATGTTGACACCACCATTTGTTTTCTCTGTCTATGGCATCTGTATGCACACGGCACATTTCTCCAAAAGGGACACTGAACACTTGTTTCTGCACAGCAGTAACAGCTGCTCTGGGCAATCAAGACCATCTAAAATTATGCACATCACAAGAGCCTACATTTTAAATCAGACCACCCTAAACAAACTCCAATCGAGTGAAAATCTACCTAGCCATTTTCATGTGATGCAGTCACAGAGCAAAAGAAGCTTGATTTTATTTCTGCAGATTACCTTTATCTTTGAAGCCATCTTTGCTACATAAGGCAACTCATCAAGTTCAATTGTTGTCTTACCCCATTCTGAAAGGTTTGCCCTTGGATCTGTACTTTTCAAAAGAAAACAGGACAAACACAAAACACTCATACCATAAAGACTTCCAAAGCATTCTTAGGTTTGCTTTATGAGCTACTCCAGGAAGGTTACGGAAACATCTTTCCACACTACATGCTATTTCTGGATAAAACTATAATGGATATACAGGTAGATAATTCTTAAACATAAACTATGTAAGTGTCTAAATATTTGACTTCCCCTCATCCTCCACCCTACATCAAACACCATTATTAAGAAAACATACTTTGAAGTATTTATGTATTAGGGTTCTTGGTTATAGTTTTCCAAAACGACAAAAAAGCTATTATTAGCAACAGCTTAAGTGAGACAGCTTATGCAATTATTGAACATATATGAAAGGCAATGAGGAATTAAATGCAGAGGTTTTTAAAATTCCTGAATTTTTGTGACTCTTTTTGAAGAAAAGGAGCAGAAAAGAAAGCTCTGCAGTTTGGTAAAGAAACGTCATTTGGTTCTATAAAGGCTTTACGGTGATTCTCACTCCAACTTTAAAAATATGTTTTCATCTTTAGGGGGCATTTATGAGTAGTCACAAAGTAAATTATGTGCAAGAAGGTGAAAGAAAGAGTACTTCCTAAAGAGGCGAGGTGCAGACGGATGGCTGCAAAGGGCCTCCTCAGCTCAACTCCCCATAGTGGGGTGGTGTGGCAGGGGGAGGTGGTGAGGCAGTTGGGGGAAGGGAGCAGCCGGGGGACCTGCCATCCCAGCAGACATTCTGGTCAGCATCCTCCATTTCCATAGCAAAAAACCATCACTGTGCTTGTTAAGTTGTCATTTCCTGAAGGAAAGCACCTGTCACCCTCCTCATTTTCCCCGCTCTGGGCAGTTCCACAGAGTGTAATCTTGCACTGCGATTCCCAGCAGCTAAGGTAACTGAGTTTTCAGAAAAACAGGGGAGAGAGTTCATCAAAGAACCACACATCCGGAGATGGGTATCCCACACAATTAGTTTTGTGGAAGTGGAAAGCAATCACAAGAGAGGCATTTCTGTATGTTTGGTGAAAGTGTTGAGGAATGCGACATGTGATAAAGTCTTAGACATGAACCCCAGAAAGACTGTCTTACCTAACGAAAGAATTTGCTATCTTTAAGTAGAAATTCTAACATCCACTGTGTTTCTCTTTTTACTTTGGTTTCCAGGAAGCTCATTATAAATGTAATGCTCAAATAACCTCAGTAGCCTAAGTTATTTGGCATGATTTCCCCCTTCCTCCATATAGTTTTTGTGATTTATTTGTATTTTATCAGTCCTATTGCCTACATATACATTTTGTTACAACCTTCCTTACATGCTTTTTGCCTGTATTTAGAGTACACAGTTGGGAAAAAAAAGAAACAATCTGTGATGCCTTAAATGAAATTTTTTTTTTTTTTTGAGATGGAGTCTCACTCTTGTCACCCAGGCTGGAGTGCAATGGCGCCATCTCAGCTCACTGCAACCTCCGCCTCCCAGGTTCAAGCGATTCTCCTGCCTCAGCCTCCTGAGTAGCTGGGATTACAAGTGCCCGCCACCATGCCCAGCTAATGTTTGTATTTTTAGTAGAGAGGGAGTTTCACCATATTGCCCAGGCTGGTCTCAAACTCCTGACCGCAAGTGATCCGCCTGCCTCGGGCTCCCAAAGTGCTGGGATTACAGGCATGAGCCACTGCGCCGGGCCATGAAATTTATATATACTATACCTATTCATAAGATGGTATTTTTTCCTGAAGATTTCTCAAAAAATAAGTTTAATGTTAGAACCCTATTCGTTATAGCATAACACGCTAGACATAAGCTGCGGGAGTGTGAACGAACAAAGTATCTGTTTGAATTCACAGGATTCTAGACTACATCAGGCAGACATTCCCGTTCCCTATCACAGATAAAGATACTTATGATAGGAATTCTTCACTTCCTTTTTTTAGTCACTGGGATCCTTTAGGACTCTGATTTTTAAAAGCCATGGAACTTCTTCCCCAGAAAAGGATGTGTACCCTCACACAATGTTTGACATATACTTTCCAGGCATTCACAGACCCCTGGCCCCATCTGGGTTCCTTCTTGCTACAGAAATGGCAGGTAAAATAAGTCTCCACTGGAGTCAATCACATGGAGTCCCTTCTGAGCCCAGCACAGCAAGCTGCATGTTCCTAACCCCCTTATCTCTCCGCAATCAGTCACCACGGAGAGGAACAGTCTTCTGTGACAATCCCAACCCTGGCAGGTGGCAGCGGAAGAACGAGGCCCAGGTCACCTGACCCCAATGAGGATGCTGATGATTTTCCTCCTCTCCACTGTTCAGAGGCAGCATGCTTCTCTCCAGGAAAAAGAAAAAAAAAGAAAATCCACAACATGTTGCCACTGTTAGGGGGGAAATAGACTATGTAAACGCAGTGCTGTGTTTTTAACCACTAAAAACCTCACTGTGTCTTCTTCATCAGTCTCTCTCCTCGACAGTTCTCTCTGACTTGAAGTTGAGGACTTTTCCCACTAAGTCCACAACCTTATACTCGCCCTCAGAGAGATGTTCGTTTCTTCTTTTCCCCACCACACCCTGTAAACTCTTTTCTGTCGCTCCCACAGGAAACAAAACAAAACAAAACTGTAGTTACTAACACATGGCACTTATTTCTGCTTACTGAGCAAGGTATCTCTTATCATAAAAACCAAACTTTACCTCTCACTCTCTTGCACGAGACTTACATTTAGAGGGTTTCAGGTAGCAAGTCAGGATTAGACTAAGAAATCACAGTGGTCTAGAGGGTAGTAACAGGAATGGATGCAAAAAAAATGAAAAGAAAAAAAACCCAACAGCTACCACCACTAGACCAAGATTTTCAATCCCCACTGTAACATTTAAATTCAACTAAGAAACCTTAAAATATATACACATACTGCTGTCCAAGCCCCATGCCTGACTATTTAGGTCGGATTTGCTGGGGGTGAGCTCTGGGTGTTGGGAGTTTTTAAAGCTCCTGCGTTACTCTATTGTGCAGCCAGAGTGGGGCGCACCCAACCCCGACCACTGGCTGGGGGAGAGGGCCAGGGCAGTGCTCGGAATGCTGGAGGTAAAACCAGATGGCATCACTGCTTGTCCCTTTTTGCTGGTCCTCCTGGGTAGACATGATCACCCAAGTCAGGTGTGTACAGGCAGCCCATTCTCTGAAAAACAGTGGCAACAGCCAGCAGCCCCTGTAACACAGGACACAAGAGTGGAGCAGTGAAGGAAGCTCCCCACGAGCACTGTCCTGAATACAGTCTCCAGCCTCTCGTGTCCAGGTGCAGGTCTACTCTGAGCAAGCTTTCCTTTGCAATGTATTGAAGGACAATGTCTCTGGGTGCTTAATTACTCTCATCAGCACCACCTCTCAGTTCAGGGGTAATGTCCCAAACTCCTCTTCCCTGGGTGGTCAAGGCATTATCTGTCCCTTACCTAGGGAGGCAAGAAGACCCCACACCCAGAAAGGCAGGTCTGGGAGAGACCAGGGGAGACAGGGCTGAGCCTGACGGACAGTGAGTTGAAGGATTCTGAGCAGAAGGGGAGGGCAAAGGTAAGTCAGAGGCTGCCTGACTGATTTCTCTGGCTTCATAAGCAGAATGCCTTGCCTCTTTCAAGCAGGAGGGCTCCTCATTTAACACAAACAGGCTAATATAATTCGCAGAGGCATTAGCCCAGCTGCTGTACAGCAAAGGCCCCGGGCCTAGACAGCCTTCTCTCCCTCTGAGCTCATCTTAGTCCATTCTGTGTCACTATGACAGAATACCACAGACTGGGTAATTTGTAAAGAAATAAACTCATTTCTCACAGTTACGAAGGCTAGGAAACACAATACCGAGGAGCTGGCATTTGCAAAGGGCCTTCTTGTTGCATCATCCCATAGTGGAATGCAAAAGATGAGGGGCAGCAAGAGATCGAACTCAGCCTCAAGCCCTTTTATAATCAGCACTAATCCCCTCATGAGGGGGAGCCCTGATGACCTAAACACCTCCCATTAGGCTCCACCTCCCATCACGGTTACACTGGGGACTAAGTTTCCAATATATGCTCTTTGGGGGACACATTCAAACCATAGTAGAGCTCCATTCAGTTGCTACCAGTAGGAAAAATCTTTCTTTAACAACTTAATGACAGGTAAATCAACTCCAACTTCCCTCCTATTTGAGGTTCAAAATTATCTACATAAGTAGGCCCTTCATGATGAGCAGGGCTGGCCCTGGCCATCTTACAGGTACCTTCAATTACTAGACCACACAGCACCCAGGCAAAGAACTGGCGCTCAGCACGTATCTGTCGAGTGAATGAACTGGTTCCAAGAAGCATATTCAAGCGTATGTACAAAGAGCTGCCTATTCATTTAGGGCTACAGTAGGAATATAAAATGCTCTGTGGTGCCCCTTCATTATACATCTCTGTTAGCTAACAACTCACTTAGGGCTGCTCACCCACCCTAAGGCTGTTCAGGGAGGAACGAGGACTAATGTGGTAGTCAGTGCCCCGGCATCCTCCCCGCTACTCTTTTTAGTACTGAACTCCCCTAGCTCTAGTCAGGCATGTGATTCCCCCTGACCCCGCTCCCCAGGTATAGACTATATTTCCTAGGCTCCCTGGGAACTAGGTTTGTTCCTGTGACTATACCGTGATGTGATATGACTCGATGTAATGTGTCCAACTTTGAGGTCACCCTCTTAAAGACACAGCCACTTGCACCACTGGCTAAGACATGGTGACAAACGGAGCCATCTGGACAGCCAGGCATGGAGGAAGGCAGAGGAACTCCTCCAACCCTGACTTCTTAACTCTGGACTACGATCTGAGGACACACTGTACTACTCAGGGATGTCCTTGTCACAGAAGAGATTAGTCCACACCTTAACATATTCCAGAAGGAATATGAGAACCTGTTTTCCAACCCTGAAACAAGCCTCTAATTTGTCTAGGGCAAGTGAGTTAGCCTCCCCCTTGCACAATTTCCTCCTTTATAAACTGGAGATGAAAGCACCCGGTCAATTTTATTAATACTAAGAATCAACTATTAAAGCACAAATGCATTGAAATGTGATGTGAAGCAGCCTCTGTGAATGAAACTATATCCAGGCAGCACACACTGGTGGGAAGTACTGCCCCAGAAGGAAATCTGCCATACCAGAATATTACTATTTTTGACAAGAAGCTGAAATGTGAGCTCAGCATAGCATTATTCTAAAATAATGAAAATATGCCAGATGCTTACCAACATGAACTGTACACACTGATTGCACAAATATGTCCATTAAAACTAATAACACACCAGGGGAGAAAACAAGCTGCCTCGTCTGTGAAGTGGACCAATCATAGTTTCAATTGTGCCTTACCAGGTAAGAACAGGGTCTTCCCAGGCAAGAATGTGCGACCCAGAAGTCACTGAGGTTTGTCCCAGGCAGGGCTATCACCAGCCCTTTTGGCACCTCTGAAGGAGTCAAGAAATGGGCCTGGTGATTTGCTTGCGTAAGAAACAGAAAAGAACACCCTCTTCCTCCAGACTGACCCAGCTCCATCCCCTGGCCTGGGCCGTGGAGGGTGGCGAGTGGGCTGCATTTCAGTGGATTCCACCCTCATTTGCCCTTCAGCCAGGAGCCCTTGTGTAGGGAACCACCACACAACTGCATGCAGGGCCTGGTCCCAAATTTACAATGCACATGGCATTGTTATCAATAATGTAGTTAGAACTAATGTTTCCTAGGAATCCTAATTCTACACAGACACTGTCACCTGTCAGTAAATCTGCCAGAATTCCCTCGCTGGAAACTGACGTATATTTTATTCCAAAGAATAACTAAGTGAATGCTCTTTCCCATCTCTCTTCCATCTGAAGAGATGAGAAGCAGGAGGAAGAGGAGGGGGAGGAGGATGGGGAGGTGAAGGGAGAAGAGGAGTGGGGAACAAGAGGAGCAGGAGGAAGAAGCAAGCAAGTTCCAAGCAATACAAAAGGGTTGTAGGTGAATGAAGGCTTACAGCCCAGTCCTGCAAGCAGCAGACAGGATGCAGGGAATGAAAAGGCTGGAAGACAACAGCCAAATATCAAAGGATTTACAAGAACAATGATGTATCCTTCAATTAAATTCTTTTGCTTAAACTAATCTTTCAGTTCTTGTCATGTTCTCAAATGAAATCCATTTACAACTCCCAACACAAAGCCATCAGACACCCTAGAATTTGCTTAGCAGACCTAAACAGTGACACTGCTGTAACTGGCAAGGACCCCTTTTCTTTTAAAGGGACATTTTGGCAAGTCATTTCATAACCAAGACACTAAGGAGCACAGAATAGAAACAGCAGGCCACCTGCCATCTCTGCCAGGAGCACCATCCTCTCCCGCTCCCCGCGGGGCTCCCCCCGCTCCCCTATCTCTGGCCACAAGTCCCAATCATCTCAGCTCTTCAAACCCACCAAGCCCTCTCCACATCAGGCCTCCCTTACTCTGTCCCCTCAGCCTGAAATGCTCCTTCCTCCCTCCCCCCACAGGGCTAACCTCTCCATCCCTGAGTTTTCAGCTGCGGTCTCACTTCCTCAGAGCGGCCTTCCCGCCCATCAAAACTACATTCTTTCTGCCAGTCTCTTACCCCGTGTTTTATTTTTTCACCGTAGCACTTATCACAATTTACAATTATGGTTTTTTCCCCCTGCAGTGTTTATCATCTGGCTTCCTCACAGACGTACACACCAAGAAGTCAAGAATCATTTCTGTCCTCTTCACCATTTTAGATGGGTGCCCAGGCCCAGAACTGGAGATTAAGTCACAACACATCTGGGTTGAGGGCAAAACCTTTTTTTTTTTTTTTTTAATTCCACGGGTGATTCAGATGCACAATGCCCTTTTGAGAGAAGTACTAACTTGACATTTTCCTAGCAAATTAATATACTGAAATACCAAGTAAATCACTCCATATGAAAGAAAAAATTTACAGTAATGCTACAATTTCTGATAAGCACAATCTCTTCATAAAGCAGCAGGCTTACAAATGTTGCCTATGCTTTCTCTTATGGTATTTCCAGATATGTTTACTAGACCATAAGTTATTGTAATAAAACCTACCCAGGATATTATGGTTTCAACAAGCACACAGAAAAGGTATTTTGCAAATGAACAAGAATCCATATAAACTAGGCTAGTTTAGTAGTTGCAACCATTTTACCCATAATCCTGTGCTCTCTAATTATGCAAATATGGCCTCTGCAAAACACCAAGGTCCAAAATCCCTTCCCTTATAACACAACAGGGTCCCAGACTGCTTACTTCAATGACTGTTAATATGCCAACCTTTCCCCATAAAATTCTCTAGTCCCTATTGTAAACATCAAAATATCTGCCATACAACCAAGAAAAAAAAAAGTGACTGATGTAATCCAGTCCTAAGCTATCTCTCGGTGGTGGTTACAGCATAAATTATTACAGGTTGATATTGAGGGTGGGGAATAGAGATGCTGGTTGATGGATTTTAAAATGCATGGTCGCTGTTACTACTAAATACCAGTTTTTCATTTCAAAGATTCCCCCCCCAAAATGACTCACGCTGCATTTTGACATTGCTTTCCAATTTTATCCCTCCCTAAGCACAACCAATTATCACTTCCAGCCTTTATCTAGCCGGCTAAATGGTCCCTTGCATCACTTTATCCTCTCCTTATTTCTGGAACTCTTTTTCTCCTAGAGCCCTTCACTCTGAAATTTTTCCAAACAACCACCAACTGCCTAAACAATGATTTCATTTTCAAGAAAGTAGTTTAGCAGTGGCTTGGTATCTCAAAGCACAAATGAGTTTTACAGTCTTCAGAGTTTTCAAAAGTCATTTGGTGTTATTCATCTGTAGTTTATAAGTGTAGATGCAGAAAACTGAAATGAACTGCCTAAAACTTTGGAGTCTTATGTCTAAATCAAGAATTCTGCCTGGGGCCTTATTCTTTAGTCCCGTAAGTCAGACTCACAGGCTCCCCCTCTTCAATTCCGTCATCAGCCTGTCACACCCACTGACCCAGCTCCATCCCCTTGCCTGGGCTGTGGCGGGTAGAGTGGGCTGCATTTCTGACAGAAATGGAGCCAGGCTATTTTACATATGGGGGACAAAGGTTTCCACACCTTGTGAAACCCTAGGCCCAGCCAACTGGACCCAAAGTGAACATATGACCCAGAACAGCCGATGCAAACCCAGCTCAGCAGGGCCTTCCAAGAGGTCAAGAGGGGCTTGAGCCACTCTTGTTTTTTAAAGTTCCCAATAACATTAAAAATAAGAAAATGACAAAACATTTTAACGCCTATATTGAACAAATTAACATTTCTAACATCCAAACACTTATAACTAATTATGCTCTTCATAAGGCAGTTACAAGATTTATAAAATGTATTAATTCATAGTGCACTACAGGCAGAATGTCTATTAATGAGAAACATATTTAAATCTGGATGACGAATGCCATCTTCTTTCAATCCTGCCAGTTTGTCTCTGTGACTAAACGTACAAGTTCATGTGGAGACAACATGAAGTAATAAATCTGAGGCCCTTCATGAATGTCAGGCCCAAGCTAAATGCCATCGCAGCCAACAGCTGCTGCCATCCTCCCTGATATATACACTATGCCCTATTGGCCAACAACATAGGGCAACATATTTAATTCAAGTGTCTACTTCAACAGAGATGATGCCAACTAGCTAGGATCATCACAGTCACCGTAGCAGAAATTTCAAGGAGGAAAGAGTCACCAACCCCCCAGTGCTGCCTTGGATCGGGAACCACGTGACAGCCCATACCTGTGTGGCCCAGCCACAGTTCATATCCTCAGATATTCTCAAGATTCCCATCTGCCTTGCCACGTGTAACCTGCTATGAAAACCCCTGCTACAGAGTTTTTGTGCCTTGGGACCAAGAGAGCCTAATGCCACAACCTTCCTACAACTGGACAGGCTGCCCCTGTTCAAAATTCACACAAGCCTGGAAACCTCAGGGACAATGACAATACAGTACTTTTCCCTCTCTCTTAGCAAATTGTTCCCACCTTTAAGGTTGTCATCGCCCCTTCTTTCCAATCATTTTGTTCTCAATCACTCAGCTTCTCTTCACTAAAAATGTCCCGTGTTTGACTATCATTATTTCTAGATTCTCAAATGCAGAGATTTCCGAACAATGCTTTTAGGGAAAAGAAAAAACCTGGCATTAAACACAGACGTTGATGGCCGGGCGCATGGTGGCTCATGCCTGTAATTCTAGCACTTTGGGAGGCCAAGGCAGGCAGATCACTTGAGGTCAGGAGTTCAAGACCAGCCTGGCCAACGTGGCGAAACCCTGTCTCTACTAAAAATACCAAAATTAGCAGGGCGTGGTAATGTATGCCTGTAATCCCAGCTACTCAGGAGGCTGAGGCAGAATTACTTTTTGTATACACACACACATATTGATTCTTAGACTCGTCGGAATTTCAGACATGTTTAGTTAATGCCTTAGAATAAACCAAAGAAGATAAGTGTGTCACACTTACAATGAGGGGCAACAGGTGGAATTAAAGGAGAAATGGCCAAATCTGGATGGATGGCAACAAAGTTCTGCGAAATGTCAGGGCACGTGGCAACTACAGCAAGAGAAGAAGCAGAACAAGTGAAATCAAAAGGAAACAACGAAGATGCTAAGATTCAACTGCCAGTGCACACACCACCCCGGAGAGTGTTTCCAATTTCCCAGGGCTCTGCAGAAGAATCTTATCCAAGCACTAGGTGGTTCTACAAGGCCCTTCCTTCTGCTTGTCCTTTTCCCTCACTATGGTTTCTCAGTCCCCACGTTAGCTCAACCCACTTGGCCCTTGCTTCCCTTGCATTCCCCAGAATCCACATCACTCCTCAGAACCATACCTCTGCTTCCCTCTTGGAGATTAAAACCTCATAGAAAAGGAATTGTAGGGGCAGAGGTAAGAGGTGACCCCTTATGAAGAAAACTTCTGGGGCCTCAGCCCAGCCTCTGAGAAACAGCCCATGTTTACACAGACCATGCTGAAAAGGAAACCCACGGCTCCTGGAGTTTGTGCTACCTTGAAATAATGCTTAGAAATATGGGTGACGGCATTTCAGCATCGAACAGGTCAAGGGGAAGTTAAAGAGAGATCTTTACCTAGTGTCACTCTGACAAGAGCTGTTTAAAAACAAAACAAAACAAAATAAAACAAAACCAGCCCAAGAGGCGCTGGATGGCAAGATGAACAAAGCACAGCCTCCACTCTCAAGGGGAGCATAGCGCACAGCCTCAGACTCACCCTGAAACATTTTTGGGCCTCAATCTCCTCCTCTTAGTATGAAGAGCCTCTAGTGCCACTGTAATAATATGTTTCTATAATTCGACACCATGCTTTTCATACTTTGCCTCTCAAACAACAGTTGCAACCAGTATTGTTCCAACAACAAATGGGACAAGATCATTTACGAGAGAGGGAATTAATGGGTCCTTCTCTCCATAAAATAACGATACACTCCAATTTCCAAATTCTTGAATACTAGATATTGAGAAGCTCCACGTAAATTTTTTTTTTTTTGGAAACAGAGTCTTGCTCTGCAGCCTTGACCTACTGGGCTCAAGCCATCCTCCCACCTCGACCTCCCGAGTAGCTGGGACTACAAGTGTGCACCACCATGCCTGGCTAATTCTTTTTATTTTTTGTAGAGACTGGGTTTCACCATGTTGCCCAGTCTAGTCTTGAACTCCTGAGCTCAAACAATCACCTGCCTTGGCCTCCCAAAATACTGGGATTAGAGCTCACAGAAATCTTTAAGAAAGAATTTATGAACAAAAGAAAGGGTGTAGGTGTCACTTACACAGAAGTAATATTTGTGGGACTCACTATTCAAAAAAAGCAAATACCAAAATACATGTATACCTAAAAATTATTTAATCAGATTTGGACATCAGAGATCATCTCACATCTATGGTATCATCTAGTCTGGCCTCTTCATTTTATACATAAAGAAAGCTAGGCACAGAGAGATTAAGTAATTCGCCCAAGGACACCCAGCTAGTGAGAGGCAGGACAAACAGCAGAACCTAGCCAAGAATGATTTAATTATTCCAAAAAGGTATCAGAGGATGTTAGCAAAGTCTGTGATAAGCTCCTAGTCTTTGGAGGCTAATGTCAAAGGGGACAGCCAAGCCCTCCCACAAAGCACTGCTTACTGCTCTACACAAGCCAGAACTCAGGCTGATCAGTGTAGGGGATGCATGTATCCTTGGCTCCCACATTCATGCATTTCCGTCATGCCAAAGGTAGCACATGTCCTGCAAGGCACAGTAGCTGACACCCCTTCTAAAATAGGCCAACAGCTCCAAAGTGGTTATGGCCTTCTCAGATTGCAGGCCCAGTTTCCCACCTCACTGTTGTTATTGTACCACACACAATCACCTCACCAAACCATAGGAAGCCAAAGCTAGCGGTGCCAGCCCACCAGCTGAGTAGCAGCAGCTGCCCCAAAGACATCACCCTAGGACCTCACTTCCTGTTCTGGCACTTAAGCCTGTATCCATGCCAGTTCAAGGTCTGGCCCATCATTTTCAAAGCTAGAGCTGGACAGGCCCCAGATATCCAAGAAACCATCTGTTCTAGAATTCTCCCTCCTCCAACTTCACTTCACAACAGGCCATGGCATCTGCCACTGTCCTTGGTCTTCTGAACAGAAGGTGTGGAGCTCTTGTACACAACCTTGGAGAGAACCCAGGTCATTCTGACCCTGTCCGGAAAGGGAAGAACCACTGTTTTAAATCAAACATCCTGAAGCAAACAGGTCCATGCATTCTATCTGGCAGCTTTAACTCCCACAGATGTTAGAAAAATGTAGAAAAGTGCATTCAATTTTCTAAAGTCCTAGAATTCTGGACCATTTCCCCTTTTCAATTTATATTTATTCTTTAATAAATGCTTTTCAAAAAAAAAAAGTCACCAGTATAAAACAAAGACAAAGTAGGAATAATCACACTATTAATGTACTAATACCTCAGACCTAAGGCACTGTG